>NC_000002.12:2434242-2737272 GCF_000001405.40 Homo sapiens
AGCAAGACTCTGTCTCAATAAATAAATAAATAAAATAAAATAAAATAAAATAAAATAAAATAAAATAAAATAAAATAAAATAAAATAAAAACAAAAGGAAGTATAGAGAGTAGAACAGAGTAGCCAGGCTCACTTTTTCAAAGATTAAGAGGCATATACCTCACGATTTCTCCCAGGACCAGCTGTGGCCCTCAGATTTAATAAGCTGCACCCTGGAGTACTCATATTAGATTCCTAGGGCGGCCATGACAAAGTACCATGAACTAGGTGACTTAAAACAACAGAAATCCACTGTTTCCTGGTTCTGGAGGCTGGGAAGTCAATCACCCAGTTACCTGCAGAGCCTGCTTCCTCTGAAATCTGTAGGGGAGGATCCTGCTTTGCCTCCTGCAGCTTTTGGTGGCAAATGATAATCCTTGGCATTCTTTAGCTGTATCATCATTCCTATCTCGTCTCCACTGTCACCTGTGCGTCTGCCCATGTGTCTCTCTCCTCTCCTTAAAGAACATCAGTCACACCAAAGTAGGGGCCCATCCCAGTCCAGTATGACCTCATCTTAACTAATTACATCCACGACCACTCTATTTCCAAGTAAGGTGCTCTCCTCAGGCACTGCGGGTTAGGAGTTTTACACATCTTTTTCTTGGTGGAGGGGACCACAATTTAACCCATAGAGGCTGCCAATGACTCGATGTGAAGGCCAGGAACCACCGTCTGTCCTTTCTCCTTACCCCCCAGGTCAGTATTTCCTCTTAAATAAATAAAAAGCCCATTTTACATGGTTCCTAAGTTTGCTTGTAAATCTGAAGTATCAGTTTTCTCTTATGAACTTTGTGTGCCAAAATTAAATCCAACAAATATTTATTGAAAGCCTACAATTTGTAATTTCTTAAAGAATTACATAAAGAGCCTTCAGTTGGCCGGTGTATCTAAAGAGCAAAAGAATCATATTAGTAACCTAACTTAGAAAAGGCATAAAAAAGACAGAACAAAAATAACCATTAGCACATATGCATCTGAGAGAAATAAGAATATTGCATATTTTAGAAGTAATCTGATCAATAAACAAATTATTATATGAGGCACTTAGCACATATTGGTTTTCAATAAATACTTGATATTATTATTTGAATCAACTAGAGAATTTATTTGATTTAATGAAAGATGAGTTGGGGAACAGAAAAGTAACAATGGCCCCAAAATATAAGAACCTTCAAAGAAAACAGTAGCACCAACCATTTTAAGAAAGGGAAAGAGAATAAAATATAAGAATCTCAACAAAGAACATTAAAACACAAAAGTCCTGCATTGAGCTAACACATTACTGGAAATAATAAAGTTTCAAGTTTCCCCAGCTATGTTTTAAATATGAACACTGAAGTGTAAGGATTTCAAATGTGAATTAAAAGGAAATAATGATCAGGAAGTGCTATTGTGTGAAGAAAAGGAGTGCTCTAAAATCATCAAGGTGGTGCCCAACTGGCCACTTCTGTTGCCTCTGCCCTCCCCCACAAATAGTCTAGCGAGGATGACAGTGACTAACTACTGTTGTCGCCTTGTAGCTCTTTGCTATGGTGAGTGGCACTGTGCGGGGATGGCCTGACCGAGAAGATGGGGGCCTGCGGGTCCTCGCCACACCCAGCCTGGTCTGCTCTCCTGGCTAGAGCCACCCTGAAGCCCTCAGTGCTCCCACCAGCCATCCGTGTGTCTCATTTTCCGATGTCAAAGGAAATCACTGGGCCTGTGCAGACAGCGGACCAGCCTGCCCGGTCCTCTGCCACTAGGTCCTTAGTAGGACAGACATCTTCGGGAGTGCTATGTGATGCAGTATATTTTAGAGTCTTTCTCCTGGTCATCTTGCTTAGAATCTCCCTTCTTCAGCCAATGAAATGGAAATTGTCAAACAGAATAAGGTAGTCATCTTGAAGCCCTGTGAGCTGGTTTTCCAGACCCTTTGGACCAAGCACAAGCCTGCCTTGAATCAAACCCAAAGGGCTCACGTTACCTTTGATAATCACTGTGGGTTCCAGTGGCGTCTAATGGACAGAAGGGAATGTGAAGCTCTGCAGAGCCCTCACTGACCTCTCCTTGCATCTGGCATCCAGGGAGGGGTTTCAGCAGCAAGGTGGTTTGGGCCGCCCCTCTATTCCAGGGCCTGAGGCCTGTGAGGGTCGTACAGTGACCGTCCTTGTCATATGCAAGGTCCAGCGAAGCATTCTCAGGTAAAACTCAGAGCCCTGAAGCTGGCCTGGGGAGCTGTCTGCCTGTTCACTGCTACGCTGCATCCTTGCAGGCTACAATCAGGCTGCTGAAGTGATTAGGGGGGCCTCTAAGGTTCATAGTTGCATTCTAGATCCAACACCTCTTTTCAGATTCACATGCTCACTCAGCAAACATGAATTTGATGCCCAATGTGTGTGCCAGGCACTGTGGAGGTGTTGCAAATGGGCCAGTAAATGAGGGGCAGGGTTTGTAGAGTTGAGGGACCTCTGACTCTTGAAAGAGGTCAGAGAAGGGTTCCCAGAGGACGGAAGTGGAGTCCAGGCTGAAGCTAAAGGTTGCCTCTGTAGCAGGGAGAAGAGGAGAGCATTGCTGAAGGGAAGATAGGGAAGAAAGTGACCACTTTGAGGGATTCCAGGTGGGTCAGTGAGATTGTAGGGGTATCGGAGGAAGTGAAGGAGGAGAGTGCAAAGAGTTCCTCAAATACAACCATACAAACCAGAGTAAAATCACTTTTATGTTTGGGCTTGCGATAATTAAGATTGTGGCTGGGGGTCATTTTAGAAGGCTGCTGCTATAATGAGAGGTGCCCCTCATCTATACACTACACACACGATGGAGTGTGTCTGTTGTTCACATTTTTTCTCATTTTTATTATAATTTTTATATGATTTATAAATGCTTTTACATGTGTTTTAAAATTTACAAATGCACAGGAAGAGTTTTAACTACTTTTTTTGCAATTGATCTCCAATTTCATTAGATTTTAGTGCACATACGTGGTCAATAATACTAATTTCTTGGGTATTTGTTCAAACTTCCTTTGTGGTTAAATATTTTTAGAAGACTGTTTCTTGCATCCTTAGAATGGATGCGTGTTCTTTTAGCATTCAGTACATCCATGAGGCCAACGTCACATTAGCTTATTAAATTTGCACAAAATGGGTTTTTCCCAGTTTGCTAGATCTATTTCTTTTCTAAGAATAATGTAATCAAAATATCTAGCTAAGGTTCTAAATGTTTTCCACTTCACCTACGTATTTGTCTGATTTCTTAAAAAGAATTTTTGAGTTTATATCGTTAGGAACATGTAAGTTTAAGCTTTTCATGACTTTTTACAGCTATTTTCATACTTAATGGAGCTGGACTGGTGTCATGAGTTCTACTTTTCTCTGATATTACTGCACTTGTTTTCCTTGTTTATATTTGCTTGGCATACCTTTTTCTATCTTTAATACTTTCTGTTACTTTTAACATTTTAACATTTCTGTTAAAAGTTCTAGGTGTGTCTCTTATAAAACACATATAGCAAATATTTTTTAAATTTATCTTCAAACTCTTTAAATATAGAATGTCAAGTTATTAGATACTAATATTGTATGGTATGTTGAAAGAATGCAATTGTCAAAAAGTCTTATTTTTCAGATAGATACATATGAGGTTAAAAAAGTGATAGGGAAAGGGGAAGGGATCAAATTCAAAGGTTGGAATGCCACTTGGAGAAAGTAGGTTTTTATGTGCTTCAAGAAATAGAGACCAAAATGTATTAGATGGACACTTCTATTTAAATATAGAAGATGTGAAGAAAAGAGAATGCTAAAAATAAATTTCTTAAAATCTATTTTGATTAACAGAAAAATTTAAAATACATTTATCTTGATATTTAATATACTTTGGTCTATTTTTACCATTTTATTTTCTAATTATTCTTTTTTATTTACTTTTCTCCTTAGTTTCTGCTATATAGACAGATATTGTTCTATTTTTATTTCTGCTTTTAAAATTTTATGGGTTTACTAAACATTCTACTTCTATACTTTTTAGTTATTTTCCTTAAATATTTATTACATAGTTAACAGAGTCAAAACATAGTAAATATCTCAGTCTCCTTCTCAAGGAAAAGAGTTACTTTTGAGCTATTTTGTTCTAAACCTGTTTACCGCTCCTTTCATTTTTAAAAATTTTCAGCACTTTCTGAAAGTGTTTTTGAACTTTCAAATATTTGTCTTCTGTTTTAGACTAACTCATTATTTAGCAAAATAATGAAATTGGACCCTTATTTTACACCATACACAAAAATCGACTCAAAATGGATTAACAAGCATAACATCTGAAACTGTGAAAATACTAGAAAAAAAAGACAGGAAAAGCTTCTTAATATTGACCTTGGCAATGACTGTTTGAATATCACACCAAAAACTCAGGCAACAAAAGCAAAAATAAACAAATGGGACCACATAAAGCTAAAAAAACCTCTGCACAACAAATTAAACAGACAACAAAACAAAAAGGCAACCTACATATTGGGAGAAAATATTAGAAAATCATATATCTGATAAGGAGTTAATATCCAAAATATATAAAGAACTCATGCCACTCAATAGCAACAGCAGCATCACACAAAACAACCTGATTTTTAAAATGTACAAAGTATCTAAACAGATATCTCTCAAAAGAAGACATGCAAATGGCCAACATATATATGAAAAGGTGCTCAAAATACTAATTATCAGAGAAATGCAAGCCAAAATTACAATGAGATATACCTCATTGTATATCTCATATATTCAGGATGGTTATTAAAAAAGACAAGTGATAACAAGTACTGCTGAAGGTGTGGAGAACAGGGAACTCTTATACATTGTATAGTGTTGGTGGCAATGTAAATTGAAACAGCCATTATGGAACCGGTGTGGAGCTTCCTCAAAAAATTTAAAAAACAGAGCTACCATATAACCCAACGGTTCCACTACTGAGTATACATATCCAAAGGAAAAGAAATTAATGTCCCAAAGAAATGTCCGCACTCCCATTGTTGATTGCATCATTATTCACAATAGCTAAGATATAAAAACAATCTGTGTCCATTGTAGAATAAACAAGAAAATGTCAAATATGTGTGTACACCACACACACACACACACACACACACACACAAAGACATTATTCAGCCTTACACAAAAGAGGAGAAGCTGCTGTGCTGCCATTTGTGACAACATGGATAGACCTGGAGAACATCGTGCTCAGTGAAGTAAGCCAGGCACAGAAAGACAAGTACCTCACGCTCTCGTTTATATATGGAATTTCAAAGGGAAAAAATAGTTGAATGCATAGGAACAGAGAGTAGAACAGGGGTCAGCAGGGTAGGGAGGGAGAGGAAATGCGAAGGTGGAGGAAGGGTGTAAACTTGCAGTCAGTCATACAGGCTGTATGAGTCTACAGAAAGTCCAGCAGGGGGACTATAGTTAATATTGTATTGCATATTGAAAATTTGCTGAGAGAGTAAATTTTAGGTGCTCTCACCACAAAAACATTGAAAAGGTAACTATTGAAGATGACGGATATGTTAAATTGCCTATTCATAATAAGCATTGCACCATAGATATGTATATCAAAACATCAACTTTTACTCCTAAAACTTATACAATAAAAAATTCATTGTTTAGTAATTTGTTTGTTCATCACTGCTCCTTTCCCCCTACTCTTTCCTCAAGGACTTAAAATTTTCTTCTTTTCAAAATATATCCTTGAGAAGCAACTTCTGTTAATATTTATCTAAAAAAAATCTTTAATGCATTTTTACTTCCGAATGATGAAAATTTAAAGTCAATAGTAATTCTTCCCAGCATTTTGAACATATTCTCCCACTGTATTCAGAAGTCTAGATTTTGCTGATAAGGTTGATAAAAAGACCTTTGTATAACCCCATCTTTGTAGATGAAAAATTCCTTATAATGATAAAACATTCAGTCTTAGATGCCGCACGATGGACACAGAGAGGCGCCTCTTCTGTCCCCCGACTGAGCTGTGGGCAGATACCCATTGCTGGCCAGGACCTCTCAGAGGTTTCCTGTGTGGCAGAGAGCCACGCTGGCCTAGGTCACTCCCTTGGGAAGGTAGGAGAAGAGGAGACCTAATCCATAGCTAGTTCAGGTGGTAATACAGGACCACAAAGGCTTTTCCAGACCAACACGGGTCAACTTCATGGCCTCCGCCCTGCCGACCGCCATGGTGTTGGCTGAGGCTGTTCAGGCTGAATTGCGAATTGACTTTGGCCTTGGCTAGTCCTTGTTCCTTCCCTTTCCTTCTGGCATCCCTCCCAAGGTTACTCTGTAAGCCTTCATGCCTGTGGAACTCCATCTCGCAGGCTGCTTACCCGGGAACCCGACCTGTGCACTTTGATTCCAGAAATGATTACAAAGAACAGACAAGTTTAGAGGGAGTCCAGGAGCGGAATTATCTTTGTATGGCTGGTAATGAGGACTCCATCACTGGTTATGGGTGGATTAAAGACAACCTCCAAGAGTAAGGTCGAAGCCCAGTTGCTGTAACTCTCCCTGATGGTGAATTGGGATGGGTACCCCTGAAATGGTCCAGTAGCCAGTGGCAGGTTTCAGGCATTTTACAAATAAGTGAGAAATGTAACAACCAGGACAATGGACTTGGGAATCACTGTTTAAGCCAGTGAAGGCATTAGGTAAACAGATACTGAGATCCATCGACAGGAAGCTAAGAGCCAGTGATGAAACACAGAGGGAATCATACAGAGAAACTCTTCTGCTCCATAGGAGAAGGCTGAGAAAGCTGAGATAGAGACTGTATTAGTTTTCTATGGATGCTGTAACAAATACACACAGGCTTGCTGGCTTAAACAATACAGATTATTATCTTATGGATCTGGTGGTCAGAACTACAAAATGGGCCTCACTGAGTGAAAACTATCATGCTTTGTTCCTTCTAAGGGCTCTGGTGGAGAAATCAGGTCCCTTACCTTGTCCAGAGGCCTTATTCTAGAGGCCACCCACATTCTGGGTCTCCTTGCCCATTTACTCCTCCTTCAAAGCCGGCGGCATTGTATCTCTGATCAACCTTCCATAGTTACATCTCTCTCTGACTTTCCTCTTCTGCCTCCATCTTCCAATTGTAAGGACCCTGCAAGTATATCAGGAGGACCAAAAAATTCAAGATAATCTCCTCACTTTAAGGTCAGCTGGTTAAAAACCTTGATTCCACTGTAGCCTTAATTTCTCTTTAGCATGGAACCCAACATATTCACAGCTTCTGGATCAGGACATGGATCTCTGTGTGGGGAGAAGGAGGTATTATTCTGCCTGCCAACAGGCACTAGACTTAATCTTCCAAGTAGCCAAACCCAGAAGAAGGTCAAGCTTCTCACCAAGGCAGCTCTGCAATGCACAATTCTGTTTACTAAAGAATAGAACCATGATTCATGGGATGGAGACATTTTGATTGGCGTGTCTCAAAATCTTGAAGTTCCATGTTCCCACATGTCTTGTTTTCCAGAATTGTTATACCCCTCCCTGTTAAGAGCAAGCACTCTCTCTTACTTAAAATGCAGAGGCTGCCCCCCATAAGACATCTCTCCTAGCTCTTAGACCATAATTAAGCTTATGTCACAGCTGGGATGACCTGGGTCTGATAAATAGTCACAAGATCCAGCCAATGTGCACTGGCAGAGCCAGAGAAGTACATACAGGATTGGATTTTGAGAATTTTTCAGCAAAGGGCTCTGCACAAAAAGGAGAGTTTATTGCTTTGGAAGCAATTTGGAGTTACAGGATTTAGCATCCTGACAAAGCCTTTGGAGATGGGTAAAATTGCCACCATGATGCTTCCTGAAGAATGGAAAAACTCAATGGTCCATACTAAGTGAGCTGGAATGCCAGGATTGCATGGCAGACAGTGGAAGGGGGTGTGGGGAGACTCAGGGAGGTGGGCATGCTGGGATGGTTGCACTATGTCAGGCCAGCAAACCCACTGGAAGGTTCACAGAGACAGGGGGTTTGGGGCTGACTCTCTATTTCCTAGAAGAAGGAGTGCACAAGAAAAGAAGGACCAGTCTCCCAAAGACTGTTGGCATTTGCTGTCCTGTAGAGGCAGGGCCAATGATGGGAGACATCTTTATAGAATTAGGCTCGCTATAAATACAGGATGACAGAACTCTGCAGAAATACAGACCAGGTGGCAGTACTTCAAGATGAGAAGCCAGGTGGATGCAATTGTCATTATGACTGGCAAGGTTGGAGTGGCAGCCAGCAGGGCCTGACCTTCAGAAGTATGAAGAGGATTTGTAGAACACAGCACCCTGGGGGCAAAATGGACAGGCAGCCAATCAGGGCACTGCTCACATCATCAGAAAAAATCAAGGATGGATGATCAAGAGGCTGAGAGCAGTATATTCCTGGTGCAGTTTTGAATTTGAGCCATGTTTGGACCTAAGACCTACTGATGGAAGAAGAGGCCATGTTCCCAGGTGGAAGGACCGTGAAGCACCATGGAAAGTATGCATGGCAATGATTTCCCCAGCCCTTCCACAAAATATATGTAATTTCTTGGGTCACTGTACACGAAGGAAAGGAAAATATCCAAGTGTTTTTAGGATTGTTGGACAGAGATTTAGAGTTGACAACAAAACCTGGAGCCCTGCAGAGTCATTTTCACTCCTCTGTTAGAGTTTGAATTTATGGGATCAGTGATAAATAGAATTTTGGCTGATGTCCTGCTTGAAATAGATTCATTGATTCTACAGACCTGCCAAGTGCCTAGTACGTATTTGGGAAAGACATACTAGGCCACTGGTGCAAACCCCACATTGGGTCTTTTGCATGTATGATCAGAGATATAATAGCAGAAAAGCCAAATGGGAGACTGTAAAACTATATTCCACCCTCATCTCAGACAAGATACAAAATTATATAATTGGAATATATATATATATATATATATATATATATATATATATATATATCACCCAAGGATGGCAGGAATTACAAGCACACTTAAGGAGTTAAAGTATGCCAGGGTAGTGATCCCACTTTGTCTGTATTTACTTTACTTTTCTGGGCCTAAGGAAAAATCAGATTATTTTGGAAAGACAACAGTAGTCCCTTGCAAGCTCAATGCAGTATGACCCCAAGTGCTGCACCCTGCCCATACCCAAGCAGGTTAACATGGCTGCAGGTGCATCATAAAAGACCATCCATCTAGCAATGCATTCCCATCTTGATCAGAAAACTAGATCAGTGTCTTAGTCCATTTTATGTTACTTTAACAGAGTATTTGAGACTAGATAATTTATAATGAACAGAATTTTATTGGCTCACAGTTCTGGAGACTGAGAAGTCAAAGGTTGAGGGGTCGGCATCTTGTGAGGACCTTCTTGCTGCATTATCACCAGGAGGAAGACAAGAGGGTAAGAGAGAGCAAGTGGTGGCCAGACTTGCCCTTTTAGAACAGCACCAATTCCACCCATGAGGGCAGAGCCATCATAATAACCTCCTCATACCATCACAATGGCAAACTGAATTTCAACATGAGTTTTGGAGAGGACAAACGTGAAAACCATAGCAATCAGAAAGTTTGCATGCACATGAAACTGACAATAGCACATATTTACAGTTTCTTCTCAGGGCAATATTATGTCTTCTTCCCTCTGGAAAGAAGAAGTCTGGGCCATCTGGACATCATAAAGGTCAACTCTCTATGACATTGTGTTAATCAGGCCAACAAGAAGAGACTACAGTGTTGGATGCCTTGGTAATCCACACACACTTCAGAGTGTGACAGATAAGCCCTAGATAAATCCAGGAGCATGCCACTTTAGTGAAACTTTTAGGAGTCTAGTGGTCAGGACACGTTATCCAAAATAAAGGACAAGTTGTGGCATCTCATTTTTCCACCATAAGAAAGCGCACCACCTGGCAGACCTGGTTGTTTTTTGAAGCAGCTTGTGCCATACTTGAGAATACTCCTTCAGCCCACATTTCAGGCAATGCAAAAAATTCCTGCTTCTAGTGGGGCTGCAAAATGAAAAGATACTGCAGCAGTTCAGGCTATGGTGCAGTCAAGACTTGGGCCAGGTGATCCAACAGACTAAACAGTATTAGAAATATTAGAAGTGGGAGCAGACATCATGTTAATTTCATGCCAATGCCATGGTAAAATCATAAAGTAGGCCTCTGGGGTTCTGAAAGCAGGAACAACCCTATTTATCATCACGCCCAATGACCTGCATGGGAGAGGCATGTTCCTATTTTCTCAGCTCTGAGATGTGCATGAATAAAGATCCGGGTTTCAAAGGAAGAACACATCCAAGAAGGGAAGAGTAAACATTCCACTGAACTCATATTAGTGATGGCTGCTGTATGGGCACTTTAGGTCTGGTTCTTCATTTCCAGGGACGAGCAGTCAAAAAGAGGATTTGCCATCCCATCCAGGGCAATTGCTCCTGATCATCAGGAGGGGATCCAGCTGCTCCTGAGGTGAGAAAGGATGTGGTTAAAATCCAGGTGACCCATACTGGAGCTTCCTGGTTCTCCCTGGCCTGATAGCAATGGTAAAATAGACAGTTACACCAATCCCAGGCTCAGAAGAACAGTGACAAAGTGTTCATATTCTCAGGACTGAGGATCTGCTCATTCTCCCAGGAAAGTCACTAGGACCAGAAGGGGCGCTGGCTGCAGGTGAGGGGGAATCCAGAACAGGTGGTGGGGCAGGGACATATTGAGCATCCGTGGCAGCCTCAAAGCCAGCTGCAGGGGCGGGTGCTTGGTGCCATCTTACTAACTGTCATGACACCTGTCTTTCCAAGGAAAAGAGGCCCACCAGGATTACAGAGGAGCTACTCCTGAATGTGTGTGAAAAAGGGATCCAAACAGAGCAAGGAGTGGACTGTGGGGTGTGGGGATGCTCTTCAGAGCTTCGCCCAGGAAGCTCTTGTTTCCAGCTGTGGGGAGGCTGACAGCTCTTAGTCCATCAGGCAGTGCCACCTGCAGAGGAAGAGAGACACTCGCCCAGCCATGGCTTCTGCAGAGGCTCCCGTGGAATGATTGCTGCAAAAGCCCAACCATTTTGCCTCAGTGGGAACCAATCCCTAGGACCCACGGTCGCTCCAGAATGGGAACCAACTCCGAGGACCCACGGTTGCTCCAGAATGGGAACCAACTCCGAGGACCCATGGTCGCTCCAGAATGGGAACCAACTCCGAGGACCCATGGTCGCTCTAGAATGCCCCCATAAAGTTGGCTAACGCTGGTCTTTGGGTTTTTCTTGGCTCAGCACCACTGCCTTCCTCTTCCTTCCCTAGGTGTTGATCCCAGCAGCACTCTGTGAAAGGCATCCTGCATCTGGGCTCGCATTAGGTGATCCAAGCTGCCATGCCCATGATCTTTCTAATGGGAAGACACTGGAAGCACTTTTAGTAAAATCAAAAGCAAGAATGGACACTATCCTTTCTAATCTATTTTATGTGAAGATATTAGCCAATCTAATTGGAATTGAGGGGAGGGACTTAAAAAATAAATCAAGAAAAGATAAAAGTGAAAGAAAGAAGAAAAATTATCTTTATTTGATAATGATCTTATCAGAAAAACTAAAGAGGCCAATAGAACAAATGTTTTAAATAATGAGAAATGTCAAGGAGGCTAAATAAAAAATTAGCTTACAGATATGAATATACTTTATGTATACAAACAATTGTTTAGACAATGTATAAAAAAATCTCTGTGACTTTCAGGGTACTAACAAGAAGCAGAGGACACATCAGCTGAGGTTTCAGAGAGAATGTAATGAAGGAGTGATTCAGAGAGTAAAAATAAACCAACAAGGAACATTAAGATATAAGAAGGAGAAGTTGTTCCACCCCTGGACCCGAGGGAGCAGGAGGAGAGGATGTCCTTGGAGCTTGGGTCAAGGAAAAAGGCTGCCCGGCAGGGAGCTCTAGTCACAGACGTGCTCAGTCACTTCCCTAATCTTCGCACCAGGTCACTGAAGGGGAAATACAGGGACCCTGCAGTCACCTGTCAGTGACACTCCTCCTTATACAAACCAGGCTGTGAGGAAGGTAGGTGACAGAGCCCTGGGGAGGGCCAGGTAGGGCTGGGAGGTTGGGCTGGCCCACAGAGCAGTGCCCAGAGAGGCACTGGGCAGCCATCATGAGGCACACTCTGCTTCTCTTGGTAACAAGGAACTGTGATGTCGAGGAATGAAATTAAGGTGGCCAATACAATTTCAATATGTGAAAATCTAGAAAGCCCTCTTGAGAGACTCTAAAAGATATAGCACATACTTGGCCAGAAGTTATCATTACCAGAAACATTTCAATTTTTCCCATGTTAATTCAAAAGCAACATGATTTAATAAAATAGCATCAGGATTTGTTTTTTGTTAACAGGCTTGTTTTAAAGGATGTGGAAAAATAGACAAGTAGCAATTTCCATGAGCATTTTGCAAAAGAAAACAGTGGGTGAGGAAGTTATTTGTTATGATTAACGTAGAGTTCACTTTAAAGCTACAGTAAGTTAAATAATGTGGTACAAGTTCATGACTAGTGATCATGATCAATAAAAAAGACTAAAAAGTCCAAAACTTAATCTAAAGCTGTTATTTGCTATTAATAGCACAACAAATTAAGTGGGGAGAGATGGATAACACAATTAACTCGTTAACTCAATTAATAGAAATATTAATGTTCATTGAATGTTTATATGCATGGGCACTGTTGGGTGTATCTGAACTGATGTATATGAACTAATTTCATCATTAAAACAACCCTCAAAAGTAGATATTATTATTATCCCCACTTTTCAGTTAGCAAGAAACACAGAGCCGTTAAGTGATTGCCTAGAGTTCCAGAGCTAGAGATTGGCAGAGCTAGAATTCAAACCAGGCAATGGATCTCCAAAATGCATTATGTTCCTTAAATCTCTGCTGATCTTGGAAAAAAAACTCAGATTGTTTTCTCAAAACCTTATACCAAAAATAAATTATAAATAAAACAATGATTTAAGTTTAAAAAAAAAACGAAGTGCAAAAGTACTAAAAGAAAACATTGAATTTTCAAGTTATTATTGGTATTATTTTTAATAATGATCTTTGAGTGGGGAAGAAATTTTTAAGTTTATTCCCAGAAAAAATGTAGCTGTAGCCAAAATCACAGACCATGTTTAATTCCCTTAATATGCAATGGGCATGCCCAAATATGTAAGGAAAACATATTGATGAATCAATAGAAAAAAATGGGCATGGATATGCAGTCAGTTGATAGAGAAGGATCTGCAGATGGCTCTCAAATATGTGAAAAGAAGATAAATCCCACCCTAATGCAAGAAATGTAAATTAAAATTGCCTTCAGCTATTGCTTTTCCTCATCAAATGAACAAATATTCAACATCTGGAGAGCCCGTTGTGCAGAGGATGATGTGGAGAAGTTGCAGATTCTAGGGAGAGCAGTTTAGCAAAATGCATCAAAATTTGAAATGCACACACTCTTCACCTTACCTTATTCTCTCATCCCAACCCACAGTATATTTTTATCATGGCAGCCAGAATGATCATTATAGCAAATATAAATCAGAGCATTTCACTCCTCCAGTCAATGCTCTCCAGTGGCTCCCATTTTTCTCGGAGCAAAAAGCAAAGTTCTCTAAATGGCTCATTGTACCTGGATCCTTCTGAACCTCTGTGCCCTGGTCTCATCATAACCTTTTCCATTAACTCTCTCATTCATTTTTTAAACATTGTTAAACCAAAGTGAGCATATCATAAGCCATAAGTAGAAGTGAACAGATCATAAATATACAGCTTGGTGAGTTAAATGAATAATCGTAAGTGACCACTCCTGGAAACAGCCATCCTGAAATCTAACATTGCCAACATTCCTGTGTGTCCATGCCCAGTGACTGCAAGAGGAAATCACTTTTCTGCCTTCTAATTCAGTCTCGTGGTGCCCATTTTTGAACTTTATATAAGTAAAACAGTGTGTGCTCCTTTGTGTCTGGTTTCTGTTGCTGAACATCATGTTTTTGAGATTCTCCCATGTAAATGGAGCTGGAAATGGGGCTGGAGTGTGACATGTTACAGCATTCATATCACATAATATCAGGGCATGTCATACATTATGTCATATAATCACGTCATGCCATGCACATGGATACACAGCAAGGTACCTGCCCATTCTAGTGTTGATGGACACTTGGATTGTTTCTGGTTACGGTTACGGGGTTATGAATCATGGAGCAATAAACATCCTTCTGCATGTCTTTTAGTGTATTTCTGTTGGATATAAACCTAAGAATAAAATTGTAGATTATGATATAGATAGATTATAGATGGATAGGCAGACAGATATGAACAATATAAGTCCATAATACTAAACAACTTTTCAAAGTGGTTGTACTCCCACCAGGCAGGACTGTATTAGTGTTTCATTTATTCCATTTTTTTCCCAAAATAAGTATTATCACAGTCCATTTAGTGTTGCTATAAAGGAATACCTAAGGCTGGGTAGTTTATAAATAAAAGAGGTTTATTTGGCTTGCAATTCTGCTTGATGGAAGGCTCAAGTTTGGGCATCTGGTGAGGACCTCAAGTGGCTTACAGTTCTGGCAGAGGTGCAGGGGAGCCAGTGTGCAGAGATCACAGGGTAAGAGAGGAAGCAGGTGGAAGTACCAGGCTCATTTTAACAACCAGGTCTCGTGGGAACTAATGGAGGGGGGACTCACTCACCCTCAAGTAAAGGTGTAAATCTATTATCTATTTTTGACAAATCCACCTCCCTGATCCAAACACTTCCTATTAAGCACCACCTCCAAGATTAAGGATCAGATTTTTTTTATTATTATTATACTTTAAGTTTTGGGATACAAGTACAGAATGTGCAGGTTTGTTACATAGGTATACATGTGCCATGGTGGTTTGCTGCATCCATCAACCCATCATCTACTTTAGTTATTTCTCCTAATGCTATCCCTCCCCTTGCCCCCCACCCCACAACAGGCCCCAGTATGTGATGTTCCTCTCCCTGTGTCCATGTGTTCTCATTGTTCAACTCCCACTTATGAGTGAGAACATGAGATGTTTGGTTTTCTGTTCCTGTGTTAGTTTGCTGAGAATGATGGTTTCCAGCTTCATCCATGTCCCTGCAAAGGACATAAACTCATCCTTTTTTATGGCTGCATCGTATTCGATGGTGTATATGTGTCATATTTTCTTTATCCAGTCTGTCATTGAGGGGTATTTGGGTTGGTTCCAAGTTTTTGCTATTGTGAATAGTGCTGCAATAAACATACATGTGCATGTGTCTTTATAGTAGAATTATTTATAATCCTTTGGGTATATACTCTGTAATGGGATTCCTGGGTCAAATGGTATTTCTGGATCTAGATGCTTGAGGAATTGCAACACTGTCTTCCACAATGGTTAAATTAATTTACACTCCCACCAACAGTGTAAAAGTGTTCCTATTTCTCCACATCCTCTCCAGCATCTGTTGTTTCCTGACTTTTAATGATCACCATTTTAACTGGCATGAGATGATATCTCATTGTGGTTTTAATTTGCATTTCTCTAATGACCAGTGATGATGAGCTTTTTTTCATATGTTTGTTGGCCACATAAATGTCTTCTTTGAGAAGTGTCTCTTCATATCCTTTGCCCATTTTTTGATGGGGTTGTTTTTTTTTCTTGTAAATTTGTTTAAGTTCCTTGTAGATTCTGGATATTAGTCCTTTGTCAGATGGATAGATTGCAAAAATTTTCTCCCATTCTGTAGGTTGCCTGTTCACTCTAATTATAGTTTCTTTTGCTGTGCAGAAGCTCTTTAGTTTAATTAGATCCCATTTGTCAATTATGGCTTTTGTTGCCATGGCTTTTGGAGTTTTAGTAATATGCTTGATGATTATGTATCTTGAGGTTGCTCTTCTTGAGGAGTATCTTTGTGGTGTTCTCTATATTTACTGAATTTGAATGTTGGCCTGTCTTGATAGGATGAGGAAGTTCCCCTGGATAATATCCTGAAGAGTGTTTTCCATCTTGGTTCCATTCTTCCCGTCACTTTCACATACAACCATTAAACATAGTTTGGTCTTTTCACATAGTCCCATATTTCTTGGAGGCTTTGTTTGTTCCTTATTATTCTTTTTTCTCTAATCTTGTCTTCATGCTTTATTTCATTAAGTTGATCTTCAATCTCAGATATCCTTTCTTCTGCTTGATTGATTCAGTTTGATACTTGTGTATGCTTCACAAAGTTCTCATGCTATGTTCTTCAGCTCCACTGGGTCACTTGTGTTCTTCTGTAAACTGGCTATTCTAGTTAGCAATTCCTCTAACCTTTTTTCAAGGTTCTTAGCTTCCTTGCGTTGGGTTAGAACATGCTCCTTTAGCTCGGAGGAGTTTGTTGTTAACCATCTTCTGAAGCCTACTTCTGTCAATTCGTCAAACTCATTCTCTGTCCAGTTGTGTTCCCTTGCTGGTGAGGAGTTGTTGTCCTTTGGAGGAGAAGAGGTGTTCTGGTTTTTGGAATTTTCAGCCTTTTTGCACTGATTTTTGCTCATCTTCATGGATTTATCTACGTTTTGTCTTTGATGTTGGTGACCTTTGGATGGGGTTTTTGTGTGGATATCCTTTTTGTTGATGTTGATGCTATTCCTTCCTGTTTGTTAGTTTTCCTTCTAACAATCAGGCCCCTGTGCTGCAGGTCTGCTGGAGTTTGCTGGAGGTCTACTCCAGATCCTGTTTGCCTAGGTATCACTAGTCCAGGCTGCAGAATAGCAAAGTTTGCTGCCTGTTCCTTCCTCTGGAAGTTTTGTCCCAGAGGGGGATCTGCCAGATGCCAGCCAGAGCTCTCCTGTGTAAGGTGTCTGTCAGCCCCTGCTGGAAGGTGTCACCCAGTGAGGAGGCACAGGGGTCAAGGACCCACTTGAAAAGGTAGTCTATCCCTTAGCAGAGCTCAATTGCTGTGCTGGAAAATCTGCTGTTCTCTTCAGAACTCGCAGGCAGGAACATTTAAGTCTACTGAAGCTGTACCCACAACAGCCCCTTCCCCCAGGTGCTCTTTCCAAGAAAGATGGGAGTTTTATCTATAAGCCCCTGACTGGGACTGTTGCCTTTCTTTCAGAGATGCCCTGCCCAGAGAAGAGGTGTCTAGAGAGGCAGTCTGGCTACAGCAGCTTTGCGGAGCTGCGGTGGCTCCACCCACTTCGAACTTCCTGGTGGCTTTGTTTACACTGTGAGGGGAAAACTGCCTACTCAAACCTCAGTAATGGCGGACACCCTTCTCCCCATCAAGCTTGAGTGTCCCAGGTGGACTTCAGACTGCTGTGCTGGCAGTGAGAATTTCAAGCCAGTGGATCTTAGCTGGCTAGGCTCCATGGGGGTAGGATCTGCTGAGCTAGATCACTTGGCTCCCTGGCTTCAGCTTCCTTTCTAGGGGAGTAAATGGTTCTGTCTTGCTGGTGTTCCAGGCGCCATTGGGGTATGAAAAAAACCTCCTGCAGCTAGCTCAGCGTCTGCCCAAACAGCTGCCCAGTTTTGTGCTTGAAACCCAGGGTCCTGGTGGTGTAGGCACCTGAGGGAATCTCCTGGTCTGTGGATTGAGAAGACCATTGGAAAAGTGTAGTGTCTGTGCCAGAATGCACCATTCCTCATGGCACAGTCCCTCACAGCTTCTCTTGGCTAGGGGAGGGAGTTCCCCACCCTGTGCACCTCCTGAGTGAGGGAACACCCACCCTGCTTCCACTCACCCTCCGTGGGCTGCACCCACCGTCTAACCAGTCCCAGTGAGATGACCTGGGTGCCTCATTTGGAAATGTAGAAATCACCCGCCTTCTGCTTTGATCTCTCTGGGAGCTGCAGACCGGAGCTGTTCCTATTTGGCCATCTTGCCAGCCACCATCGAGGATTAGATTTTAACATGAGAATTGGTGGGAACAAACCATGTCCAAACTATGGCAGATATAATGTCTAAAAATGAAAATATATGCAATCTTCAAGAAATAAAGCAAATAACCTACCTTACAATTTTTTTCATTTTAAAAAGCATTAAGAATAGCTGAAAATTAAAGCTTCTTATTAATACTAATTTAATGAGAAAATTTAATAAACATAAACACCAAGAAGTTTTTCCCTAATTATGGTTGTACTATATACTAATCTTCTTAAGGAGTTCTCAACAGATTCCGCACTCTGCAAACTCCCTTCGTTAATTTATTTTCTGAGGTTTCAAGGCCTATTGGTGCAGCAGGCTCATTACTTTCAGGGCAAAGCCTTTCCAACCCTGGCCTTTTAAATTGGGGTCAGTGTGTACATTTCCACACAATTTAGGTTTTCATCTTTCATATCTCTAGTTAAACTCTTTATTAAAGAAGAGTTTCAGCACACATCATTTAAAATTCTTCTGACTTGTAATGTCCTAAGACCACTGTATAGCCTCTTACGAAATAGTATTTAGACTTCATCTTTTATTTGATTTACTAGAAGTGTAATCCTTGCCTATTTCTTCTTAAGATCATAACTTTCAAACACGAGAAAACTAACCTAGAGCGATAGGAGTGTTGCACACCTGAGAATTGTAGCTCCCTATCTGTCTGCACCAACAGATTCTAATTAATAGCTGCTTTCTTTGGAGATGTGGTCCTGAGGTTAGGGATTTTGCTACACAGTCAGTTAGGCTGATGGGTATAATTAAGACTTTCTCGGGGTTTCTTCCTATCAATTCATGAGGAGGAGGAAGGCCCATTACCAAAGTCATCCTAGGAGTACAAAGACGTCTAGACAGAGACTTATTCTTCCTAAATATGTGTTGATGAATGGATTGAGAGAGAACAAGGAAGTAAGAACACAATGACAGGCGAATTTTTTCCCCGGCTTGTGAAAATTCCATAGAGTTTGATAGGGACTTATCCATGCTGAAGGAAGCTGAGGTATTTGGTGATGTAAAACCTAGTCCAATATTCAGCTACATTCCTGTAATACTCTTTGGCTTAAACGTCTAACATGCTTTTTTTCTGCATCAAGTATTTTAGTTAGTGGCTTGTTTTTTTCCCTGATATCACAGGACAGCCTTCTGCCCCCAAAACTGGGAAGACAGACAAGGGGACACAGAGAATTAAAGCTCACTGGAGGACAAACCTGTGAGCGGAACCCTAAAGAAAACCAGTACAGAGTGGGATAACCTGAGCCATAATTCACAGATTTCTACAACAGTGTGGACAAGCCTGACAGTTAAAAACACAGGGGGACCCAGTCACGGGGGCCCCCACACTTTTGTGAGCTTTATCTCCGGGAGCCTACCAGGCCTTCACAGTGATGATCAGAGAAAAATCCCTTGGCTTCCAACAACGGGAAGTGGAAAGTAGCCTCTTGAAATATGTCAGAGCACTCTGTTCTTCTTCACAGGGACTGCCTCGGGAGAAACTATTTTACCAGAACTTAAACTATCAGGGTTTTATCAGAACCCAGCTGACCTGGGAGAAGGCAAATAGCCAACTCCAGGCATCTATAGCCATTGCGTCACACCTAAGGAGAGGGGACGAGAAGCACAAGTGAATGTCACAGTCCAGGTCACAGAGTCACCAAACACCAAGACCAGCTCCAAGGACTGTGAGACGCTTCTCCCCCCTACACTTCACCTCCACATCACGAAACATTGATTTAAAGCATCTCCTTTCGCTAAGTATGTCATGTCCAGTTTTCAACAGAAAATTACAAGGCAAACTAAAAAGCAAAAAATAGAGACAAAGTGAACAGTGTGAACATCAAAAACAGAGTCACATGCAGCAAGAATGTTGGAATGATCAGACCAGGAATTTAAAATAATCATGATGAATATGCTAAGTGCTCTAGTGGAAAATGTTGACAACATGCAAAAACACAGGTAATCTAAGTAGAGAGATCTAAGAAAGAAATGCTAGAAATCAAAAACACTGCAACAAACAAAGAATGCCTTTGGTGGGCTCGTTAACAGATTGGACTTGTCTGGAGGGAGTCTCTGAGCTTGAGGAAATGTCAATAGAAGCACAAAACTTACCAGAATTGCAGTGTACTTTTTGGCAGAAACCAACGAGTTGATTATAACATTTACAAGAAATTCCAAGGAACCTAGAATGGCCAAAATATTTTTGAAAAACAGGAACAAAGTAGAATGTACAGTTCATGGTTTGAAAACTTATTACAAAGTAACAGTGATGAAGACAGCGGGCCACTGTAGAAGGACAGCAGTGTAGATCAATGGAATCAAATTGAGAACCCAGAAATAAACCTATGTCTATGGCCAACTGAACTTCAACAAGTGTGCCAAGACCATTCGATTGGGAAAGAATAGTCCTTTCAACAACTGAGGCTGGGACAACTGGACAGCCACATGCAAAAGAATGAGACTGGACACTTAACTTACACCATAAACAAAAATTAACTCAGTATGGATCAGAGGTCTAAATGCAATAATATAAAATTATTAGGCAAAAACATAGGAATAAATCTCTGTAACTGTATTTGGCAAATAATTCTTACATATGACATTAAAATCACAAACAAAAGAAAATATAGATACATTGGACTTTATCAAAATTAAAATCCACACTTTAAAGAATGCCATTAAGAAAGAGACTGCACATGTACCCTAAAACTTAAAGTATAATAATAAGAAAATAATTTTACAATATTACAATATTTTCATAACATTTAAAATATATTTTATTCCTCCAAGTAAAAAAAAAAAAAAAAAAAAAGAAAGAGAAAAGACAATCCACAGGATGAGAGAAAGCTTTTACTGATCATATATTAGATAAGGCACAGGTATGAGAATATATAAAGAATACTTGCAACTCAATAATAAGAAGATAAATAACCCAGCTAAAAAGTTGACAGAAGATTATAATATACATTTCTGCCAAGAAGGTATATAAGTGGCCAATATACACATGTAAAGATGTTGAACTTTTTAGTCATCAGATTAAATTAAATCCAATCAAAGTGTAATGCGATACCACTGCCATCCAATAGGATGTCTGGAATTAAAAAGCTGACTAATAGCAAGTGCTGGTAAGTATAATACATGAGAAGTCAGAATTCTCACACACTACTGGTGGAAATGGTCCAGCTGCTTTGAAAAGCAGTCGGGCAGTGCCTCAAATGATTCAACATAGAGTCACCTTATGATCCAGCAATTCTGTTCCTAGAGATATACCTAAGAGAAACGAAAACATATGCTTATACGTAAAGTTCAACACAAATGTTTATAGTGGCATTGTTCATAAACGTTAACAAGTGTACACAGTCCAAAACGTCATCATTTGACAAATGAATAAAAAATATGGAATATCCACACAATAGAATATTATTTGGCCATAAAAAGGAATGAAGTACTGATACATGTGTCAACATAGATGAACTTGAAAACTTTAGCTAAGTGAAAGAAACCAGCTACTCAAGACATATTACAATTACACATATTGTGTAATTCCATTCATATCAATTGTCCAGAACAGGAAATCTATATAGACACAAAGTATATTCATTCTTGCTTAGGGCCGGGGGCAATATAGAGATTGGAAGATAGGGGAGTTATGGTTACAATGTATGGGTTTTCCAGCACTTTGGAAGGCCGAGGCCAGTGGATCACGAGGTCAGGAGATCAAGACCATCCTGGCTAACACGGTGAAACCCTGTCTCTACTAAAAATACAAACAATTAGCCGGGCGTGGTGGTGGGTGCCTGTAGTCCCAGCTACTTAAGAGGCTGAGGCAGGAGAATGGCGTGAACCTGGGAGGCGGAGTTTGCAGTGAGCCAAGATTGCACCACTGCACTCCAGCATGGGCGACAGAGCCAGACTCCGTCTTAAAAAAAAAAAAAAAGTATGGGTTTTTTTCTTGAAGTGATGAAAATGTTTAAAATTGATGGTGGTGCTGGTTACACATATCTATGGATATATTAAAAACCTTTGAAATAAACACTTTAAATGGGTGAATTTTGTATGTTGTATGGTGTGTGACTTATATCTCAATTACATTTTTTTTTAAAAAAAGAATGCTCCACATACATATACCCCCACCTCAAACACACATCTCACACAGACAGAGGTGCTCTCACACACAGTCCCCATCACAAAGAGAAGCAAGTTACATACATACCTGCCTACCAAGTCAAATGTTTCCTATTTGAAATAAATGAGGGAGGGAAGGGATTTTCTTCTTGATGGTTGACATCCCCGATTGATTAAAAATAGAAAAAAATTTGAATAGTCTGATTAATTTCCTTTTAACTAATTGAATCAAAGCAATTTTTGGAAAGTTTGTTGTCTTAACTCCTTTCATTTAAATAGATAACCTAGATTAGAGACTAATCATTTGATTTTTAAAATTCCATTGAGTCTACTTGAAACAGGCAACCATCCTCACAGTTCATTAAAATGAATCTAAATTTTCTAAATGAACCTATTCAAAACTAATCAGCTCAGTGTAAGTCTAACTAAGGTGATGGTTCTTGGGGTAATAGATGATAAACTCAAAAACCAAAATCCTTTAAATTATAAAACATACCTATGCTGTTAAGAATTGTTGGATGACGAGTGCGGTACTTTATGCTGCCAAGTGTTTTCACTGGCATTAAACACATCATTCCCAACAGGCTCACGTCAGTGACATAGGACTTACTCATTTCACAGTTTGATCATCTGCGTGGTATGCTCGGTCCATGCTCTCCCCAGTTAAGACACGTTAGACTTTAAATTCATGTAGTAAAGTTGTGGCTTAACTGTGTCCTGAGTCAAGAACGTAGTGTTCATGTTTGTGCACCACAGTTATTTGTAGGCCCTGCCATGCTTTGGGTCATTTTCTAGCTGCTGAGTATAAAGTAGTGAACGGGACTGCTCTAGGAAATTATCCTGGAGTAGATAGGCTCAGGGAAGCAGACAAAGGCAAGCGCGTAACTAAAAATTACTGGAGCTATTGTCACATGCTATGAGTACAAAACAGTAAGGTGAGGGCTTGGAGAGTGCCTTGGGGAAAAGTGGCTATTTGAGATGAGAGATGGGAGAAGGCCTCTCTGAAGAAGTGATATTTGCCCATGACAGATAGTGTGAGAAAGAAATTGTTATCCAGTCATTCTGCATGTTTTCCGGAATACATTCCCAGGTATTACTGCGTCTGGTTAGGATATGCTCCAATTCACTTGGAATTGGGGAAATCATAAGAATAATTAGCGATTTACAGTCTATCCTGTACTCTGCTTTTATTTAGGGTGATATGAGAGAGGTTTTTTTTTTTTTCTTTGCCATGAGTCTTAACCAGACTTGTTACAGTGAAGTCTTGCTCACTTCAAATAACAGAGGAGCACTGCCTACACCTCTAACTGCAGCCATCCTGGAAAACTATCTGTTTCCTCTCCAAACAAATTAACAAACAATGCAAAAAGCAACATTTTATAAAGAGCATTCTTTGGAAGACTAGATCCAAGGAACATTAATACCTTTTTAATTAAAACAGATCAAATAAATTTGTAAAATCCTGGCTTAAACAGAGTTGGACTGGGATTTTGTTGTCGTTGTTGTTGTTTTGTTTTCCCCCAGATGGACATTTTGGAACCTTTACTATACCAATTGCTTTTGAAATTTACCTCCAAGTCATATGATATCCCCTATTTTCAGATTGTTTTGGTGATGGAAACATTGGTCTCTGCCCCTTGGGCACATCACATATTTTGAAAATCGGGGTGTTGATTTTCCTTGATTCTTTTCTTTCTCTGTTTTAAATTTACATTAACTTAAAAGAGACAGAATGGTATTAGAAAATTACTACAAACCAAAAAGAAGATCTTCTGGGCTACAGAAAAAATTAATAATTTTTTTAAATTTATGAAATGAGCAAAGAGCCACCTGCCAGGCCTAATGCACAAGGTGGATAGTAGAATCAAACAGAAATGTTAAGTACTATTATTACTATAATATTCTCCAAACAAACATACAGAAATTGCCTGCGCCAAACACATGCTTCATAAGTCCAGAAAAGGAATTTGACAAAGTAGCTTGCACACTGGTGACTCAGATTAATTCACAAGTATTTATAAAGCGCTAGCGAGCCTGCTGTACCAGGCAGAGGCGATCCCCGCCCTCTTGGAGAAGATGTTTCCCAGAAGATTCAGACACCAGGCAGGCAGGCAGAAAAACCATAGGGTTTCTGAGCATCCCAGGTGACAAGAAAGGTGAAAAGCAGAGAGAAGGGCCAGAGGGAGGGAAAACAAGAAGAATTTTACATACGATTACTCAGGAAAAGTTCTTTGAGGAAACGGTATCTCATAGTATCTCAGCAGACATCTGGGTAAGAGGCAAGGAGCCCCATAGCTGTCTAAGTGAAGCACTGTGCAAACCTCTGTTTGCTGAGACCAGCGATTGTGATGGCCTTGAAAAAACACAGGTCTGTAAATAATAAAACACAATGCCCAGTATGTAACAGTTCAAGGCCAAAACACAGGATGGCCATACAATCCAGGTTTAAACTGAGAAAATAATATATCAGTTTTTATTATGACTTTATTGATATATTACTACTAACCCAGTCCCTAACCAATGTGCTGTGCTGAAGCAGAAAACTGATGCAAATCAATAATTTCTATACGCAAATTATTTTTCTTTAACTCACAGGACACAAGGCATTAGATGGCAAAGGCAAAAGGAAGAGTGTGTCTGCTCTTTCTGCCAAAATAGCTACTTAATACTAACAAACACAATAATAATAACAACAAAAGTAACATAATATGAATCTATAAGAACAACAAAAGGACTTTAACTTATAATTAGAGATTACTTTGTCACTTTAAAAAGTTACATGCATATTTATGTATTTCCAACCCTGTAAAAATTAACATAAATTCAGATAATAACACTGAAGAAAATTCTTTTCAAATCAAACAAACCATATAAAAATGCAATTATGACAAATTCCATGCAAAAGCACAATCCATGAAAAAAAGAGAAGTTGGACTTCACTAAAATTAAAAACTTCTGCTCTGCAAAAGACACTGTTAAGAACATGAAAAGGCAAGCCACAGACTGGGAGAAAATCTTTGCAAAACACATATCTGATAATGGGCATCCAAGTTATACAAAGAACTTTTAAGACTCAACAATAAGAAAACACAACAGCCTAATCAGAAAGTGACCAAAAAGTCTAAACCGACACTTCACCAAAGAAAATGTAAAATCCAGAACTCTGGCAACGCCATATGCTGGCGAGGACATGAAGCCACAGGAACTCTCATTCATGCTGCTGGGAATGCAAAATGGTGCAGCCACTTTAGAAGACAGTTTGGCATTTTCTTATAAAATTAAATATACTCTTACCATATGATCCAGCATTCGTATTCCTTGGTATTTACCCAAATGAATTGAAAACTTATCTACACAAAAATCTGCACACTGATGTTTATAGCAGCCGTATTCATAACTGCCAAAACTAGAAACAACCAAGATGTCCTTCAGCAGGTGAATGGATAAACTAGTCCATCCAGACAATGAAATATTATTCAGTGTTAAAAAGAAATGAGCTATCCCGTCATGAAAAGACATGGAGGAGCCTTAAATGCATATTACTAAGTGAAAGAAACCAATCTGAAAAGGCTACATATGGTATGATTCCAACTATAGGACATTCTGGAAAAACAAAACTATGGAGACGTAAAAAGCTCAGTGGTTGCCAAGGGCTGGTGAGGGGAGGGCTGAACTCGGAGAGAACAGGGAATTTTTAGGGCAGTGGAATTATTCTGTATTGTATAATAATGGTAGTTACATGACATTTGTCAAAACCCATAGAATTCCGCAACAGGAAGAGTAAACTCTAATGCAAACTATGGACTTGAGTTAATAATAATGTTTCAATATGAGTTCCTCAGTTGTAATACTGCACCACACCAATGCAACATGTTAACAATAGTGGAAACTGTGGGGCGAGGTGGAGAGGGAGGTATGCGGGAACTCTGTTCCGCTCAATTCTTCTGTAAACTTAAAACTACTCTTGAAAATCAAGTTTGTTCATTAAAAATAAATAAATAATGCAATGACAATGTGAAAACGACCCCATTAACTTGTTCTTAGTATTAGAATGCTAGAATTAGAGCTGACACTTCAAAATATCATAGCTTTTTAATTCTTTGATGTCCTTTCTCACAGTAAAAAGGAAACAAACATAGAACATATGTATTCTCACGAGGTGACTCTAGTGACTTTTTCACAGGTCTACAATATGCATGACTTTCATTTGGTAACTTTTTACCCATTTTGCAGTTTACTGTTGATTTTTGTTGTTGTTAGTGTCATGGGAAGTCAACAAACTACAGTCTCCAAATAAAAGCCATGCCATCTTTTGCAGTCTGAGACGTGAAGCCTCAGAGGGTTTCTCTACCACCACCCAAAATTACATCTCCCGGATAACCCTATACCCTCTGCTGTGCCTCCTGCCGGGCCCCATGTCAGGCTTTTCTTCCCAGGTTGTTTTGCATTTCCTGGGCCAGATCCAGCCTCACACCATGCTCCTTCCATTGTTGCATCTATTTTCTATATAGCAACTCTTCACCTCCTCAAACTCGAACTTCAGCATAAAGCTGGCTTCCTCCCTTGTATGAAAATTGACCCCTAAGACTGCAGCCATCCCTTTTCTCCTTGGGGAAATGACTGAATAAACCCCTGCTTACCTGGTCTCCTGGCACCATATCTCCCATAGTCAATTTCCATTTTTCAGTGACAATAATAGTTACCTTTGTCAAAGCAAACCAAGACACACTCCTACTTGAAATTTTTCAGTGGCCTCCAACTGGCTTTAAGATAAAGAACAAATCTTTGACATGTCCTCAATTGTTTGGCATGGCCCCACCCTCCTTCCTTCACCAGCCTCATTTGCTAGATTCTCTGACCCCTCTTCTTGCCTGATGCTCCTGGTCTCTTTCAGTCCTTCCTATGTGCTGAACGCAAGTCCCTCACGGACCCCATGCATTATCTCCCCGAGGGACTTCTTCCCTCTTTTGGGTTTCTGTAGCATGATGCTCCTCTCCTGCAAAGCTCCTTACGATAATTTATGCAATGATTGTATTCATGTCTCTTCCACCTCTGTAAGCTTTCTAAAAGGATGCTCTCCTCCCTGCTCATCATGTCGCCCCCAAGCACTTAGAATAATAATGCCTGGTAATTAGTGATAATTGATTGACACCTCCAGAATCTGCCCATTTGTCTTCACCCCATGGACACTCCTGGGACTTGTGGCCCCTCGGGTCTGATACAGACAGCCAAGCCAGTTACTCACCTGGGGCCTTGACACCCTCCATCCATGCTCCACACTGTGGCCAGAATGTCCCGCTAAAGAGCAAATCTGATCATTTTTAAATTCTTGTCTCCAACTACTCTCAAGATACCGTCGCAAACTCTTTAGTGTAGTCTACAATACATCTTCTGGCTTATACTCTGCTTTATCTGTGCGGCTATATAGGGATATATATGTAAAAAATAGGTCATATATACATATCTCAAGAGATACTGAATTATTTATATGTTACGAAAACAGACCAAGTCAGATGATGGGTGACAAGCCCAGTGGAAACAGGGGCTTGGACCTTACAGCTGTTTCTAGGTTCTAGCTTTCAGGGAAATGTCAGAATATCCCCTGAATGATGAAGACACCTTGTGTACCTTATACTACTTACCACAATAAAACATAAACTTTTCAGAGTCTCTTTGGATTTTGGAGACAAAATAGACCACGTTTGGGTTCCCTGCCTGATCTATTTACCAAGCCACCCCAAGGCTGTCCATTTTGAGTTGGATCCAGATGAGATGTAGCAGATTCGAGCTGCTCTGCCAGTGCCACCGTGTCACAGTGCTCCAGTGAACAGTGCCAGTGCCACCGTGTCACAGTGCTCCAGTGAACAGTGCCAGTGCCACCGTGTCATAGTGCTCCAGTGAACAGTGCCAGTGTGACTGTGTCATAGTGCTCCAGTGAACAGTGCCAGTGCCACCGTGTCATAGTGCTCCAGTAAACAGTGCCAGTGCCACCGTGTCACAGTGCTCCAGTGAACAGTGCCAGTGCCACCGTGTCACAGTGCTCCAGTGAACAGTGCCAGTGCCACCGTGTCATAGTGCTCCAGTGAACAGTGCCAGTGTGACTGTGTCATAGTGCTCCAGTGAACAGTGCCAGTGCCACCATGTCATAGTGCTCCAGTAAACAGTGCCAGTGCCACCGTGTCACAGTGCTCCAGTGAACAGTGCCAGTGCCACCGTGTCATAGTGCTCCAGTGAATAGTGCCAGTGCCCTGTGTCATAGTGCTCCAGTGAACAGTGCCAGTGCCACTGTGTCATAGTGCTCCCGTCCACAGTGCCAGTGCCACCATGTTCATAGTACACAGAGTATTCAGAATGCCTCAAAAACTATCACACCATCCCACTCAATGCTTCTCTTAACCAGGGAAGCCACTTCAGCATAATGGAGCAGCAGTGGGTGTCTGCCCTTTCACAGATAACACCACACACTCCATCATCCAGAAGTTCCTACAGAAACCATGTGACATCCTGCCAAAACTCAATCACATATAGCTAGGGCACAGCTCCCTGTGAGTCCAGGGTGCCGTCCTACAGATTGGGGTATATGCCTGGAACCAGCTACCAACAGGTGGTTCTCTCCCACAACCAGAACACAGAATCCGCAGATTTTGATCTGTGGAGTCAAAGACAAGAAGTTGGAGGGATCCTTCTCATGACCACTCCCAATAACCTACTAGAAACATTTTTTTCTGTGCATCTCTGGATCTGTGGATATCCTGGTATAGAATCCCAATTCCCAAAAGCAAAAATGCTTCTACTAGTGGAAACAGCAATGATTCCTCCACACTGAAAGCTGACACAACCACATTGCTGTTTGGGGCTCGTCACAGTTTTGAATTGTCCAGCAAAGAAAGGAGTTGCTGAGTTGTCTGGGGGATTTCTCCAAATTATCAAGCAAAAATAGAGCTGTTGCTCTACAATGGGGCCAAGGAGGAATATGCATAGACCTGGATAAACTCTCTGTAGTGTCTCAAACACACCCGCCAGGAAAAGTAGTTATGTACAACAATTCAAAAAGAACAAAGACAGTATGGACTCAGATTATTTACAGATAAGGTTTGGGTCACTTTCCTCCCCCAGGGTAAAGAACTACAACTAGTTAAATACCATCTGAGGGCAACAAGATAATGTAATCAGTAAAGCAACAAAGAAAATATAAATATAATAATTGTAACCTCAAGATGAATTGCAGAAATGAGGACTGCTGTACCTATGCATATTTTCTTTTTTGCTTGATAGACATATAGCTATAGACATAGACATAGGTAGATATGTATTTATATATACATATGTGTATCTGCATGTATATGTGCTTACATATTTATATTCATAAACATATATATCCCTATAGGTTATATCCTAACAAATTACTTTCTGTTTCTTTCCCCTTTATCACTTCTCCTACAATTTTACCTAAGGACTGGAGAATTTGGCTAACTTTGCAAGTGAGACTTTTGGATAGAAAATACGCAGGTGGGATTTTGATTTGAATTCATGCCACCCAGAGATGGAGATGCTGACAGGCAGAAACTCATGTCTCCTTATTTTAGAGAACGGTGGTCGTAGGAGACAGCCGCATGGTGTTAGGCAGAGGCAAGACGTCATGCTCACTGATGATGCCTGGAAGAACATCTCTAGGTCGACGATGTTTGTGGATGGGGAAAAGCCACGAGAGCGGACTGGTCGCTCTTCTGCTGGGACCAGCCCCTTCCCACTTTCCTGGGCTCCCTTCTAGATGGTGGGGGACTGGAAGCCTATAGACCTGACTCTCACACCGTCTGGCTTCTGGGAAGATGTAGGGTGAGAGGTACTGGATGAAGGGTAGGAAGATGGAGGACAGCATTTGTTTTCTGCTTGAGGCAGGCTATGCAGCAGCCACAGCAGCAGATGGCTCGGCTCTAACCATGGCCGTAGCCAATGTCAGTGCGAGCAGCCTTGGTGACGTTTTCCAGAGCAACAGTGTGACGTGGGCTCCTGAGTTCCTCCCACAGAAGTGAGGCGGCTTCAACACGGCGGCTGCAGTGATTCCAGACAGGAAGGGCGAGTGCGGGTCAGAGGGCTTCAGCCCCGGGTTGGTAGCAGTTTAGTAATCTCTGGGCAAGAAGAGATACTCTCTGTACTCCTCCAAAAGTACTCTGCCTCCCTGTTGCTCTCTCAGTCCCATCCACGGCTGTCGGCTTCTGTTTTCCTGACTGAGGTGTGACTGACAGACTCACGATCCTGTTCTACCAGCACACTCTTCTTTTGCCCGCCCAGTGAAGTTTGGGGCCCTGTCTTTATCCCTAAAGCTGCCCTAGATTGTGAGCTGCTGGAAGGCAGGGATAGTATTTACCCATTTTGAATGTGGTCATTTTGTGCCTCTGACTACAGAATACAGCTCAGGTGCCTAATGTATAGCAACTTCTCACTAAACGTTGAATGAATGACCTCATTTCTTGTGACGACCTAAATCGCATCTGCCTGGTGATGAGTCTCATGTCCCCGTCTGCAGTTCTGACCTCTCTCCTGAATTCCACATTAGTCACCTGCAGCTTTACCGGATTGTCTCAAAGATGCTCCAATTCATCATAAACCAGATCACACCTGCTCTCAGGCCACGTCACAACTGCTGTGTCTGTTTGATTAAGGGCATTGCCACCTGTCTGCATCTCCTATTAGATCCCTTTGCATTGTTTCCAAGCTCAGCCCAGCTCTATTCCTGAGGAACGGCACCACAGCTGACACGGAAGCCAGCCATGGGCAGCAGCCCCAAGTCCTGGCTTGGGTCCCTCCCTTCTGGCTCATCTTCTCGCTCTGATTCTGGCTCCAGGACCTCCCTCTCAATTCGTGCCCCTGGCCTTTTGGTTCTGAGTACCCATTTAGACTTTGCTTCATAGCTTATAAACGGCTTCTATTCAGGGTTCAGCTCTCTATGTTTTTCTAATTTTGGCATCCCCAATTTCTCTCATCAGTTAGCCCTTCCCTTAACACCTTTGGGAAGAAGTTTGGGAAGTGGAGAAAGGGCCACCAAATCCAGGCAGCTGTCCCCAGGGACGGCCCTATGTTCCCCCACTACATCTCTAGGGCTGCTCTTAGAGTTCCTAGCTAGCACTTTTCATCTGTATTACAGAAATGATGATGACCTGATCTTCCTGCCTTTGCTCTCTCCCACTCCAATGGATTCCCGAAGTGCTGTCAGAATTATTATTTATTTTAGTGAAAAATTAATCTGATGATTTAATCCATTAGCTTTTCCACTGAGTAAAATAAAATAAAAGTCCTTCCCATTACATACGTGCTGTGATCCGGCCGGAGCTCCCTGCTGCAGGTGCAGCTCCACAAGGACAGAAACCCCTGCTTCTCTCCAGCCGTGCCAGGCCTCCTCCTTGACCTGGGGACGCTACACTCTGTCATGCCTTCCTGCCTTTGCAAAAGTGGATCTCTTTGCCTGGAAAGCCTGTCTCCCTCTTCTCTGCCTAGCAAATATTATTTCTCTCTCAGACTGGCCTCAAACATCCATCGCTGCCTCTGAGAAACCATTTTCATTTCCACTCAGAAAGGTGGTCACTCCCTCTTCTGCACATGGATGGCTGATTACATGGCCAGATCCTCAGGCTTCAAAACCACATCTTACTTCACTTATTATCCTTTTCGTTTGCGTCAGAGCCTCATCTAGTAAATTCTGATTACCCCGTGCAATAGACGTTGATGATCACTTTGTTATTGTTATTATTAAGTGCTACACTAGATGTTGACATAGGAATATGTAAGAACCAAATTTGGAATCAGAATGCTGAAGATAGCATCCTGCCTTTGTCACCGCAAAGCATATATGTTTCACATAATATAAAATCCAACTTACATTTATTTTATTGCCCCACATAATTGGAAATGAAAATATGGAGGGGACTTTGAGCTTGCCTGGTTGGCATCAATAATGTAGCTAAGAATGCATATTCCCTCTGCTCTGTCTTCCTCTCTCAGCTCCTGCAGGAGGCTGGCAGCCCAGCCAGGAAGAGCGGGCCAGGTGGTGATGAGGCCCCAGCCTCCTCGCTCCCACTCAGTAGAGAGAGAACAAGGTTCTATTCCAGGTTTCCAAGCAAGACCTGCAAGTACCTTGGTCAGGCTGCTTCAATAGCATTCCCACTCCTGACTGTGATGTGGAAAATAGCGGTGAGACCTCACTAGTCCAGCCAGGCACAGCACAGGTGCTGGGGCCTTGCCATGAAACACCTGGGCACCGTGGGAGAGGGTTGGGAAACTTGAGCAAAACTCTGGGAATTTTTATTTTTCAGTTAGGCTTTCTTTCAGCTGCACATTGAAAGAAGTTAACCACAGAAACACGCTAAAGCACTTGCTTTTTTTCTTACGTAAGTCCACAGAGAAGGGCCCTTTTCAGGGGAAGTGATTCTACAGTGTCCTTGAGCAATCAAGCTTTCTCAGATTCCGCTTTGCCTCTCAGCACGCTGCCTCCTTGCCCGCTGACATACCTGCTGCCCTTCACACATCCCCTTCCGAGTCCAGGCAGAAGGAAGAGACAGACCAAGAGCAGTAGCTCTGCACGTAACCCCCACGCACCTGTGCAGCTCCCAGGTGACCACCATTTAGGCCCCACTGTGCAGAACTGAGTCATGGGGTCACCCAGCTTTAAAAAAAGGCTGGGAAGTGGAAATGGAGAGGCTCTTTTTCTCTTTTTTTTGAACTCAACACCCCTTGAATACCATGGGCCTCATGTGATAAGCTATAATTCTTTCTCACTGTAGGGAAACTGCTTTCATGTCTAGAAAGTTTGCTTATGGCAATTTCAGAATAAATCTGGTATTTTTCCCACAAAAAATGAATCAAAAAGTCATACCTATTACTCCCTTATTTCCATTCTGAAAAGACAAACCCAGAAATCCTTGATGCAAACTGTAACAAGGAAATAAATCAAAGAATTCCAATTTGATTGGACACATTTATATGCAAACACTGTGCAAGTTACAGCGAGTGAGATAAATAAGAATAAGACATGGTCTCTGCTCCCTAAGGTCCCACAGTCTAGTTGGGGGAAAATTGTCAGCTGGGATACCCGGGCCAGTACCTTTTACGTAACATTGTCTCACATCTCAATTTTATTTCATTGAGGAAAATTTAATGGTCTCCTCAGTATTTTTGCAAATTCCTTGATGAGGATGAGTGGGAGAAATTTACATTCACACATTCACCTTTGGTTAGTTCCCTACCTCGACTGAATGCCTGACCACTGCTCAGTAGACACTACACATGAACACATCTCCTTCTCGGCTTTCTGCACATGGGAGGCACCCACATGACCTCACGCATACATATGCAAACTCACACTCAGAAACTCACAAACATATACACATACAAACTCATATGCATACAAACCTACACTGGTACGCTCACTCACACACTCACAAAAAGGCCTTTCCTTGATAGCTCACTTTAAAAGAGGTTTAAAAATATGAAGCACACTCACATTTCAAGCAGATTCACAATCCAGATTCTGCAGCCCACAGGCCCCTCTGGTGGGTTCCAGGCCAGCCTCCTGCAACGCGGTCACTCTCTTGATGTTGCTGAGCCCACAGGCCCCTCCGGCAGGTTCTAGGCCAGCCTCCCGCAACACGGTCCCTCTCCCGATGCTGCTGAGCCCACGGGCCTCTCCGGTGGGTTCCAGGCCAGCCTCCTGCAGCACGGTCGCTCTCTCGATGCTGCTCTTACTGCCACTTGCTCTTGGCAACTTCGAAATTAAAAATACCCCACACTCCATTTAAAAAGTGGCTCCGATTTTCCCAACTCCAACAAAAAACTTAGATCTGATTTATCTTTAAATACACATTTTTACATTATTTTTAACTTAATAAACAGATGTTTTATTAGCACCTCCTGAGGTCCATACACCCCTCAAGGCACTGCGGAGATGAGGGTGAGCCCTAACAGGCACATCCTCCCCTCATGGACCAGAGAGGACAGGTTAGGAGATAGCGGAGGCACTGGTTGTGAGCCTAAGACTCACAAAATACGTATAAAGTCCTGGTTGCAACAAGTTCTTCAAGCAAGAGAGACATGGCCTCACAAAAGCGTATAAGGGAGCATTTGACTTGTTCCGGGAATTCAGGGAATAATGTCCTGAAAACGTGAAGATGATGCATACTGAGCTCTGAAGGATGTGTCAGGGCCAACCTAGAGAAGGATTGAAAGAGAAAGAAATCAGGCAGAGGGTCTAGCGTGTGGAAGCCGGGGGACTAGAGTGGAGGTGCCTCAGAGGAAGTTTGAGACCAGCATGACTGGGTACACAAAAAAGAGGTGTTGCATGGTGTCAGATGAGGCTATAAGAGAGGAAGTGGCCAGACCCACACAGCTACTGTGGATTTATGCATGATTTTGGTCTTTTCCTAGGAGGAACAAGGAAGAGTGCTTGAGAGTTTGCAATAGAGGCTTGGTATGACCACAGGAGGGTTTGCATTGCATGTCAGAGAAGGCACCAAAAGACAGAAAAGACAAAGCAAGTACACTGGTTAGCAGGCTATTGAGGCAGATGAGACTGGGGGTGACCTCTGCTTGATCTAGGTGGGGGCCAGTGGAGGACAGCAGTACGGAGATTTCAAAGGTGTTTACTGAGTAAAAAGTACAGGACTTAGTGAGCTGTTATTGGAGAAACGGTGGAGAAAAAAAGATGCCCCAGATGATGCCTAGAATTATGCTCCCAATGATTTCAGAGTAGCTGATTGTTCCAACAATATATACACAAACAGCAACACGCTTGTTAAAGATCCTTAGCAGTACTGATCCTCAGACCAATGCAAACGGAGACCATGACGACACACCCATCTACCTGCTGCAATAGCTAAAATGTAAAATCTGCTAATACCAAGCAAAGGCAAATATGGGAGTAACTGTAATTCCAACACATTGCTGGCGAGAATATCAAATGCATCCACCCATTGGAAACTGGTTTGAGTTACACATGAGAGTGAGGACTCTGTGCAGAGTCTCCCTTCTGGGCCTCCACACTTGGCAACTCTGTGCTTCTCTCACCCCTTCCAACCTCACCTCCGTGAATGGCTAGTTATTTTTGCAACTTAGCAATGTTTCAATTCACACCTCACGGGTGCTCAGTCCCCTTTCAGAAAGGCCAGGTGAAGTGCACTGTGAAAACACTCTCATCACATCTTTTCATTATTTCTTTGTAGGCTTTCCAAGAAGAGAGTTAAAAGTCCAGTTATTTAATTTCTCATTTGTCTACTAGAAAGTAAGCCCCGTGAGCAGGGCTGGTGTTTATCTCTCTCAGTGCTTTGCGCCAGTGCCTAGTTTGCTTAAATCTTTAAGGAATGAATGAATAAATGAATGCATGAATTAGCATAAAAAACACGGAGTAGGAGGTAGGAAAGAAACAACAGTCATGTGTTTGGTTTTGTAGACCATGAGCTTAAGACGCATGTGGACTGTTTAAGAGGTTTCTTCTCAGAAATAAATGCATATCTGGCTTCAGTTAAACTTCTGAATTGATTAAAACTATCCTGCTCTTTTGGGGGAATGTAAGAAGAGATGGCTGTGTTTGAGCCACACCTTGCAAGTGGAATATGACAGTAATAGAAAGATAAAATCTGTGAGCGTGGTGAGCAAGATTGCAGTGGGCATTAGAACTGTGCAGCAACTTACATTTTATTTATTCATTTTTATCTTTCTAATTACAAAATTAAAGTTCTGCATTGTTTCTTTAACAGAAACAATTATTGTTTACATAATTTTGACTACTTGATTGGAAATATAGTCATTATTGTAAAGTAAGGATAATTTGACCACAGTTTTGTGTTTAATTTCAGAAATAAAAATTGATTAATTGAGCTCAGATTTAAACAAAATAAGTTTATTGTGTTTCCAAAGTTTCTGCTTAAAAGAATGTGCCTCATAAAAGCCACACACACAAAAAAGTTTATTTTTTGAATCGAGGGTGGATAAACCTAATTTCCAACATGTAGTAATTTTCAGACATTTATATTAAGTCTAAAATTACTTCAAAATGAAAGATTAAAAATCATTTTTTAAAACTTATATAGACAATTTGAAACTTACTTCAAATTGTCTTTCCCTAAATATTCCTACCAATTCTCAACCTCTTTTAGCCCTGAATCTGTTTTCTAATTTTCGTTTTTATGAATTGCTTCTTGATTCATGATTTTCTCTATTTGTGTTGAGTTCTCCACTTCCTACATTTATTTTCTGCCCCCTTTTTCCATGGCATTTATTGTCTATTATGTGCAGAACACAGTGTTGGGAACTACATATACAATATTTAAAAAGAATACACACTTTTTTTATCTGAAGTCATGCAGCTTGTAGTTGGGGAGTGATGCTCTATAAAAACAACTGCAATCCAATATGATGAATGTGAAGATGGAATACAGAAATTGCCACAGTCCCCCAGAGGGAGAAGCTGACTCAAGAGCAAGTGGAGCCTGGGTCTGCAGAGTCCGGACCTCCAGCACCGCCTCCTACACAGCCTCATCACGACTCAGAGCAGCACCAGGGCTGCCTGGGATCGCCTGATGAAGCCACCGCATGAATGAGTTGAGGCTTTCTGATTAACAAGGTGATATGGTCTGACTGTGTCCCCACCCAAATCTCACCTTGAATTGTAATAATCCCCACATGTCAAGGGCAGGACAAGGTGGGGCTAATTGAATCATGGGGGCGGTTTCTCCCATACTCTTCTCATGGTGGTGAATAAGTTTCATGAGATCTGATGGTTTTATAAGTGGAAGTTCCCCTGCACAAGCTCTTGCCTGCTACCATACAAGACGTGACTTTGCTCCTCATTCACCTTCCACCATGATTGTGAGGTCTCCCTGGCCATGTGGAACTGTGAGTCCATTAAACCTCTTTCCTTTATAAATGACCCAGTCTCAGGTATGTCTTTATTAGCAGGGTGAAAACAGACTAATACACCAAGCAAGTCTAGAATCAAAAGCTACCATGTAAAAGCTATATCCCAAAGATAGGAGTTTGTATCATTACCTTTTGATCTTCTTTTTAACCACTTCCATTTATCTGCAGTAAATGTCAGTCCAAGGACAAAACTTTTAAACCAGTCCCCCAAAAGAAGTTAAATGGCGTTTATGTCTCCCTTCACTAAAGACCTCTTGTACTCTTAAGTGGTTCTACATAGAGATAACTTAATGATAATAAGTTGTTCTATGCAGAGAGAACCTAATTGTACTCAAATTATTCATGTTATGCCTGCTTTTGTCTTAACTAGGTTGTTAGCTCCACAAGGGCAAAACTCAAGCCTTTAACAGTAATAATAGTATATTACCAATAATTATAACAATATATATTTAGTACATTTCTTTTGTAATTTTCTAAACATTTCTGTTATGTTGTCTTCCTTAATTCAAAAGACAGATGTGGGAGGCTGAAAGGCATCTTCAGGCTTTTCACAGGTGAGGAGACAGAGCCTTCATGGGTCTTTCCTCCCTGAGAAGCGCAGAGATGAATGTCTCCTCCTTCTCTCTCAGAGGTCTCCCTCCCTCCTGTTCCACCTCCTCTGCAAGAGTTCAGGCCAGGTGATGCTTAAGAAATTCATGTAAAATGTGTCCCTGGCTTGATTGAGCTGCCTGCAAATCCTGAGCCCAACATTCTCTAAGGGAAAGTTCCTCGTTTTTCTGAATGAGGAAAAGAGATTATGAAGAACTGGAAAGCTCTGACTGACAGCCTCTTTCAAAAATGTGAAGCTGGTGGGTCTTGGTAAAGAAGAGCAGGAGGGCAGACAGAATGCTCTACAGCACGTAGAAACCACCCAGGCCAATACCCCTTGCCCTTTCCGGTCCAGCGCCAAGACCACTGAAGCTGGCTGTGACAGATGCACTCAGCCACAGCCCAAGACGGCGTGATGCTCAGGAGCTGACCGGTGGCAGCAGCCTCCCTTCTCCAGGCTCAGCACCTGGGAGTGCACGGCACACTCAACTGGCCTCTCTCCTCTGTCGATGAGAGGATCTATTGATGCGCAGACAGCCTGTGGGGGAGGAGGTGCTGAAGCTGCAGTTTGAAGACCATTTCCATAACTTTTGAGAGGACTGGCAGGTCGGAAATGAGTCGATAGTTCAGATAGATTGTCAGGTAATAAGGAGAGTCGTTAGAACAGGGGAATAACTGCAGCTGCTTTAAATTGAGCAGGAATTCAGCCAGATGTCAAGGTGGGAGCGATGCTGCTATCTATAACAGAAACCCCATCTTCCACCCATGCCTAAAGAGCCACGTGGGCCATGGGTTCAAACAAGAGGTTGACAGCTGCAGCTCCCAAATTGCCTTCATCTCTCGTGCAAGGGCACCCACAATGCAGTCAAGAAAGACAGATTGATTTCGTGTTCAAAGACTCACAGTGCTGAAAAATGCCAGTGCCTGGGCTCCATGGCCTCAGTTACTCGTACGAAATGAACTGGAAAGATTAGGCAAGGCAAGAAATTACGGGATACAAAGCTGGTTCGACATTTACTCTGCTATTAAGAGATGATAGTGAATACACTAATTCTCCTCAGTGTTCAATGCAGTTGAGGCACACAACGCTCAGCTCTCAGGTTCCTCCCTTTCGGGGCTACAAAGGATCTCAAGTGTCCAGAGAACGTGAAAGAATGAGAGCCTTCGCTTGTGGGCCCAGAATTCAGCCATCTCCCGAGGCTCTCAAATGCTTTATGCTCATCCGCACAAAGCAACCTCCGGATGAAAGCCTGTCAGCTGCGACTTGCGATTTGAATGCTGGTGCACACACACATCACACTAGAAATGCCAGCTGATCCCTGGGCAAGTTGAAGGGGTCATAGGATGCCGGTGCTCTCCAGGGCTCAGCACAGAGATTATCCCAGGGCACTTCGGCCTCTGTCTGAACAAACCACAGTCATTTTTAACATGAATCACGAAAGTAAACACTACACATAATTTCATGCTTTCATTTCTTTGTTCATGTGTTTCCTCCTCCCCAGAAAGCTTTGTCCTCACTCTTCTTCATCCATTAAGGTCCAGATCAAACACCACTTCCTACGAGAACCCACTCCCTCCCATCAGCAGCACTCCACCAACAGTTTATTGATTTACAACTCGATTAGTGCACTCATTACACATTTTTATAATGGTCAATTGCCTATGTGGCCTTCCCCTAATAAATTATGAGAATGGACTATAACTTATTTATTTGGTATCCTCAGTGCCTAGTACCGTGTTGGGTGCATAGCCAGAAATCAATAAATAATTGTGGACTTAGTAATCTCTGCATTCTAGGAAGCTCGAGAATTCTTAATGAGTGAAATGTCAATAGGTATAGCAGCAACGAGCTGGAAAGGACGGGAACTGACACCATGGGTAGGTGGTCACAGATTTGCAAATGTATAGGCAAAGCCATAGGTAAGCAGAGGTTCACTTGACTTAGCATCCACATCACCACTGTTGTCTTTCCTGCGATATCTAGACTCAACCCTAAACAAGAGGATGGATTGCAAGAATAGAGGTCAAACATAAATTTCATTTGTTCAACACAGACTTGCTGATGTCAAGGTATGTGATGAGACATCATCTTTAAGTGAGTTTCTTCTCAGAGAAAACATTCATGCCTTTCAATATAATTTCTTTTTTTTTCTTTTTTTGAGATGGAGTCTTGGTCTGTCATCGAGGTTGGAGTGCAGTGGTGTGATCTCAGCTCAATGCAATCTCTGCCTCCCAGTTCAAGCAATTCTCCCGTCTCAGTCTCCAAGTAGCTGGGACTACAGGAGTGTACCACCATGCCCAGCTAATTTTTCTTTTCTTTTCTTTTCTTTCTTTTTTTTGTGTGTGTGTATTTTTAGTAGAGACGGGGTTTCGCCACATTGACCAGGCTGGTCTCAAACTTCTGACCTCAGACCATACACTTGCCTTGGCCTCCCAAGGGCTGGGATTACAGGTGAGAGCCACCGCGTCCAGTTGAAATTGATCACTCTAAAATATAATTCACTCTCTTTCCCTGGAAGTTCTCAACCCTCATATTCCATATCCAACTATAATGTCCAGTTGTAACGTTCACTGTAAATCTCAGTCTCAGTAACTGACAGGACGCTCTCCTGCTTCCTCCAAAGTCTACTTCCCAAGCTCCTCCCCTGTATTCTTGTGCTGGCCTCTGTGGTTCTGGGACTCACATTTGAGTCCTGCTAGAATGCACCTGGTTCTCTTGCTCTCCCTATGTCACCTCTCAATCCCATCCTCCCCTGAGACCTTCTAATTGTTTAAAAAGAAAAAAAGAATCTTGATATTTCTCTTATCTATCCCTGTTTTCCCATTGCGACTATTCTTTCCTCTGTTACCACCTAGATCAGAGCCTGAATCGTTCTCTACTTCTGTATCTCATGCTAATGCTTCATCCTCAAAGCCTTCAGAATCATCTTTCTAGGCCATTGCTTTCCTCCTCTAACGTCCAGAATTTCCTTCAGGGCAAAGTCTCGGTTCTCCTGCTCAGCGCTCTGCACGTCTGCATGTTCTCTGGCCTCCCACGGGCTCTGCCATCCCTGTCCCCATGCTCAGGTTCAGCCAGGCCTGTCTGCCACCTCCCACGGGCTCTCCCACCCCCACCCCCATGCTCAGGTTCAGCCAGGCCTGTATACTCATCCTGGCACATCTCCACCTCCAAACCCCAGCACAGGTCAAACTCCAAAGCACCTCCATCCACTCTGGGTCAATTGCATCAATGTTTTAAGACTCAGCTCAGGTGCTAATTTCACAAAGAAAAATTTCCTGACCATTCCAGCCCAAAGTGAGCTTCCCCTCCCTCCTGTAAGCTCAGAACACAGAGCCAAATAAAGACACCATTTACACAGTGTTCAGTTCATACAGTAAGCCACGAGTGACATTTAATTGTGCAGTATCCTCTACAGGTGTTCTTTTAAATTCTAGAAGAAAAGATCCTAACATTTTTTCTTCTGTGTGACCTCCACACCTAGTTTAGAGCCAGGGCTGTGGAAAAGACTTGCAGTGTGTTGACGGGTGCATATGCATACACGTATGTGTTAGGCAATTTCTTGTGAGTGCTTAAAAGCCTTGTAGTTTTGGATTCAGAAGCTGGGGACTCTGTCTAGATCCAGGCTTCACTTCTCAAGTGGACTACAGAGGATTCCCTACACCTGGTTCTAGAAGTGAGCAGAGAAGGGGAACAGTCTTGGCTTGGCAGACTCAGGAGATTTATTCTCATTCCTGGAGTTGTGGGGGGCAGTAGACAACCAGCCAACCAACCAACAAACAAACAAAACCTTCTGTGCCTAAAAAACCCCAAAACCTGCATCTATAGATTGGAGAGACTTCCTCCACACTTCTCATCTGTCCTTGGGGAGTTCTTGCAATTTCTACCCTATTGAAGAAGTAGCCATTCCACCCCATCAAGACCTTAGGACTTTCCCACCACCTCCATTGTATTTCAGATCGGTTGCTTTTTTCCAGATAAGAAACACTCACAAGATGGATATTGGGTATGTGGGCATTTATCTAAACCAGCAAGATCCTCTAGGGTAGATTTTAAAGCCCCAAAGGCTTCAGAGCTGGCACTGTACCCTGGGAGAGGGCTCACTCAATGGCTTGGGAACAGCACTTACGAAGCAATATGGATAGTGAAGTGGGAGACTATTGAAGGTTCCCTTTATCACATCACAAACAATCACCCTGTACAAAATGTGCCCAACTCAAGCACAGGGGAGAGTCACATGTCCTCTTCAAGGCAGACTGTGTCCTGTGTATTTCCAATTGTTCACTGATGATCCCCATTCCCCAGCTCAGTGATAAGCACTTCATAAAAGGTAAGGGATGAGAAAGTACCTAAGGGACACGATGTCCACTATTTGGGTGATGGTTATACTAGAAGCCCCAGTTTCACCACTGCAAAATAGATCCATGTAACAAAACTGCACTTTAACCCCAAAATCGATTAAAAAGCTTTAAAAACTTAAAAATCACAAAATAATTATAACAAATAAAAAAGCTGCTATGAACACTTGTGTACTGATCTTTGTGTGGACAAATGTTTTCATTACTATTGAATTAACGCCTCCTAGTGAAACTTCTGGGTTCTATGGTAAGAGCATACTAAACTTAGAAGACACTGCTAAACTGTTTCCCAAAGTGCCTATACGATCTTGCCTTCTTACTAGCCATGCTTAAGGGTTCCAGAGTCCACAGACTTGCCCACTATTGGAATTCAGTCGTTTCAAGTTTAGTCTTTCTAAAATGTGTGTACTGGTATAAAGGTTACCTTATTGGTCAATGATATTAAAAGGCTTTTCATGTGCTGATTGGCCATTTGTATATCTTTGTTTGTGAAATATCCGTTCAAATCTTATGTCCCCTCCCATCTTTTTTGTAATTGTCTGTCTTCTTGTTACTTAAGTTTGGCAAGTATTTATATATTATGCATGCAACCCTTTGTCAGATTTATGTATTGAAAAAATTATATATTCCTGTAGAGTGTGGTTTACCTTTTTATTTCTTCATGATGTCTCTTGAAGAGTTGTCTAATTTATCAACCTTTTTTCCTTTCTCTTTTCTTCTTCTTCTTCTTCTTCTTTTTTTTTTTAAATGGAATCTCGCTCTGTCACCCAGGCTGGAGTGCAGTGGAGTGATCTTGGCTCACTGAAACCTTGGCCTTCTGGGTTCAAGCGATTCTCCTGCCTCAGCCTCCCGAGTAGCTGGGACTACAGGTGCCCACCACCGTGCCCAGCTAATTTTTGTATTTTTAGTAGAGACAGGGTTTCACCATATTGTCCAGGCTGGTCTCAAACTCCTGACCTTGTGATCCACCCACCTTAGCCTCCCAAAGTGCTAGGATTACAGGTGTGAGCCACCGCACCTGGCTCTTTTTTTTTTTTTTTTTCTTAAGTCTTGTATTTTTTGTTTCCTACTTAGGAAACCTCTATGTCCAGATTACAAAACTTTTTGTATATATTTTCTATAATATTCAGAGTTGTAGTTATAAAGTTTAGACCTTTGGTCCATTTGAAGTCATTTTCATCTGCCATGTGAGGAATGGGTCAAGGTTCTTTTTATTTTCATACAGACATCTAGATATTTTAGCACTATTTATTAAAAAGGCAATTCTTTTCTCTGAAAATAACCTAAGTACATTTTTCAAAAATCAATTGAGCTCATAAATTTGATTCATTTCTGGGCTCTCAATTCTCTCTTATTGAGGTATACGTCTATCCTTGTGCTAATTTCTTTTGTCTAAAATATGAAACTTTTAGAGAAATCTTAAAATCAGTGCAGGTCTCTGACCTTTGGTCATTTACAGCTGTTTTGACTATTCTAGGCATTTTGCATTCCTGTACATTGCAGAATGAACTTATAAATTTTTACGGAAGTACTTTCATAGATTTTAGTGGGTATTACATTAAATTTCCAGATCAATTCAGGGAATATTTTCATCTTAGCTATATTGAGTCTTACAATCAGGATACAAAGTTTTTCCTCCATGTATTTTAGTGTTCTTTAATTCCTCTGTTTACAGGAACCAGTGCATATTCATATTTAAATTTATTTTTAAGTATTTTACTTTTTATGCACTGTGAATGGAACTTTTCGGAATGTTCACTATTAGTATAAAAAACAGGTTTTGTATTTACGTAATCTGAAAATTTGCAAAATTATTTGTTATAGGTTATTTTGGAGTTTCCTTAAGATTTTCTAGGTTCATAGTCATATCATCTGTGAATGAATACAATTCTTTTTTTTTCCAAGAATCTGCTCTTTTTTTCTTGTCATATTTGTGCTATGACTTCAACACAAAGTTGAATAAAATTGGTGAAAGCAGACATTTTGCCTTTTTCCTGAATATAAACAGAAAATATTCAGATATTTCTCGTTAAATGTGCTGTTAGATGTAGGTATTTGTAGATGCCTTCTGTCTGGTTGAAGAAGTTTTCTTTTATTCCTTGTGTCCTGAGACTTTCAGCATGAATCTTTGTTGCATTTTGTCAAATGATTTTTCTGCATCTATAAAGATGATTTGACTTCTTACTTTTCTTCCAATATAGCATTACATTAAATGATTTTCAGATGTTAAATGAAACTTGAATTTTGTGTATATACCCAACCTAATTTTTGTATAGTATCCTTTTCATATGTTGTTCTGTTTGGTCTGCATATTTTTTATAAGAATTTTTGAATCAGTGTGTTTTGGAACTATGAATGTTTTCTTTTGATTTCTTTTTCCTGTTTTGGTACTGATGTAATACTGGCCTCCAAAAATAAGTTGGAAGGTGTTCTTTCTTCCTCTTTTTACTGCAAGAGTATTTTTATAAATATTTGAGATAATTCAGTAGTGGAAATATATAGGCCTAGTGTGTATGTGTTTGTGTGTGTGGTTATATGTATATGAGCAAGAGGTTTAATTTGTATTTAAATTTCTTTAGTAAACATAGGGTTGCCCAGATTTTCTACTTTTTCTTGAGACATATTATATAATTTATATCTTTCAAATAATTTGTCTACTTCATCTAAATCTTCAAATTTCCTGATATAATTTTTTCATGTAATTCCTTTTTTGTCCCTTTAATAACTATAGGGCTTGTACTGATGTCTGACAAAGTCTTAGTAATTTTCTTTATCTAGTCTGAAAATTCTTGCCTTTTATTAATATTAGTCAAATTTTCAGCAAATATTTTCTATAAAGACCACCTACAATATCTGCTGCACCACTTCCTCCTCCTCTTCTCTGTTTCTTATAATCATTATCATCTTCCCCATCTTTGTCTTCATTTTTATGTGTGCTCTTATCTTTCTCTTCCCTTAACAGTCTTTTAAATAGATAAAAACCATTCTTAGCTCACGAGCACACTGCAAGCCATGTTTTCCTCATGGTCCATAGTAGGATGAGGCCTGGCTTGGGGTGAGTCTACTCAAGTCTAACAGAACCACTGATAGGGTTGGGTCCAGATCTAGTCTGCTGCCCTTTGCTCTTTATTGGTCTCCTTTCTTCTTTTATTCCTCTTTTATTAAGTTAATGGTTTTTGTGTGTGTGTGTTGAATAAATGTATTTTAGTTATTATATTGAATGTTTATTTTTCTTTGTGTTTATATTCTAGGTAATATAATACAATATTCATTTTTAACTTCAAGTCAATATTGACATATATTCAATATTGACATATATTCAATATAATGTAAAAACTTTATATCAGTATGTTCCCATTTCCTTCTAATCCATTGTTCTTTTGTTGTTATTTATATTACATCAATATACATTATAAACTTTAAAATACGTTCTTATAAATTTCACTTTAAGCAGTCATATGTTTTTAATAAAGTCAAGAAACAAAATAAACATATATAATTATAAGATAATAATATATAATTGTTCCATTATATATGGAATATATATAATAAACCAATATTTTATTTTAAAATCAGTAAGCAATATTTTATATCTAACATTTCCTGTGTTCTTTATTTCCTTCATGGATCTGAGGTTTCATCTGAAACCTTCAGGTGAAAGATATTCCTTAGCATTTTTACAGTGCAGGTCACTAGCAAATAATTCTGTCAGGGTTTGTTTATCAAAAACGCCCCTGTTCTGCTTTCATTTTTAAAGGAAGTTTGTTTATACAATGAAGGCATTTTTTTTTTTCATTCAGTGTTTTGAACATTTTATTTCGAATCCTACGGATTCCACTGCTTTGGATGAAAAGTCATCTATAAATTATATCCTTCCTTTTCATATGTGAATTGTCTTTTTTTTGTTGTTTTCTTCACTGCTTTCAGGACTTTTGCTTTGCTTTGGGTTTTTACTGGTTTGAATATAGTGTTTAGGTGCATTTCTCTTTGTGTATATCTTACTTGAGACTTTTTGAGCTTTGTGGATTTGAAAACCAATGTTGTCATCAAATTTGGGGAATTTTTAGGCATTACTACTCTAAATATTTTTTGTGATTTGTATTTTCCTTCTATCTTTCTAGAACTCCAATTATACATATGTTGAAATGTTTGATAATGTTTAATAAATCTCTGCATCTCTCTTCACTTTTATCCTTTTTTTCGGTGCTTTTCAAATTGGATACTTTTTAATTTATCTAATTTTTTAAATCTCAGTTCTTTCTTCTGCCAAGTCAGTGCTACTGATTAACCCATTCAATGAATTTTTATTTCAGATATTGTGTTTTTCAGTCTTAGAATTTTGATCTTTTTTTTAAAAAAAATACTTTTCCCTTCTCCACTGAGATTTCCTGTTTACTCACTAATAGTATACTTTCTTTAAATTATTGGATCAAAATTGTTCTATAATTGTTTGAACATATTTATAATAGCTTCTTTTAAGTTGATGACTGCTAATTCAAAATCAAGACCCACTCAAAGTTATTTTTTTGATTGTGGTCATACTATCCCATTTATATTTGTGGCTAATAATTTTTGACTGAAAACAAGACATTGTAGATCGTAGCAGCCCTGGATTCTGTTTGCTCCTTAGATTTTTGTTTATTCATTTTGTTTTGTTAGGCAATTAATGTGCTTGCACACAAACTGTGAAATATTTCTTCCTCCCAGTTTAATTTTCTTTTAAACCTGCCTATGTAGGTGCCTCCCTTGGTTCTGTTTATTTTAATTCTCAGCCAGGGATTTAGTCAGAGGTTATGCTCAGTTTTCTCAAACCAATTTGGCTTCAGGCATCTGGTTAAGCTGTCTCTAGTTCAAGGATGCATTTTAAAATTCAGCAAGTTTGAAAGCACCCTTGCTGTTTTGGGGCTTTCTGTAATTTTCCACACAAATGCAGAGCCTAACCATCAGTCAGGGACTTGTGCAGACTTTATTATCCCAGACTTTCTCCAGCTATCACCCCTATTATTATAATGTTTCCCTTTAAATTTTTGGCTGTTCTGCCACCCAAACCAAACATGCCACAGCTGGCTACTTCTTCTTCTTCTTCTTTTTTTTTTTTTTTTTTTTTTCCCTCAACAACCTGGGGAAATGAGAAACCCTCCAGGAAAGAAAATCACAAACATCATTCTGACTCAAAGCAGTAATAAAGTGTTGCAGGTTGTTCTAGAAACCTAGCAAGAAACATATGAAGATGTGTGGTCTCCTCATGTTTCGGGAAACGCTCTGCATGGCACTAATTTGTATGTGGCATGTGCTTTCCAAAGGCGCCCGTATCCACAGACATCCCCACACCACTATTCGGGCTCCCTTTGTCCTTTTTCTGTTCAGGTATGGAATGTGTATTCAGTTATACTATTTTCTGTCAGGTGTTTTCAGCCTTCTTTCTTTAGAAAGAAACTTTTAAATGAGTTAATTAATACCATAAGATAAATTGGACTCAATAAGAACATCAGGCACATTAAAAATATTCTCGTATTATTCTCGATGTGGTGTTAACCTGAATTTCTGAATTACAATATTTAGAACAATATGTGGCCACACAAGGAAGGAAAGGTAAAACTAGATTTTCTTGAAGATTTTCTTATATCTTTGTTTCTATTTTTCTTTCTATTTAATAATGTAAATATCTGCATCAGAATCACCCAAGGTGATAGCTGAAATTCAGATTTCTAGGCTCCACCTCCATTGTCCTGTATCATCATATCCCCAGGTAAAACTCAGAAAATCTATATTTTTAAATAAGGTTCCAGAACAATTCTTATGTATGTTGAAATTTGCTAATGAAGGCCTTAAAATATCAAAGTATCTATTTAAGAAAATACTATCAGACATTTGCTGTTTTTACTTTTTAACCTAATAATTGATTTCAAGCTTATTTTAAGGAAATAATTAAAATAAGTTGAGATGCTTCAAGGCCTGAAGATGTACATCATCTCATTATTTATAAATAAAGCTTTAGAAGTAAGCATCCAGCAATTAGAGAATGGCTATAAATATACGATTAAGTAACTCTAAGATATATTATAAGCACTAATAGTATACTTATGAAAAAAATAAATATAGCACTATAAAAATAATAAAAACAACATAAAATTGTATGCATACCATTATTACCTCTATGTAAAAAACATGAATTGATATAGTTAGACTAGAAAGAAACATAGAAAAAATAAACTATGTCAAGGTGATGACATTAGAGATCATTAACATTTTTAATGTTTTGATATGGAAATGATACTTCAAAAAGAGAAGTTTAGCAAAACCTACTAATAAGTAAATTAGATAATACTGATATTTTAGATTGTATTTAGCCCGAACATGTTTCTGTAATGCTTACTAAGTATCACCTTTTTTTTTCCCTGAACTACTGTAGAATCTTTTAAATGTGATATTCCATCAGCACTTGCAGAAGGAAAAAAGTCTGGGAATGGCCTTCTGTGGAGGGGAGCAGAGCTTCAGTCAGAGAGCACTGAGAGTGCCTGCCCCCAGAACAGAGCACTCTCAGATCCCTGTGGGTGTGAAGTCAGGTGGTGGGTTGGGTCCAATAGTTATGCATCTTTGTCTGACAGGCTAAGGAGTTTGTTTTTTTTTCTCTTAGAGGCCACGAGGTGAAGATGCTTTCCTAAGCAGGTAAATTTTTGCCCTGGTATTAAGCACAGTGCGAAGAAGCAACTGAGAGGCAGAGGCTGTGACTTTGAATAAGAGGGAGTTGACTCAGTGTCACCAGTTTTTCCTTTACAGCAAAGCCCTGCCATTGCAATATGCAAATATGAGCACGAGTTATTTAAACCATCCCTGCAGAATACTCAGAATACTACTTTCTAAATAGTCACTTGCGCCAAGGAAGTTGCTATCCCTGTGCCAATTTGGACTTCCTTTCAGATTAGAAATGTCTTGGAAGAGATACCATTTGGGAAGTAAGACTTTGGTTATAAAAAGGAATAAGAAAGCAAACATCAGCATTTGGTCATGAAGTGCTACTACTTATTACGTGTGAACAGAATTGATTATTTCCAGAATTTCCAGAATTAGACCTGGCATGTGTCCTGAATTTATGGGCATAGCTTTAAAACCTTCTGAATTAAACCTCTGGGTAGTTAGTGCAACTGGCCCTGCCTCCATAGTATCTGTTTGTTCATAGTAGTGCAGCCCTGAAGTTACGGACTACATGTTGCTGATACCAAGCACCTGAAACATCGGAATTTAAGATCCATCTTCATTCCCTTTTCCACTCAAAGAGGGAAAAACCTGAATTCTATCCTCAGGCAATCTATAAATGCTTATTGAGCACATACTATGTGCAAAGAACTGGGCTAGCTGCTATATACAATGAAGGGATAGACAAAGAAGATGCAGATTCTTGGAATCACACAGACCCAAATATAAGCAAAGCTACGTAGTAATCTAGTTGCTTACTAACACTATAAAATCTTACAAATCATTGATAAGAAAAACGACACAAACTCTACATAGGTAAAATCCATACTGATGATCTAGTTCAAAAATAAATTATTAAATGTGTCTGAGTGGTCTTTGGAAAGATTACTGCAACTCTAGAGCAAATTCAGTTGGTTTTGTCCCTCTTTTCTGTCTGAATTCTCTTCCTATGTTGCCTTGTTTTCTTCTCCTAAAGCCAGTATTGTGCTTTCTTTTTTATGCACTGCCTAACTCAGACCCAATTGCCGGCTTTCTTCTCTCCTTAATAAAGAGTCAACTTCTCCCTCAGCCATTGTGCTCAGGGTGCCCCACACCCGCAAGCTCCATGCAAGTCCTGAACTGTGTCACTTAAGTGTCTACATTTTAAGTCCCCTCCTGGGGGCTGGAAGTGTGTTCTTTGTTCAGCACCATTTAATCTATTGCTCTGCACAATGTACATTCACTGAGCAACATAAATCATAAATAATAATAGTCAATATCCTTAGGGCAAAGCACAGGCAAACAGCTTGCCTCCAGTAGCCTGCCCCCAGCAGGGGCTTTGACAACGGCTAGTCACCTCAACACGAGGGTAGCATTTAGCCCACCTGTGTTTCCCATTATATGAAGTCATTGAAGGAGACTTATTTTTTTTAATAGCAAAATGAGACAACTGAATATTTATCCTTATAAGCATCTTTTAAAAATCAAAATTACTCTTTAATCCCAATTATGGTTATTAACCAATTAGTTCCTCCACATCTCACTTAAATAATTTATTGCAGAACACACTCAAGGACAATTCTCAAATCCAAGTACTGCTTCAAGTTCACCTAATTACTACAGCATCAGAGCGACACGCGTTCCAGAATAAGAGGCTGTCCGTGGATTTGCTTCAGCGCTCCATGGCTTGGCAGACTTCCTCTTTGCCAGGGCCGTTGTATACGTAGCTAAGTCTGAGTAAAAAGACAGTTCCACGATTCAGGTACAAGAAACATAACACCAAACTAGACTGTAAAAAATGACAAGTGTAAGTGCTAGAAAAAAATCTCAATAATAGAAATGCTTATCACATGATTTGGGGTAGAAGCTGGGTGAGAGTGTGTGTGTGTGTGTGTGTGTGTGTGTGTGTGTGTGAATGAACATAGGTTGAGGTGGGAGAACTGGCAAGAGTAGGTAAAAAGATCAACACTATTAAAGAAACAAGGACAAGCAGAAAAAAAGAGAGATTTGAAGGACATAGTTATTTATTGTTTCAGCAGTCAAATCATCTTACAGAATAGGAAAATAGATCACCTCTATATGCTTGACATCATTTTTTTTGATGCATGATCAGAACAAGATATTCATAGATAATAAGGCCATTGTAAACCAAAACCATCTAACCCTTTCAAAGTGTCAAGAAGGGGAATCTATATTTTCCTAAATGTCTTGAAATCACTGTTTAAAAACATAGGAGAGAGGGACTGAGTAAAGGTAATAACATGTGGCTGGCCCTCATAATATGTTTTGCAAATAAGAAAATTCACCCCTTGCATGGAGCAGAGGTATCCCACACCAAGGCAGAGGGTAGCCTGGACCTGGGCCCCGTTCACCTCCTGAACACTTGCCTGGGGAATGTGGGGTGTGTGGTGCTGACCGCACACCTCTCCTGGAGAGGCTGGAGGGAGGGACACATAGAAACAGCAAGTTTCATGTTGTGTCATGGAATAAAAGTAGATTCATACCTATTGAGGGAAAGTACCTTGTTTAGAAAACATTCCGATTTCCTCAGGAGTTGATTAATTTATCTTTTTTTTTTTTTTTTGAGATGGAGTCTCACTCTTTCACCCAGGCTGGAGTGCAGTGGCGCCATCTCGGCTCACTGCAACCTCTGCCTCCCGGGTTCAAGCAATTCTCTTGCCTCAGACTCCTGAGTAGCTGAGACTACAGGAGCACGCCACCACGCCCGGCTAATTTTTTTGTAATTTTAGTAGAGGTGGGGTTTCACCATGTTGCCCAGGCTGGTTTCGAATCCCTGAGCTCTGGCAATCCACCTGCCTCAGCCTCCCAAAGTGCTAGGATTAGAGGCGTGAGCCACCGTGACCAGCCTAGTTCACTTTTCTAAAATGGTACTGACGAACTTCCTTGTTCATTACTGTCTATACAACTGACCTAAAAAGACCCAAGTGTAACCACATTTATGTAAATGTAGCACAATCTGCATTTCATTTTGAGAGATGATGTAGGTACAAGCTTTCACATAAAAATGCCTCTTGTCACAGAGGAAGGTATGCCAAAATTTATTGAGACCTTGAAAGTAGTGTACTAAAAAAGTGTGTGAATGTGTGAATTTTACACTGAATACTCTCTAGGAATCAGAGTGAATATTGCTTGTCTAAACTGATTCATGTGAGCAAGGTTATCATGCAACATCAAGAATTCTGAACTCCAGTAAGCCAAAAAAATTGGTTTTAGAAATCAAAGGTTTGAAAGAATCATTAAATTCATCAAATTATCTTGTTTGATATGAACTCAGTTTGGGGAATCTTCTATTGAAGAATAGCCTCTGTAAGCAAAACTATAAAACTCTAAGTGTACAGCATATGGTGCAATAGATTTTCACAAACGGAGCACACCTGTATTCACCAGAGCCCTAATCAAGAACCAGAGGACAGCCAGGATCCGGGAAGCCACCCTCCATCTCTTCCATTACTACCTCCTCCAAGAGTAACCACTGTCCTGACCCACAAGACCATCGGTTGATTTTGCCAGTTTCTGGAATTTGTAGAATAAACTGAGGCCGTGCACTCTCCTATGGGGCATTTGCTACTGAGATGTATCCACATTGTTGCAGGAAGTTGTGGTCCAGTCATCATCATTGCTTCAGAGTTCCATTGTGTGGCTCTGTCATAATTTTTGGACCCATCGTATAGGTGCTGGGTATTTGGATAGTTTGCAGTTTTGAGCTATGATAAAGAGTGCTGCTAATAATATTGTGTACACTGACCTAGCTCTTTTCCAAAGTTTTAACAATTTGTACACCCACCAGAAATGAACAAGGGTCCTGGTGCTTCCATGCCTTCTACATAACGCAGCATGGAAAGTCTTTCTTCATCTTAGTTTTTCTGTTGGTCATACAGCAATGCCACACTGAAAATGTAATTTGCATGTTCCTGGTGACAAGGGAAGTTCAACATCTTTGAACATATTTATTGGCCATCTTCACATGCTTTTATGAAATAGCTATTTAACTTGCTTCCCTATTTTTTATTGATTTTTCTTTGCTTTTTTTCTTATTGATTCATTCAAGTTCTTTATATATCTCTGTGTGAATCTTTTGTTGGATGGATGCATTGCAAACATTTAACTCTATGGTTTGTCTTTTCACTCTTTTAATGCCCATTGATAAACAGAAGTACTTAATCTTATTATAGTCAAATGTATTAATATTTTGTTCATAGCTTTGTCCTATTTAAGAAATGTTTCCTTACTCCAAAACATAGGAATGATCTATGTATTCTAAAAGTTTTACTGTTTCATTTTTTACATTTAGATGTGCAGCGCATCTGGTTTGTTTCTGTGAATTGGTGAAGTGAAGGTTAAGATGAATTTTCTGCTTTTTCCTGTTTACTCAGCCCAATTTATTAAAACGACTCCTGCCTGTCCACATTCTGCAGCACCACAGTTCTCATCAGCCAGGTGAATTTTGTGTGTGGGATGATTCTACACTCTGTTCTGTTCTATTGGTCTGTTTCTCTATCTGACTCTTCTGTCTTAATTACTGCAGCTTTAGATCAGATCTGAATATCTGGTAGCTTCAGTAACTTAGCTCTATTCTTGTTCTTCAAGATTGCCTTGACCATTTGCATTGCCACAGGAATTTTAGGAACAATTTTTCAACAGTCTGTAAAAAGCCTGCTAGAATTTTAATTGTAATTGCATCATATGTACAGATTGTTGGGGGAAAAATTGAAATTAATATAGTAATTATTTTTAAGCTATAAGCATAATATATATCTCTGTATATTTAGGTATATAATTTCTTTTCTTCTTATTTATTTACTTATTTATTTATTTGTTTTTCAAGATTGAGTCTCTCTCTATTATTGCCCAGGCTGGAGTGCAGTGGCGCAATCTCGGCTCACTGCAATCTTCGCCTCCTGGGTTCAAGCGCTTCTCCTGCCTTAGCCTCCCGAGTAGCTGGGACTACAGCTGTGCACCACCACACCTGGCTAATTTTTGTATTTTTAGTAGAGACGGGGTTTCACCATGTTGGCCAGTCTGGTCCTGAACTCATGACCTCAGATGATCCACCCACCTCGGCCTCCCAAAGTGCTGGGATTATAGGCATGAGCCACTGCACCTGGCCAGTTTTTAAAAATAAAAATTATACACATTTGGGATGTACAACACGATGTTTAAAAATATGTAGACATCGTGGAATTGCTAAATGAAGCTATTAACATATGCATTACCTCACATATGTATTATTTTTTGTGGTGAGAACACTTAATCTTCTCTCAGCAATTTTCAAGTGTGCGACACACTGTTATTAAGTAGAATCACCATGTTGTACAATAGGTCTCTTGAACTTACTTCTCCTGTGTAGCAGAAAGTTGACACCTCTTAACCAACATCTCCCCAACCCCCTTCCCACCAGCTCCTGACAATCAGCGTTCTCCTGCCTGTTTCCAGGAGTTCACCTTTTTTAGCTTCCATATATAAGTGACCTTACCTCATACTTGTCCTTCTGTGCCTGGCTTATTTAACCTAACATAATGCCCTCCAGGTTTCTGTAGTTATAAATGACAGGATTTCCTTCTCTTTTAAGGCTGAAATTTGTTTTTATACCACATTTTCCTTATCTATTCATCCATCGATGAACTCATGGATTTTCCTTATCTATTCATCCATCAATGAGCCCTTGGATTGATTCCATATCTTGGGTGTTGTGAGTAGTGCTTCCATGGGCACAGGAGTGCAGATATCTCTTTGACTTACTGATTGAATTTCCTTTGGGTATATACCCAGCAGTGGAATTGCTTTCATTAATGTTGCATAGTTTTCAGTGTAGAGGTCTTACACACTTTTGTTTGATTTATTTTTATATATTTTATGTGAGTTGTTTTGCTACTATAAACATTTTTTAATTTTTATTTTGTTATATAGAAATTTGACTTTTTAATTCTAATAGCTTACAGAAACGTTTGGAATTTCTAAACATATAATGATGTCATTTGCAGAGTAATGTCATTTCAATACAATACATATATCAGCTTTATTCTAGGTATAGAATGTTAAAAAATATAAGACATGTCGAGTTCCCTCCCCCACCCATCTATATTTCCTTTGAGAAACTATTCTTTCTGCTGAAAATACAGAGAACACACAGGGGATCAAAACTCTAAGCATATATGGAGCAGAAGAGAATACCGGAAAATAAACAAAAAAAGTAATTTTTTATTATGTGAAAACAGGACTTTCCCTTTCTATTGACAATCTTTATGAATATGGTTAACTTGGTTAATTACAAGTGTAGTAAGTGTTTATAGGTGAAATCAATGATGCGTGACATGACTGAGAATTGCACGTTATCAATTTTTACCTTTGTAAATTACTTCGGATATCCATAAAATGATTATTTAAGGAATGTATTGCATGTTAAAACTGTCCTGTTTCTCATATATGAACAAAGTCACTAATAACTTCATAGTAATTCTTCTTATTATTAATTAAAATGTATTTTTGGTCTTTTGGTGGTGAGGCAATATGAAGAGGAACCCATGGGAATAAAAGACATATTATGTTGCACTTTTCTCAGAAAACGGTTTAATATAACTCATATTTGGAGCCTAGGAATACATTATGGGACTGTAGTCACAGTCAACATAAGCAGAAAATGTTGAATTTAAATAAAAATCACTATTTTCAAGTATCTCTTAAGCCTCCAATTTTTGTCCTAAAATGAGAATATTTAAATAGGCTGGCACCTCTGGATTATTTTGGCTAGTGATGTGTATTACGATCATTTTGTTCCACGTTTCATGCAACAAGACACTTCTGTAGAGAAAGTTAACATCGTGCTCCAGGGCCTTTACTCCTTGTACAGGACTGTGGGTTCCGAGTGGGGCAAAATGATGTAGAGTAGCCCCTCGTCCTGTGTCCCTTTATAAAACCATTAGATTTTGCTCTTTATAAAACCATGAGATCTCGTGAGGCATATTTGCTATCATGAGAACAGCACGGGAAAGGCCCGCCCCCATGATTCAGTTACCTCCTGCGGGTCCCTTTCATGACATGATGTAGAGTGGCCCCTCATCCTGTGCCTCTATCTAGAATTCTGACAAGCCATTTTCAAGGGAAGCTGGTAGCTAGAAAGGAGGAGGAAAGAGACAGAAAAGGTAAAGAACATTGGAGGCAGAAAACAGGGATATTAAGGGGAAATTAGAATTAAACTTACAAGTAGGTGAATAGAACGGTGACACCTTCAAAGGAATGAGGCATATTTTTTTCTTCCCTCTTTCCTATAGTTTTCCCAACTTCATGCTAAAGTATATTCCAACACCACAGCTAGCCACATGTGGGCAAATGGTAGAAAATGAGGCCAGTCAAAAACAAGGAGAACAATAATTTGGACAAATATAACAAAAGAAATAAAAAGTAGTCAAATTTGTCACAACAGGTAAGGCCCTACCAGGCCTCCCCTCTGGGCTCGTAGTTGCCTTCTTTGGCATTTTCCAGTGGCTACCTCTGGGAGGGTTGTTGTAGAAGGCTGTGAACTTCAAAATAAAATACATTACGGAAAAATATAAAATGTTATTTTTGTGTCCATAAAAATAACTGGACATGTGAGACATAAGGGAAATTCCCTGTCTTCCAGAGAGAATATGAAGAAATGATTATTTATTGGCTATGAGTCAATGAATGATGGCCCTCCCATCCTCTTTGAGCTGATAAGGGCTAATGTCTGGTGTCAGTCTTCACCTGATGAGATGTCAATGGGAGACCAAATAGCAAGGCATGGGATGGTCACAGAAAGAAGAGGAGGACTAGAACCTGGAGGAGGGTGGACACAGGGAAATGTGGCATCGTGAGGAAGGGGACTGGATAGATCTGTGTAACCCTGGAGGGGAGGATCGGGATATATTAGTCTGTTCTCATGCTGCTAATAAAGACATACCTGAGAGTGGGTAATTTAGAAAGAAAAGAAGTTTAATGGACTCACAATTCCACATGGCTGGGGAGGCCTCACCATCACGGTGGAAGGCGAATGAGGAGCAAAGTCACGTCTTACATGGTGGAAGGCAAGAGGGAATGTGCAGGGAAACTGCCCTTTATAAAACCATCAGATCTTGTGAGCCATGTTCACTATCATGAGAACAGCTCAGGAAAGACCAGCCGCCATGATTCAGTTACCTCCCTCTGGTCCCTCCCAGCACACATGGGGATTATGGGAGCTGCAATTCAAGATGAAATTTGGGTGGAGACACAGCCAAACCATATCATGGGACAAATTGCCATAGGACAGCAGCATGTACCTCAAGAAAGGAGCAGCATAATTTAATCAAAGGCTTGCAAAGTGGGAGTGAGAAGTCATGAGGGGAGATGAGCACAGAGGTGCATAGAGTTACAATAACAATCAAAGTACTGAATAGACACTGGAATAGGTCAGTGTTGAGGTCCTGCAGAACCAAGACCCCAGGACTCCTGGGGCACTAGTGAAGGGGGTTTAGACGGGCTTTGCTGTCCTAACCCTGGAAACTCCTCTAGGCTGCTTTATAAATGCACAGAATGTGCCTAGATGGTCAGGTTCATTTACTTCTAAGTTTTTTCTTCTTGTCTAAATTATAACACAACTTATGTGCTAAAACTATCACTATAAAAAATTATACCTATTTTTCCATCAGTTACCATTATTGGCCTGAAAGTTTCCATGCTTTAGTGTTTTCTGTCATTTTGGATACATTTCTTTAAAAGTTGAAAAAAACAGTATGTATTTTATCACCTCAAAATTTAGAAACACACAACCCAAGTACACATGCATCCTCCCACACCTCAATTTCTGGTGTAATTGCTGTTGGTTCACAGACCTCTAAAGCAGCATGAATCCAAATTTCACTACTCTGCATCACAGTATTTTATATTTTACTTATAAATATGAGTTATTTGACTACAGGTGAGAGGAAAAGAAAGGTAAAGTCAAAGAGCCACCGGACACACTGAATGACCAGAGCCCCAGTGAAAGGCCCGTAAGCAATTGCATTTCCAAAGGTGTGACTTACACAGGACTTCTCTGAGGCCCCGATTTTGTACAAGGTGACATTCAAATTTGCTTCTTCTCTGGTTTAGTCAAAACGTTTGTTTTTACACTATGTCTAAGCAACCCTGAATTTTTTGGGGTAATGAAAAGAGCACTAGGCTGGGAGGCAGGAGGCTGGCTCCTGCTCCAGGTCTAATGCTGCCCACTTGTGTGACCATCCCCTATGAAGCTGTAAGCCAGTGGTAAATGATCTGGGGGCTTGGTTCAAATTCCAGGTCTCACTCTGTCCACCTTTTAACCTGGGTGAGTTCCTTCCCTGTAAAGTGATGAGTCAGTAAGTTGTCTTTGAAACATGTTCCACGTTGGAAGTCAGAAGACCTCATGCCTTCCTGCTAGGTTTCCTCCAGGTTGAATATAAGGGCTTCGAAAAGTCCAACTCAACATGTTTTCTGTCCACAATAGTTTCTGCTTGTATGTTACTATAGAAAACTGTTTAATCTCAGGTGAACTTCTTCATTGTCCTCAACTAGTACAAGAAGAGAACTTCCTTCCAGCATTCGATGTGATGGTTAACTAAGAAAATAAATGTAAAGTGCTGATCACAGTGTCTGTTGTGTACAAAACTCTCAGCAGACAGATTTTAAGACTGGACTTTTTTCTTGTAGGAGGAATGTTCAGAAAGGAAAAGAATTCATTAGAAACATCTTTCTTTTAGCATATGTCATCTTATCTGTTCTAAGATGCTAAGGAGAATGGGAGGAATGTGTATATGAATATCGTATGCTTGTATATTTTGAATATAAACACGTATTTGCATGTATGAGTGTCCATGTCCATATGCATGTGTATTATGTATATACTTATGTGTGTATATAGGTATTTATATGCTTTTTCCACACTTGTTGTTCTTGGCCTCTATTGTTTTGTAATCTGCACTTTTGAATTCTGGGCAACTGGGCCTTTTTCACTTCTGCCTGTTGCCCATCCAAATGATAAATAAATAAAAAGACTTAAAACTCTTAAGCTGAATTTCACTTATTTCATGAAGCCGGTAATCTAGAAGTGATATCAGCCTAGGGCATCTAAGTGGAATTGCTTCCACAAAGCAGTAGCACCAGCTTGCACACCAGCTAACACAATGACATCATTCGTAGCTGGAAACTTTGATAGCTCCTGTCTGTCACAGAGAAGATCAAGTTCAAACGTCTTGCCAGGGTATATCAGGCCATCCATGACTCAACCTCTCTGTGAAGGTGAATTTTATGTGTCAACTTGACTGCGCCATGGGTGCCCAGATGTTTGCTCAAACATTATTCTGGTTGTTTCTGTGAAGATGTTTTCTGATGAGATTAACATCTGAATTAGTAGACTTGGAAACACTGATTTCTCTCTCTAGCATGGGTGGGCCTCATCCAATCCATTGAAGGCCTGAATAGGACAAAAAGACCCTCTCTGGAGTAAGAGATAATTTTTCCTGCTTGGCAACTTTCCAAACTGGGACATTGGCTCTTTTCTTTTCTTTTCTTTTCTTTTTCTTTTGGACTCAAACTAAAGCATTTGGTCTTCCTAGGTTGGTACTACACATCAGGTCTCCTGGTTCTCCAGCGTGCTGACTCACCCTGTGGATGGCTCTTTTCTTTTCTTTTCTTTTCTTTTCTTTTCTTTTCTTTTCTTTTCTTTTCTTTTTCTTTTTCTTTTGGACTCAAACGAAAGCATTTGGTCTTCCTAGGTTGGTACTACACATCAGTTCTCCTGGTTCTCCAGCGTGCTGACTCACCCTGTGGATCCTAGGACTTGCCAGCCATGATAATCACATGAGCCAATTATGTATAATAAATCTGCTTATTCAACCCACACACAAACATATACACACACGTGTTTCTTTCTGCAGAACCCTGGCTGACGTGCTCTTCACCCTCATTAGTCAGCACCTCTGCCCTGAACTCCTCATTGCAGTCAACCACATTTAAGCAGATTCTGGAAGATGCCTTGTGGCCCCTTCTCTGTGCACCCTTGCCTTTGCCCCAAGATGGCCAGATTAGCTTCCGAATCCAGCTCAGGCTGTACTCCGCTTTGTGAAGTCGCCTTGGAACCCACCCCACTCCCTCTGCTCTGTGCCTTGACCATACCTTTACGGATGCACCTTCCAACTCTGATGATTTTTGTATGACTATTGCATTCATTAGGCTATCTACCAAACATAGTGCCCAGAACCTTTGTGAGATGATTCCCTAAAAGACAGCTCATTGGGAGAGAGACTCCTGTCTGATTTATCTTTGTATGGTTTGATATTTTTTAGTCCATGCACGATTTACATCTAATGACATCATGCTATAATTTAGAATTATCTGTCCTACAAAAGGCAATGACTTATTTAATTATTATTATTATTTTGAGATGGAGTCTGTCTATGTTGCCCAGGCTGGAGTGCAGTGGTGCTATCTCGGTTCACTGCAGCCTCTGCCTCCTGGGTTCAAGAAATTCTCCTGCCTCAGCCTCCTGAGTACCTGGGACTACAGGAGCATGCCATAAGGCCCAGCTAAGTTTTGTGTTTTTAGTAGAGACAGGGTTTCAACATGTTGGCCGGATTGGTCTTGATGTCCTAACCTTGTGATCCACCTGCCTCAGCATGCCAAAGTGCTGGGATTACAGGCATGAGCCACTGTGCCTGGCCTAAATATTTTTAAGATGCATATCTTATATCTTTCTGTTAATTGTAACCCCGCTGGCAGCATAAACCCTATGACCAAAGTACCTCACACAGTTGACTCAGTGTTAGCCCTATGATGGGACTAAATATGTGTTGGTTGATTGATTTTGGCTCTTTGAGAAATTTTTCTACAATGATTTTTATGAGTCAGTATAAGTAATTAATGTCAGCTACCAATCCAATCATTTCTAAACTCTTGCTAGCCTTAGAAGCCTCCTAATTTCTGCTGTTTAACAACATCAAGCTTTTTACTCACCTCTAAAAATATTAACAAGTTATGGAAAGACTCAACATATTTACCAAATATGTGAAATAAAATGTCTTTCTTTTATTTGTGGATTCTCTTTTGGTTTCAAATGTGAGAAAATATGCACAGGGGAAATGATGGATGAGTTTATATCAGGTGTTAGGATTCTGATGGTTTATCTACACAATTTCCTCCATAATTTCCTGAAACTTTAAAAACTAATATTTTCCCTCAACATTCCAGGTATTGTTATTACCTTGAAGGACACAAGGTGAATAAAATATCAATTCTGCTCTGCTCTTGCTCAAAGACTGGAAAATTCTGATTCAAAATATCTAGACAAGAGGATTTGCTTGGCAACTTATAGTAGCAGCAAGAGCAAAGACCCACTGATACACATGAACTCATCATTTGTAAGTAAAATATCCTTCCTACGTGGCAAAAACCATTTCTACCTGAATAAGATGACCTTTTCTGGGGAAGCTTTCTACAATTTTGCTCCTAAGTGAGGAGATATGGGACATTCCCATTCATTAGCAACTTGGGGACAAAAAATGATTTTTTTTTCTTATTTTATTTTATTTTATTTTTCTGGCTGGTACTTAGGTAATTCTGCAGAAATCCCAATGTCAGATAACTAGTACTGTCAGGTGCCCCAAAAGAATGCTTTTTAGGTTTGTCAGCATCTCAATCCCATGGCACAGTTGCTGCTCCTGGGATGGGGGCACTCTGCAAGCACAGCTGCCGGGTGGGCACTCTGGATCCAGCTCCATGGAGTCTCATTCTTCTGGAAAACCTGGCTGAAGAGTAAGTGGGAACAGGGACATAGAGAAAATAATTTGCCTGTCTTGTAACTCCCCATCTAATTCTAGGTAGAGATGATTGAGACAGTAGACTATATCCAAACATTAATCAACTCTGAAGATTAATTCCTGTGGTTGGCTATAAAGGGCTCTATTGAGGCATTAAAACCTAATGCCTCCACAAACCTTCAAGCAGTTAGACATCTGCGCAATTCTTTCAACCTCATGACCATTTATGTGAAAATGATGAAACAAAATGGTGAAAGGAGAAAATGCAATTACTTCTCACATATTTCCTCAACTCAGACAAGGAAAATTGTCAGACATGTTCATTGAAGTGTTAATCACACACCTTGCACAGAGGAGGGGATCATTATGGGTTAAGCTATAATTCTGTAAAAGAGTCATATGATGCTAGGTTACCTCAGTCATTGCAAGACAATTTTGGGGGTCCATACAGTCCATTCATTTATTCATTCATTTGATGAGAAACTATGTGTGTGTTTCCACCGTGTGTCAGGCATCAATCATAGGTGCTACAGCCACACATGCAAATAACACATAGTCCCTGTGTAATGGTATTTAGAGTATCAAAGGGAGACAGAGATGTATAAACAGATATGCATAACCAAAGTGTTGCAGTAAAAGACCATACAGGATGCAATGAGAACACAGAAGAACTAGAGGGAGGAGGCGGGGCTTCAGGGGAAAGATTTGTCAGGTGTCCTAGACGGGGGGAGGAGAGACACACGTCCAAGCAGAGCAGGTGGGGTAGCAAAGGCATGAACGTGTTACGTGCTTTTCTTGGATTCTTTCTACAATTTCAAATGCTTTCTGAATTACCTACAGAAAGGGACCTATCTTTGCTGGGTGAGATCCAATAACTTGATCAGTGCAAACTTTTAAAAATAAGAATGAGTTTCAGACAACTAAATTTAATTTCTATGTTTTCAGGTCAATAGTGGCTAGAGTGCTTGCATGTACTATGACCAAAGGAACATGCTTATATTCTGAAATACCATAAATTATTAATAAGATTAGATACTTTAAAAGTAATTTGAATTTATTAGATGGTTCGGCTGTAGCATAGCCTACCTGAGACAGTTTAATATAACTCTCAGCTGTAAATTCTGTACAGTTAATTGGGATTTGAATCCATATGAAAAAGAAGTTTGGAAACTTGTGCTGATAAAAATGTTTTCCACTGGAGAGGGTATGTACTGCATTCTCAATGGTCTAAGAGGATTGAGTGTTAACTTGAGAGAAAGGTTGCCAACAAGGGCTGTGACCGGTACACAGCATAAGGCATACCTGGCTGGAGCAGATGCAGTTACGAGACTTCTGGACTCTTCAGAAAAGAACAAGGACTTCTTTACCAGTTGCACAAATTTTATTCTATGAATGCTTGTCCTTCACAGATAAGCTCTCAATGTCTCTATATGATTCAGCATTTTCAGGCTAAGTATAACCATGAAACCACAGATAAATTGATTACCATGAAAATATGTCCAATGTTTACAACAGCATCATGGTGACCACGAGATCCCTAATGCAACACCCAGAGTTCTCTCCTCCATCTTATGGTGATTCCAAGTCTAAATGCTCTTTCCAACAGGCAATGAAGATTTCCAGTGGAAGTTTCTGTTCAAGGAATACAGTGTGTTACACATTGAACAGAACCAGTAAGATCTGCAGAGATTTCAAGAATGAAATCTATAGAAAATTCTAAACATTTGGCTTAAAATTTTTCTCTATATTTAATTTACAGTTTGTGCCATTCCAATGACAAGGTGTGCTTTCTAAAAACAGGTGTCATAGATACTTCTTGATATTCTCTTCATTGCTGATTACTGTTCTAGGGTCTTGGTAGACAATAATTATCTGCCAGTTCAATGAATGAATAAAATATATCCATGCTCATTGGAGAATAAGTGATGTTACTAGACCATGCAAGTTGATTGACATGTGACCATCCTCCTTCAAAATAAGAAGTAGATTTACTTGATGAGGACATGGAGGATCAGAGGAAGACATCTAATGACATGCAGATAACTAGAAAATAATCCTATAGCAATCCCGTGGCTAAGGGGCCATGGGTTATTCTTCCAGATAACCAGTGAATAGAAAAGGTATGGAATTTTGCTACTTTGTCACTTTTGTTTTGAGTAAAACCTTGGTATGAGAAAGCATCATCAAAATAGGTAACATATCTGACTCTTAACTAGTCAGCTATTCACAGAACATGGGTATGGGAGAGACAACATGAGGGTTCCCTGAGGCTCTTAGCTCCATGATTGTTGAATGTTTCACTGTACCCACAATTACCAATTGTTCACGAGTCTGAGCATAGTAGGTAATATGGTCAGGCTCTGTGTGTCCCCACTGAAATCTCATCCTGAATTGTAATCTGAATTGTAATAATCCCCACATGTTGGGGGAGGGATCTTGTGGGAGGTAATTACATCACAGGGGCAGTTCCGCCATGCTGTTCTCATGGTAGTGAGTGAGTTCTCATGAGATCGGATGGTTTTATAAGGGTTTTTCCCTCACTTCGCTCAGCATTTCTCCTTGCTGCCACCATATGAAGGACATGTTTGCTTCCCTTTCAGCCATCATTGTAAGTTTCCTGGGGCCTCCCCAGCCCTGCAGAACTGTGAGTCAATTAAACCTCTTTCTTTTATAAGTTACCCAGTCTCAGGCAGTTATTTACAGCGCATGAGAACGGACTAAGACAGTAGGTTTGCGAGACAGTTATCAACAAATGCAAGCAAGGTGTCAGCTGTCAGAGGCACACATCATGGGTGTATGTTAGTTTCCTGGGACTGTCATAATAAGCACCAGTTGGGTGGCTTGACAGGACAAATGTTTATTCTTCCACCTTTCTGGAGGTCAGAAGTCAAAAATCAACGTTGTATTTGTTCTTTTTTATGCTGCTGATGAAGACATACCCGAAATTGGGTACAAAAAGAGGTTTAATTGGACTTACAGTTCCACATGACTGGGGAGGCCTCAGAATCATGGTGGGAGGTGAAAGGCACTTCTTACATGGCAGCAGTAAGAGAAAAATGAGGATGAAGCCAAAGTGGAAACCCCTGATACACCTATAAGATCTCGTGAGACTAATTTCACTATCACGATACTAGCACGGGGAAGACCAGCCCACGTGATTCAATTACCTCCCCCTGGGTCCCTCCCACATGTGGAAATTCTGCGAGACACAGTTTGAGTTGAGATTTGGGTGGTGACACAGCCAAACAATATCATTCCACCCGGTCCCCTCCAAATCTCAAATCCTCACATTTCAAAACCAATCATGCCTTCCCAATAGTCCCCCAAAGTCTTAACTCATGTCAGCATTAAGCCAAAAGTCCACAGTCCAAAGTCTTATCTGAGACAAGGCAAGTCCCTTCCACCTATGAGCCAATAACATCAAAAGCAAGCTAGTTACTTCCTAGATACAATGCGGGTACAGGTATTGTGTAAACACAGCCGTTCCAAATGGGATAAATTGGCCAAGACAAAGGGGGTTACAGGGTCCTTGCAAGTCCAAAACGCAGGGGGGCAGTCAAATTTTAAAGCTCCAAAATGATCTCCTTTGACTCCATGTCTCACATCCAAGTCATGTGGATGCAAAAGGTTGGTTGCCATGGTCTTGGGCAGCTCTGCCCCTGTGGCTTTGCAGGATACTCACGGCTGCTTTCACTGTCTGGTGTTGAGTGCCTGCAGCTTTTCCAGGCACGTGGTGCAAGCTGTTGGTGGATCTACTGTTCTGGGGTCTGGAGGATGGTGGCCCTCTTCTCACAGCTCTACTAGGCAGTACCCCAGTAGGGACTCTGTGTGGGGGCTCCAACCCCACATATCCTTTCTGCACTGCCCTAGCAGAGGTTCTCCATGGGGGCCCCACTCCTGCAGCAAACTTTTGCCTGGACTTCCAGGCATTTCCATACATCTTCTGAAATATAGGCAGAGATTTCCAAACCTCAATTCTTGACTTCTGTGTACTGGCAAGCTCAATACCACGTGGAAGATGCCAAGCCTTGGGGCTTCCACCCTCTGAAGCCAAGGCTCGAGTTCTACCTTGGCCCCTTTCAGCCGTGGCTGTAGTGGCTGGGATGCAGGGCACCAAGTCCCTAGGCTGCACACAGCATGAGGACCCTGGGCCCAGCCCATGAAACCACTTTTTCCTCCTGGGCCTTGGGCCTGTGGTGGGAGGGGCTGCCATGAAGGTCTCAGTCATGGCCTGGAGATATTTTCCCCATGGTCTCGGGGATTAATATCAGGCTCCTTGCTACTTAATGAAATTTCTGCAGCCGGCTTGAATTTCTCCTCAAAAACTGTTTTTATTATTTTCTTTTCTGCTGCATTGTCAGGCTGCAAATTTTCTGAATTTCTAGGCTGTTTCCCTTTGAAAATGGAATGGTTTTAACAGCACCCGAGTCACCTTTAGAATGCTTTGCTGCTTGGAAATTTCTTCCACCAGATACCCGAAATCATCTCTCTCAAGCTCAAAATTCCACAAATCTCTAGAGCAGGGGACAAATGCTGCCAGTATCTTTGCTAAAACATAACAAGAGTCATCTTTGCTTCAGTTCCCAATAAGCTCTTCATCTCCATCTGAGACCGTCTCAGCCTGGACCTTATTGTCCATATTGCTATCAGCGTTTTGAGCAAAGCCATTCAACAAGTCTCTAGGAAGTTCCAAACATTCCCACATTTTTCTGTCTTCTTCTGAGCCCTCCAAACTGTTCCAACCTCTGCCTGTTACCCAGTTCCAAAATCACTTCCACATTTTCCAGTATCTTTTCAGCAGCACCCCACTCTACTGGTACCAATTTACCATATTGGTTCATTTTCACACTCCTGGTAAAGACATACCTGAAACTGGGAACAAAAAGAGGTTTAATTGGACTTACACTTCCAAATGGCTGGGGAGGCCTCATAATAATGGCGGGAGGTGAAAGGCACTTCTTACATGGCAGAAGCAAGGGAAAAATGAGGAAACAAAAGTGGAAACCCCGGATAAACCCATCAGATCTTGTGAGACTTATTCACTGTCAAGAGAATGGCAGGGGAAAGACTGGCCCCCATCATTCAATTACCTCCCCCCTGGGTCCCTCCCACAACACATGGGAATTCTGGGAGATACAATTCAAGTTGAGATTTGGGTGGGGACACAGCCAAGGCATACCAAATGTGCCTGCAGGTCGGGTCCTTTGGAAGGTTCTGAGGGACTAGCCTAACCACCTCATCTTAAATTGATTACACCTGCAAAAACCCTATTTCCAAATAAGGTCACATTAAAAAATACTGGGGGTTAGGACTTCAACATGTCATTTCTAGGAACACAGATCCACTGGTAGCCTGGTCCACAGGGCACTGGGATTCAGGGTGAGATACAAACAGGTCTCACTGCTCTCCAGCCTCACCTGGGATGGGCTTTCCTTCAGAAAGATGGTCCATGATTGCTAGAAGCAGTGCTCTGGAGTGGTTCTCTGATGAAGAAGCACACTGTGTTCTCTCTTTTTTTTGGTGGAGGTTGTGTTCTGTATCTCATCTGATGGTGGCTACACAAGCACACATGTGTAAAACTTCAACAAGCTGTACACTTATGGTTTGGTATTTTACTGTACATCACTGACATCTCAAAGATGTTTAAAAAATGATGCTGGGCTTAATCTAGCACATATTTTCTGTGGCGTTTATACTACAGGAATCTGTACATGCCCTGATCTGACAGTGAGCCACGTCACTTTCTGACTTACACAATATCTTGCGTTCATATGTAGTAATCATATCCTTGAGTTAATTATATACATACCAGCAATGTTCTTTTTTCCCTGCATTATTCATATAGTAATTTTATTTACTTCATTTGTTCATTATTTGATTCATTATATGAGAGTTTACTATGCCCTAGATATTGTAGAAATTGCTGCAGAGGCAAAGATGACTCATACCTAGTGCCTGCCTTTGAAACACTCTCTAGTCACAGAGTCAGAGGAGAAACAGACAGTTATGTAACAAGTACAAGGCCACATCTGCAGACCACTGGGCACCAGAGGGGCCCCGGGGTAGGAGTCCTTAGCAGGCAGAGCTTGGCCAAGGCAGCAAAGGGAGGGATGTTTGAGTGAGGGCTGGAGACAGAGAAATCTAATGATGGATGTAGGGGTCAGACAAATAGGTGAAGAATACAAAGGACGGATCGTGGGACAAAGATATATACATTTGTGTGTGTGCGTGTATGTTTATGTGCATGTGTGTGTGTGCTTGTGCGTGTGTGCATGTGCATGTGTGTGCATGTGTTTCTGTGCGCATGTGTGTGTATGTGCATGTGTGCATGTCTGAATGTGTGTATAAACACACGTGTGCATCTATACATGCATGTATGCATTTGCAGTGAGCGTCCCCATCTCTGCTCTCGGAGGAAAGATCCCTTGCCTGCTTGGTCAGCATTAGGTCAGGACCTAGTTGTGCTGGGTGGGTGAGGCATGAAGAGGAGATGCAGATGAGCAGATGAAAGCAGACCAAGTGGTTTTATCAGAGGCCTGATGTGAGAGGGGAGTGACACAGGGGCAGAGATGTTGTAGGAGTGCCAGGAGATGATGGTGATGAACAGCCATTGTGAGCCACAGCATTCAGGGAGAGGACCAGATGAAGGGAGCATAAGGGTCCTTCCTGTATGTGGTGCACTCTGGCCTGTCCCTCTTCCTCGCTCCCCCAGAGACGAGGCAGTACATGTTCACATTCCTCTCTCGCTTGCTGGGGCTGTGTTTAGCTCCTAGTAGATGCCACCCTGTGGAGCCAGGCCCTTAGGCTGGAGCAGAGAACTGCGTTGGTTCTGGTTACAATAATAACAGGTTTTTTTTAATATCTAGTGCTCTTCAGGAGTCAGCTCCTGTACAGGCATTATCTCTAATTTTCAAAATAAGCTTGTGAGACTGACTTAAACATTCAGGAAATGCAGAAGTGTTGGCTTGCCCAGGCTGCCACTGACTTGCCTGGTGTCAAAGCCACCATACTACCTTTCCAAACTCAAACTTTCTGGCTTTTTGGGGTCCGTACACAAGGCTCATACCCAGAAGTCCATGTCTTTATATTCTTCATTGTACACAACATGAGAGTTCAAGGCAAAGCAAGAAAACGGCATGATAGTCCCTCGCTGGCAGGCTGAGTCTTGGGGTGACAGGCCACATTTCCTCTGCACCCCCACCCCAGTCCCGCAGCTTAGCCCACAGCCAGGCACACGAGAGCAGTGGGCTTCCACTCTCCAACCCCTCCACAGCGCGTGCAGCCCCCTCAGTAACACGGGCTCTGCTGACGGCTTTCACGCACGCTGTCTCAGTCAATTCTCAGAATAAATCTGTCTTCTACGAAAAGCTCTCCCCACCTTCCCAGTGTGGAAGTAGAGATTCTGGGCGGTAGAGCCTTTCGCTCAGTTCCACCCAATCCTTAACTCTGCAGTAGACTCAGTCCTGGTGAGTGCCTCTGTCCTGCTCCATACACTCAGCTTTCCACACTTAGCTCCCATCTGCTGAGACCATCCTTTCCCCAGGGACCTTTGTGTGGGGAGTCCATACCCACTCACTTCCAGGACCTGAAGGACGGACAAACGCCTTCTGCACTCTTCTGACAGTAAGAGCTTCTCTGCACTTAACGTTCACTGAAAATTCGGTGCTCACTGAGCACTTTAGTTCCATTCTCTGAGAACAGCCCTGTGAGAAGGGTGCCATTGTCCCCATTCACAGAAGAGGAGACCCTGGCCTGGAAGGCCTGCATGGTTACACGTCTTCATCCAGCAGGGAGGCATTGGTGCTGGAAACCTGCAGGGACCACTGCCTTCACACACTGCACTCATGGACCATGTAGGTGTCTCCCCAAAGAAGATAATAATTTATGTTCAGCTTAGTTTCAGCTTTAATTTCTATTCTGTTGATTAATTTTAATGTGATGCATCCCACTGTGGGAAAACCACTGGCTCTTTCAAAAGATCAATCATCCACTCAGAGAATATGGGTCCTGGATTAGGACTAGGGGTCATCTATACAACGAGATTATACAAATCCTGAGGACACTTCTTTGGTATTCCTGGGATTCGATCCCATCTGGGCCTCTTGTTTCAAATTCCACCCATCATTGTTGGCCATCTGACCAGCAAAGTGCTGAGGCTCTGCCATGTGGACCTTGCCATTCCTCAAATCTCCTCAGTAGGGTTTTGGCAGACAGGTCAGAGACCACTGAAGAACTCAGACTCAGAGTGCTTGGACGGGAGTGTCTGGGGCAGGTGTGGCAATGGACCACAGAAACAGAGGCAAATCCTGCTGAACTGGTGCGAGGGCCGCAGCCAGCCCTGCCCATCTGGAGCGAGCCACAGCTTTTGCTTAGCTGTGATGTTCTGCATATCAGGCACAGGCCTCCCTGCCCAGGGCTCTGCTGCATCATTAACCAGGAGCAACGGGAAAGTCACTGTGTCTGGGAGAAGCTGCAGAGATCCCAAGCTTCCGGATGTCACCACATGGTGCTGTGGTGAGAACAAAAACATCTCCCCCTAGACTGGACATGCCTAAGAAGGGCTCTCAGCAAAGCTGCCAGGGTGAGCACTAGCTGTGGAACAGGCTTTGGTACCACTTCTCCTGCTTGCCAGTGGTGCCCCTACAGAGAGAATTTCAGTTCTGCAATTGAAGTGAAAATGAACTTTCAAAAACAGCTTTGCAAGTTTAGATTGAGTGTTAAATTTGCTACTAGCTTAAAAATAAGTGAATTCACCTTCAGAGAAGTCTAACATCTAGGAATTAGAAACTTAGAAGTGGCATCTTTTTTTCTTTCATAGAAAAGCATGTCAGATTTTAGTGTAAATTGCACGAAAAGTGCAGAAATTAATTTGTCTTTCTCCAACTTTGTGAATATATGATTTTAAGCCTGTATGGCACTAATTTTATAAGTCTCATACATTGCTTATATATAAATCCTTTTATGAGGACTTTTAAAAATCATCAACATTGTGCAGCTTGAGGTATAATAAACAAAATATTTCCTGGACTGAATGACAAGCTATTCATTGAAAGTGTGTCTATACTGTAGTAGTGGAAGGGAGATTGGCCTCTTCTCTGACGTCTGTATCAGAACAGCCTTTCTCTTTTTTTTTTTTTTTTTTGAGATGGAGTCTCGCCCTGTCGCCCAGGCTGGAGTGCAGTGGCACAATCTCAGCTCACTGCAAGCTCCGTCTGCTGGGTTCACGCCATTCTCCTGCCTCAGCCTCCTGAGTACCTGGGACTACAGGTGCCTGCCACCACGCCCAGCTAATTTTTTGTATTTTTAGTGGAGACAGGGTTTCACCGTGTTAGCCAAGATAGTCTCGATCTCCTGACCTGGTGATCTGCCCACATCAGCCTCCCAAAGTGCTGGGATTACAGGCGTGAGCCACTGCACCTGTCCAGAACAGCCTTTCTCTTATTTTTAATGCTTTCAAATCAACACATGACCATTATTCCACTAAATAAAATATGAAGTTGCTCTGTAGTTTAAAAATAATGATTACAGGGAGTTTAGTTTGAACTAAAAATAAGTTACCCAGCAATTTCAATTACTGAAGAAAAATTTTTTCTGGGCACAGATTCAAGGGGCCACAACCTGGAGCCCCACCCTGGATGGGCCTCCCAGCTTCTGCTATCCCTTCCTGACTTCACTGAGGCCAGTGGGGCCTAACCCAGAAGTTCAGTGAGAAGACATATCTCAGGACCAGAGCCTGTCTCTCTGATTACTTCCTCCACAGCTCCTAGCCTGGTTTCCCAGCCGTGCTCCGCATTCAACCCCTGGAGCCATCGTCAGGCATTACTTCTCTGATTCTGACTCCATCCCTTATTCAGCTACAATTTGTGGTCATCACTGGGGAAACATTGGTCTTTAGTTCTGGTAAACAACCCAACAAGCTTAACACCCACCATCCAGGGTCCAGCTCCTCCTCAGCCCTGCACACAGACAGCATTACCAAAGAGGAAACCAAACTAAGGCTGGAGAGAGAAGCGATGGTTTTGCCAGAGCATGGGGTTCCCAGCAGCCTGGGGGAAGTGTCAGGAGATGTTCCTCCCCTCCACAATGATTTTGGTCAGGGAGAGTCAGACAAGGGTGAGAGCACAAGAGACAGGAAAACAGAAAATAGCATGAGTCACTGACTGGCACCTGCACTGGGCCAGGCTTGGCGCACATAACCCTCATCCGTGAATGGTCCTGCTGGTGAGGTCAAGCAAGTCCCTGAACTTGCATGGTTAGCAGGGACCAGAGGGGAGGTTTGGACCCAGGCTTTCTGTTGCTAAAAACCCCTCCCATCGTAGTCAGCCTCCACCAGGGGCCCTGGATCTTGTATTTTTGTTTTTATCCCTTTCATAATTAGTTATTTTCCCTGTTTCTCCTACTTCACTTTGACAGTGAAGCCTTATTTCTTTTTATTGCTAGCTGGCATGCATGGCTGAGATATTCCCTGAAAGGCCTTTTGACCATTCTGGGACTAGAGGATTCTCGGTAGGTCATCTCAGGGACAATTGCATTCACACAGGAGGCACAGACTAGGATCCTGTGTGAACACCACAAACAGGCCAGCCCTGGAAGCCCCTTCCCAAGAAGCCAGAGTTTCATGTGAGATCCACACCACTCAGGTAGGGCAGGTGCATGTGGTCAGGACAGAACAGGAAGGCCTTCCCATAGAGCTAAAGAAAGAAGAAAGAAACATGAAAAGTGGCTCAACAGTCAAAGACAGTTTTATTTTGGAGAATAAACCTGAGAGGGGCTCCTGGCCAATTTCCATCAGGAGCATTCTCTCTTAGAGACTAAGGGTATTTAAGGGTTTAGGAAGGGGGAGTTTATTGCAGGCTTGGAATGTTTCTGTGTGAGGGAAAGTTTATTGCGGGGCTGGCATGTCTCTGGTCAGAGGGTAGGTTATCTTGGGATTGGCATGTTTCTGGCTGGAGAGGGGTTTATCTCAGGGTTGGAATGTTTCTGGTCATGCTGACATTAACCATTAGGCTGAGGTTTTGGGGCTGGATTTAGGCGGTTTTTAATCAAGGGAACTTAAAATGGCCGTGCGTGTCCAAGATGGCAGTGTGTGTCCAAGATGGCAGTGCTGCGGCTCTGTCACTTCCCTCCTCAGGGCCCCAGTCCAGAACTGGCTCCCATCAGAGATGGCTGAGTGGGGAGGGAAAATGAACTGAGAAAAGGAGAGAAGGTGGGCGCTTATACAATGTAGGATATGGATATGAACCCTTCCCACCCACGCCTTTTAAATGAGCATCTCTGCAGATACTGTTCAGAACCCCTAAAGCCTCACACTGGCTGGGGGGCCCCAACTTCATCCTATTTCACAATAGGACCACAGGAGGTGGTGTGCTCTGTGACCACATACCAAGTGGCAAGCAATGGGGGCTCCAGATGCCCAATTTGCTTCTCCACACGCTGCCCATCTCTGACTGCCCCCTTCTTCCCTTCCCTTGCCTGTTGGGAGAGAAAGTTTGCATCATTCTTCATTTCTTTTGATTTCCTATTTTCCTCCCTTCCTGGTGTGAACAGATAAAATGAATTACACACAGACGTAAAGAAAGGGGGTCTTCCCCTAAACCAGGAGACTGTCTGGGCAGGCATTTGCTGCAATTGAAGTCTGACAATGGGGCGAGACATCAGACGCCGGGAAAGCCTGTGGCACCTCCTGCAGGGGCTGAGGGGCCCCAGCCTTGCTGTTCCAGGAATCCACTCCAGGAAAAAGCTAAAAGCCTCTGCACCACTGCCGAGTTCATTAAATGGCTTCTGCCATATTAATCTTTTGTTTCTACTTAATGGAGGTTACAGTGAATGGGAGGGGATGAGAGCCCAGGGTGTGTGGGCTCGATGGGAAATCACCATGGGAACGGCAGCTCGATCACCAATTGGTGATTAGCTGCCCAGTGCCCACCCCCGGAATTCCATCTTGGAAGAGCACAAGGTGCAGGTGGTGGCTCGGCAGACCGCAGACCTGGAGTGACGGGTGGCAAATGGCCCCACAGGTCACCCAGAGCCTCCTCCGTGGCTGGCCTGGCCACGGCCTGCCCTCCCCGTCCCGGGGGACACTGCCAGCATCGACGAGAAACAGCTGAGTCAGGAGCTTTCTGTGTGAGCAGAGAGTGTGCCTGCCAGTGCTGTTTTCACAGCCGACATTTTCAAAGGACAGGGAGGGAGCATCCCCCTGGCAGAGCCGCAGGGCTCCATCCCCGGCCTGGGAGGTTCATGCAGACCCGGGCCACACCCAGGAGGCCAGAGCCTGCTGCAAATGCAAATCCTCTCCCCCAGAGAGCTCGAAGTGGCCCAGCCACTGGGTGTTCAGAGCCCCTGGGAGCTACGAGGGCTGGCCCGGGTTGGGAAGCCCTGAATGGCCTTCGCAGAAGAGGAGATTCTTCTGAGAGGCAGGCGGTGCAGCGCAGAGCAGGCTGGGCGGGGTACCCAGGATGGGGGGACTAGGCAGTGTGGAAAAGGCCACTGTTCCAGCCTCCAGTTCACACCTGCCCTCCAGAAAATTCTTTCCACGGAATTATAGGGCTAGAATATGATGAAGGATTTTCATTCTGATGGCTTCTAGACATTTTCTTATCCATACAACTTTTTTATATGAAATTTTACAAGTGGTCTCAATACACAGGAGAGCCAGTGGACATGTAGCTGTCTTACTTACGATGGGGCAGAAGCAGAAAAGAAAGAAGCCAGCCCCTCTTGAGGGACCCTGGGATATGTTCATGGACCTCCAGGATTCCAAAATGCTGAGTTTTTAAACTACCAAGTTATTGCAATCTCATTTCTTTTGTTGGAATTATTCTTTACAGCATACCTAACGAACAATTATTTTAAGTACTTGGTAGGAAAATGGCCAGCCTTCCCTAACAAAATATATTTTTATCCTCTATTTCTAAAAGAAACTCCTATTTTTTTATCTAAATAATTATTACACAATTTAGGGAAAATTACTATCAGTGATAGGGAACTCACTACCAGTCAAGCTATTTCTATATTTGGATTAACTTCTGATAGTGTGACCTTCAGAAATTTACTTCCCCTTTAAGAATCTTAATTTTTGTGTGCAAAATAAAAATAATAATGATACCAACCTCATCAGGTTGCTGAAATAATTGAATGAGATAAATTAACTTAAAGCCTGGCACGTGATAAATGCTCAGTGAAAGTTAGATATCATTACTGAAAACAATTGTCACTATTCAGACGCTCTTATTATTGAACTGAAACCTGCATAGCTAAATTTTCCCCAATGCTTCTTAGCTATATCCCTGAGAGCCACCCAGAATGAATAAATTGAACTCCCTCAGACTTCAGAGAAAATAGAATCCTTCAGTCAAGACCCACTTAGCTTTCAGGCCACCAAACTGAAAAACTGACTTGAAACTTCATCCTTCCTTTGTCTGCTGTCCATTTTGTTTTGCTTACTATTTTAGGGTTCTCCATAGAAACAAAACCAATATAACATATATCTATCTATGGGAATAGATATATTTATCATGGGGGAATATTGGCTCACATAATTATTAAGGCTAAGAAGACCCACAATCTACATCTGCTAGCTGCAACCCCAGGGAAGCTGGTAGTGTTGTTCCAGTACAAACTCAGAGGCCTGAGAACCAGGGGAGTCACTGGTGTAAGTCCAAGCCCAAGTCCAGAAAAGAACCAGGAGCACAAAGGCCCAAGAGGAGGAGAGGATGGATACCTCAGCTCAAGCAGAGAGATAATCTGCTCTTCCTCTGTTGTTTTGTTTCATCTGGGCCCTCAGTGAATTGGATGATGCCCTCTTACATTGGTGAGGGCCGTCTTCTTCTTTACTCAGTTTACTAGTTCAAATGCTAGTCTCTTCTGGACGCACCCTCACAGAAACATCCAAAAAGCATGCTTTACCAACTTTCTTAGTTTGTTTTACATTGTTAAAAGGAACACCTGGGGCTGGGTAATTTATAAAGAAAAGAGGTTTATTTGGCTCACAGTTCTACAGGCTGTACAGAAAGCACGGTACCAGAATCTGTATCTGGTGAGGCCTCCAGGAGCTTCTACTCATGGTGGAAGGTGTAGGGGAGAAGGCATCATACAGTGGGACAGGAAGGATGAGCGAGGGAGGAGGTGCAAGATGATTTTCAACAACCCAATCTTGCAGGAACTCATAGAGTGAGAACTCATTGTTAAGAGGAGAACACCAAGCAATTCATGAGGCATCCATCTCCATGACCCAAAAACCCCCACTAGGTCCCACCTCCAACACTGGAGGTTTTTAAATCTCATGTTAAAAAAATTTTAACATGAGATTTGGAGGGGACAAATATTCAAACCAACTACCTGGGCACCCTGTACCCCAGTCAAGTTGACACCAGTTGACCCCAGTCAAGCCTGCTCTCTTGAGAACCTCCTTCTATCAGCATTTGACCTCTCCTCTCCCTTCCAGCATCCACCCTCTATGAGCCCACACCAGCATGCACACCTGCTCTTGGATCATCCCAACAGCAAAAAAAAAAAGAAAAAAAATCTCTCCACCCTCATTCACTTCTGGCCACAGTCCTGTGTTATGTCTTCTGTCCACCCCGACTTTGCAAGAAACTTGACCTCCATGGCATCTGTGTTTCCCTGCTTCCCATGAATTCTTCATGACTTTTCCCCTGGAAACACTCTCTTTGAGAATATCAGTGACTTCTTATGATAAAAGTCAATGGATGATTTTCAGATTTTGTCTTTGTGTTTGTTTGTTTTTAAGAATCTTTCAGCAACATGATAATATTGATTACTATATTGTTTATTGAAAAGTATTCTTTTCAACACCAAAAAAGGATTTTTTTGGTGTCAGATGCCCTGGATTTTGCTTTAGCCAGTGTATTAGTCACTTTGGGCTTCCACAATAAAATCTCACAGACTGGGCAGCCTGAACATCTGGAATCCATTTTCCCATGGTTCTGGAAGCTGAAAGTCTGTGACCAAAGAGCCGTCAGGGTGTGTTCTCCTGAGACTGATGTCTGCATGGGCTGGACAGAGCAACTCCATGTCACCCAGATCTCGTAAACGCAGCATTCTCAACACCGACGTGGTCATCATTCCCAGAACAGGTGTCTGTTCTTTCCTCTGTGTTCCACATCTCAGTGAACTCATTTATGTATTCACCCACCCACCCATCTTTCCATCCAAAAAATATGTCATGAGCACTGTGCCTGAACTGTCTCTATACTCACAGAGCTTACAGTAGAAGGAGAATGTCAGATTTTAATTAAATAATTTCATGAACCAATGGAAAATTTCATGTACAGTAGGCACTGTGACAGAGAGATATGCAGGCACATGACAGCAGGTGCCAGGGATGTTGCCCAGTTCATGAAGAAGGGGTTGCTTTCCAAAGGGAGAAGTCCCTCAAGCTAACACCGAAAAGATAGAGGGAGTAAGTGGGCACAAGGGAACAGTGTTCTACCCCAGGGAAGAGTGTGCAAGGGTGGGGACAGGGTGGTGTGAGTGATGGGTTGGGGGCCGAGGAGCAGGGGAAGCCAGACCCTGTCAGGCACTGTGGGAAGTCATGAGCACATCTTTTTGTTTCTGTGAAAAGTAACGGAAATCCACTGGGGGTGTGAAGTAATGGGGTGACAGTGTCCGATTTTCATTTTAAATAATGTATCACTTTGATTATCTTATGGTGAGTGCATTGGAGGAGAGAAGTAGGTAAACAGTGATATTATTGCAATGGTCCCAGCAGCTTTGGCCCGAGTAGTGGTGGGGAAAATGCAGAGATGAATTTATGTTTAAGAGACATATGGGGAAATAAAACCACATGTCATGGTGATAGATTGAACTTGAGAAGTAAGAAAGGGAAAGGTGTTGCTGTAGTTTGAATATGTTCCCCAAAGTTGATGTGTTGGAAACCATCCCCACTGCAGCAGTGTTGACAGGTGGCATCTTTAAGAGGTAACTGGGTCAGGGGGCACTGTCCTCATAAATAGATCAATGCCATTGCCAGAGAAGTGGGTTCCTGCTAAAACGGATGAGTTTGGCTTCCTCCGTTCCCTCCCCACCTCCCTTTCCTCCTTTTCTCCCTCCCTTCCCCAACCTCCATCTGCCTTTTGCTATGGGAAGAGACAGAAAGAAGACCCTTGTCAGACACGGACCCCTCGACCTTGGACTTTCCAGGCTCCAGAACAGTATGAAATAAATCTCTGTTCTGTATGAGTTACCCATACTCATTACCATTTTGTTATAGGAGAGCAAAATGGACTAAGACAGTTGTCACAATGATTCTTGGTTTCCAGGCTTGTACAACTGAATGGGCAATGATAACCTCTGAGAGCAGAGGGGCTGTGGGAGGGGCTTGGGGAAAGGGCCACTGGCATGTATTTGAGATAGACTAGCGGAGAAGCCAGGAAAGAGGAATGTCAGGGGAGGGGCTGGGTCTGGGTTGGAGGTCTCAGCTAGTGAGCAAGTGTGTGGAGGGAGTGTTTTTAGTCGTGGGTACAGAGGCTGTCTGGGGAGAGAGCACAGAGCAGGGAGGGGCGAAGATGGAGACCAGAGCCAAGACCCCAAGGCTTACCGACTTGTAGGGGAGGATGAAGCACCAAACAGGACTGTGAGGGCCCCGCTGGGTTATGGGACAAAACAAGAGGAGTCCGAGGTCACGGAAACCTAGAGATGTGAAGGACTTTGCCGAGGAAGGAGGCTCTTTGCAGTGTTTAGAAGCCTGGAGGTCATTGTTTATTTAGACAAAAGTGGTTACTGAGTCCCAATGTGGGAAGAGACCAGACTGGACCCTGTTGAGGAGTGAATGGGAAGGAGGAATTGGGAGTCATGTCCTGAGACCTTGCTCAGGAAGTATGCACTTTAAGGAAGATGGAGGAGTTGAACAGAAGCAAGAGGTGGACGCAGGGTCAAGAAAGAAACGTCTTGGCTACTTCATTCATCTGCTTTTAAGCATGTGTTATCGAATGGAGAAAATGTTATCGGACTTACCCAGTTCAGGGTTAAACACCCGTCACCCCTTTTGCTGAGTGTTGGTGGCTGAAGTGTCACATGAGTCCCTCTCCAGCCAGTGCCCATGGCTAAAGAGAGCTGTCCTGTCTAACCGCACCCCCTTTTCTGGGGGCAACCTCATCAGTGACTGGTCATTGCAGGGCTATAAATGCCCAGTCACCTCACCTCAATAAGGAAGGCTCCGAAGGGCTGTCCCAGCTGCAGAGGACTGGCTGATTGATTGATCTGACGAATGGCTGATTGATTGGCAGGGACAGAACTGCAGTGCAGCTTCTGCCTTGCCTCCCCTGCTCACTTTACTCCCCAAGGGATTGGTCCTGGATCCTTCCATGACTACAACCCTTTCCCAGGTAGCCAGGCACTATATTAGGAGGTGGTGTCTGCCATGAGCACTCTAGTCCTGTTTTGTTTACCTCCCGGCAGAGTATTTGCTGCTTCAAGGAAGCTGGCAGAGGAAAGGCTGGACATAGAGCTCCTTCAACGTGCTCCCTCCGCTCCCATGCTCCCTCCGCTCCCGTGCTGCCTCCGCTCCCACGCTGCCTCTGCTCCCGTGCTCCCTCAGCATAGCAGTCATCCCTCCTGGATGTGAAGGGCTTCATTCATGGCCACCATGCTGCACTGAGTCTTTAAAAATACACATTGTTGCTGAAATACGTGCCCCTGCAGCACACACACACATTTCATCCACTCTCTCAATTAGATCACGAACTGTGTCCTGTGACCATACACTGCATCCTCCATTTCTGTCATTTATTTTGCATTAGGTTGAGCATTTTGATCCATGATAACTGAAAAAAATAATTTTTTTGAATTCACCAAAATGAAATAAAGAAAGATTATTAGGCTGCATGATAAAATTCAAGCTTTATAACTGGAGGTGTCTTCAAGTGAATGATCTAAGAGTGAAAAATAGAGTAATCAGTAAGCAATTAAGCATTGGTAAAAGTCCATTAATAATATGAAGAACACCATAAACATCTCTCAGCCTGGGAGTATCGAACAACAATTATATAATGCAATGCTATCTGGATAAAACTGTGGCCTCAGAAAATTTTTAATGACCTGGAATTTGAAAAAAAAAGGAAAAAGTTATTGCAGTCATCACAATGTATTATTAGAACTACTTTTTCCAGGAAAGTTATTTCCTTGCTACATAGTCCATGTGTATTTTTGTGGTACATTATCTCCCTCCTCAGTGGCCAGGTTAACACTGGAGGGCCAGGATCACCCCTGCCTTGTGAATGGAATGTCATCCACCACCTGGAAGATAGCCTGGTGTATGCAAGCACCCAATAAACACTGGAATGGTGGGTGGGTGGATGGAGAGAAGAATATGTAAATGCATATTTACCCCTTAAATTTTGAAGAGTGTCTAGTGAGCCTAGTTGTTAGTATCTGGCACACACATATCCAAATTAATTATACATATTCTAGAGATTTGGGAGGCACTAAACTTTTATGAAGACAGGCAGTATATTATCACTGTTGTATGCTAAGGCCTTAACTCATGGAGGAGCCGCATCCTGGATGGTATCCTGTTCCAAATCAAGCAGTTTTCAGAACTATTGATTTATTTCTTCACTCATTCATTCAAAAAACCATTGTGTGTTTGCCATGAGTTTGACATCAGAGTAAGTAAGATCTTATTCCTGCTCTCATGAAACTCTGACCACTGTTAAAACATTATCTTATGTATCAGTTCCACAATTTATTTGAATTTATTTGCTTCGTTTTGTCTCATCTTTATTTTTCTTTGTTTTTATTTTAGGGGCATGGTTACTCTCCTTCAGGTAATAATTGTGTGGTTTGCTGACATTATATAACCTGCATGTCTGATATTGTAAAGCACATTGTTGCTATTACGAACACTTATTTTTATCTACCCTCACAGAAAGTTTCTCATGCTAAACATTCTGCTAGGCACATTATATACATGAACACATCCTCATAACTATGACAGGATATTATCTCCATACATTTGTTGTGAAAATCATGGCTTCAGTATACAAATGTTTTGTAGATAGACATACATAGGCTGAGAATGTGAATCCACATCAGTCTGATGCCAAAGCTGGGGTTCTTGTGAGCTTCGATGCACCTAACATTGGCCAGGTAAACTAGATGTTAATTCATCAGGCAGTTGCATTGTTAAATCAAAGCAAATAAAAGTTGTTAAAAACAAAGTCATGTTCGTTAAATTTAGTTTTGGAACCTGGTGGCATAAGTGACATATGGAAACTATGCAAGACATCATTAGTCATTCTGCTGGAATACCCAGAAGAGTAGTCAAAGTGCCTGTTCTCTGACAGAGTGTGGGTCTAATGCAGGCTCGTCCCCAGGATTTTCCTCTTTCCTCCAAGCTGTACTTGCTCCTGGGAATGCACTGCCTGTCTTGTTGCTCTAGTCGCTATTCACCAGAACCCACCTGATCAGAACAATCTCTGTGAGAGCACAGCCACCATTTTCACTGTGGACAGAACTTCCTTTCTTCTTCTTCTTCTTAATTTTTTTTTTTTTTTTTTTTTTTTTACAGAGTCTCACTCTGTCACCCAAGCTGGAGTGCAGTGGCATGATCTCAGCTCACTGCAACCTCTGCCTCCCAGGTTCAAGTGATTTTCCTGCCTCAGCTTCCCAAGTAGCTGGGACTATAGGTGCCTGCCACCGTGCCCAGCTAACTTTTGTATTTTTAGTAGAGACGGGGTTTCACCTTGTTGGCCAGGCTGGTCTCAAACTCCTGACCTCAGGTGATCTGCCCGCCTCAGCCTCCAGAACTTCCTTTCTACTGCAGCCACTGCCCGCAGACTCAGGACTCCCTGACATGGCACCCTGGCCCCTCATGTGTATTCAGTCAGAGAGAGCTCATAGGAATTTTCACCAGGAGCAGGTGCGGCGCAGCCCATTGTCAGCAGTTTGGGAAATCTGAGCGACCCCCCATTATCTCAATTTCATCGTCTACAAAAGGAAGAGGTTAGACTGTACACCAGAGAGGTTGCTGTGACCATGACATGGAATCATATAGTTAAAATTGCTTTAAGAATTCTAGAATCCAAAAACAGGATGCAGCTATTGTTACCTTCACTCTGCAGCATTGTTAGAATTTCCCCAGCTGGTCACTGAGAGCACAAAATACCCTCATTCCAGGTGGGGATTACGTATCGATTAATGAAATAGAGGATTCCGTCTGTGTCAGGGTCTTACAGCCTAACGTGTCTGCTGTTTCATTGCAATCCCTCTAAACTGAGCTGCCATGGCCCCAGATCACTCACCTCACCTCCCCGTGTGAAGGCCAGACCTTCTCTCACTGCTTTCTGGAGCTCTTTTTTTAAGGTCGTCCCCAAATTAGGTCAGAGTGCACCCTCAGCCTTTAGTACGTCTGATCAAGAACTAGCCTCGCCCTGCTGCCCAATTCCCCAGCCCTTGTGCTTTCCTCCAGGGTCTCCCCACTCCTGGGCAGCCTCCTCTTTCACTAGGATCAAAACAGGAATAGGTCATGTCTTCCTTATTCTGCCTCCACCCACCAGCCCTTCATCCTTAAAAACTGGCACAATCCAGCCACATTCACCCATCTCATTTAAGAAAACTTAAATGCAGATACAAATGGAATATCCACATAGCTGGGGGTGACTGTTCATCCGTTCTGCCCGAGGATGAAGAATATGAGACTCTGCAGCAGGGCAAGGTAAAACTCCAGTGCCGCCTTCTGCCCACTCCCAGGTTGGGATTTTTTTCACAGCTATTTTAAAGCTGCTTCCTTCTCCACCATCAGCCTCTTCTGGCCACAGTCGCTTTATCTTCCCTGGATTTTTGTCCTGAATATAGTGTCTATAGCCATTTGTTTGTGTAAAAATAGTTATTGCTGTTAACAACAGGATTCCATTTTGCACAGAGAGGAGCTGCCCAGGAGGGTGCCAGGCAGGCAGGAGAGCCCGTGGGGGCGCAAAGCTCAGAAGCAGCAGGAAGGAGCTGCAGAGAGACGCGGATCCATGGCAGAGCAGAGCCGTAGGAGCCACGTGGCCTTGGCGCGGTCTCTCTCTCGCTCTGCTCTCTGTCTGCTCATCCCTAAAACGGAGGTGCTGCACCAGGTTCCTCCGGGCGATCCTTAAGTCCCTGATATTGTGGGGTTGCCAGCAGCCTCCTCGGGAGTACCCACTCAGAGCTGTCTTCCAAAACTTTAGAAATTACATTTCTAGCAACCATGCAGGCTAACCTAAGAAAAACACACCCACTGGAGAATAATAGCACTTAAATGTTTCCACAAAATTTTACGTGGCTACATGTTTCTTTCACTGTCCTTATCTCATTTGATCCTAAGACTCTCCATTCTATAGACTAGGAAACTGAGATACAGAAATCGAGTGGGTTTTCTGGGGGCTCTGTGCAGAGCCAGATTAAAATCCAGGCCCAGGGGCCACCGATGGCTCCAGCAACATGTTTTTCAAAGGGGTTTTATCCTTCCTCCTTTTCCTGAACTTGGAGAGGCTCAGAGGGCCCGGGCTGCAGAGACAGTGCTGAGTGACCAGGCCTACTTCTGAAAGGGATGGAGGTCAGGCCAGGAATGAGACCTCAGGGAGTGGGCAGACCACGGGCACCCACTGTGCCAGCTGGAGCCAGGAGGGGCTGAGGGCACAGGCTGCCTGTCCTGGTTGCTGCGAGGGCTGCTCCCCTCCCTGCTTGTCTGCTCCTGCAGCCTCGGGCCATCGGGAGCTGTCAGCATTCCGAGGGGAGAGACACCTGATTGTCTTTGATTGTTCTGAGACTTTAATTAAAATTCATTCACTTTGCCTTGGTGATTGCTCAGGAGGCTTCTGGAAGGACAGCTACTTTGCAGCCTGTGAAGTGTCCATGTCCCTCTTGATCCATGCTTGGAAACAACACTGAAAGACCCCTCCTGGTCACCCAGAGGGAGGCTCATCTAGCGGCAGCTGCTGCCTCTGCCTGCACCAGGGAGCAAGAGAGGCACTGCCTGTGTCTGCACCTCTCTGGGTCACAGCCCCCAGCATGGCAGCCCCTGGGTACTGTATGCCACTATGTCTGGTGACCACCATGCTGAGCCCACTTCTGGAGCCTTGCAGGACACAGAGTCAAGCACTGGACTGCAACAGCTGAAAGGTGTATTTGCTTTACCTTTGTGTAATGAGTTTACCTTTTTGTAATGAGGAACCTACAAATGGACGGTGACTGGCCTTTGTCCCCACATTCAAGGGCATTAGGGCGACATTTCTGAAATGAGTCCCTAGTTCTTTCTCTCATGGTGCCACCATGACCCTGAAGCTCCAGCCATTATGCTCATGTTCCTACAGGAGGGAGGGAGATGGGAGGAGAGGAGGCCAAACCAGAGGGTCTTCCTTGCATCTCACTGGAAGTCTTTCTTCTGGGAGAGGTTGGGGACATCTAGTCACAGCAGGGCACATCCCCCTCCTAATTGCAGGGGCTCTGTTGACTGGGAGGTGGGAACCGGGGACTGGACAGCAGATTCTTACCCCCTTATGCAGAGACACAGGCAACCTCCACGGGCTCTGCTACCAACTAGGTGGTACAATATGAGCTAATCACTTACTAACTGTGTGTCTTCACTTTTTTTTTTTTTAATATGGGAAAGGACAGCAAGGCCCACACTTCTGCCTGTGGAGGTAAAATGAAAGCATGCATACCACGATGATAATGTATAAGAGCCACACTTGGCCTGAACCTTTGGAAGTGCTGTCGCGTGCATTAGTAGCTACTAATTTTCCAATTTGAGTTGATGCTACTTAGAGCTGCAGACATCTGTCGAATGTCTTTTGGGTGTGAGGTACGACACCGTGGGCAAACTGGAGAAGCCCCATCAGAGCCGAGGATTCTGAGTGCGTGATCAATGCTCCATTCGGCTTCTGCGACCTCATGTGTGGGCCCCATCCCACAGCACATCATTTCTAGAACCAGATCCAAGGAAAGAATTCACCCGACAGTGTGAGTGGCCAGTCACAGTTTAAGTGAGCTCTTAGACAGAGGTGTTCAAACCATTAGAACGAACTCACAATGGTGACTGTCAGGTGAAAAAGGAGGCTGGGTCTCTGCTGCAGACTCCATCAGAGCAAGTCCAGGATTTGAAGCTGAGAAACCTGAAGTCAAATTTTGCCTTTTCTCCTTCCTGATGATGACTTTCTTAGTCTGCAAGAGGGTGTGAAAAGTCCAGGGCTGTCTCGGGTGTAGTGATAGCACAAGGCCACATAGGTGGGAGCAGGCTGCAGGCCCCCAGATGAGAACGGGTGTGCTGTGTCCTGGAAAGGGAGTGTAATTAACGCTTCTTCAAGTCCCAGCTCCGCCACTGCTGAGGAACTGGCTCTTAGGAAAGTCATTGAAACTTCAGCTTCATGAAGTTCACATGGAAAACAGAAATAGCCGCATCTATTGCTGTAAGGCTGCTGTGAAAGTTTAAGCCTGTCGTGCATACAGTGGCCCTTGGCATGCACCAAACCTGCCGGTGGAAACACAGTGAAGCCAGACAGCTGACCGCTGGCCACCTTTACCTGGTTTCAGAGTCATTTTCATTGGCACATAGACTTGAACATCATACTCTTGCCTTGCACCCTCCAGTTTCAATGCCCAGAGTCTCGGGGAAGAATCCCACTCAGGGCACAGAATATACTAAGCTTGCTGATTTTCATGTTTCTGAAGATGTGGCATTCAGCCGGGAACCAATATTTTTCCTCTTCCTTCCTTTCAGGATCCTGGAACAGAGATTTTCAGAGAGAAAATAAAATGTAGCCAAACATTTTCTTTAGTGATGGAATCCTTGCCTGTGGGGTTTTCCTGGGAGCTCAGAGTCACTCATGATGGAAGCTCTTGTCAAGATGACTTGGGATAGAATCCCTCTGAAAATTATTGGAAAAATAATTGGAAACCTTGTGTCTAAGCTGGAATGAAAGGGCCCAGCTGGGCCCTCAACCTATGACATCACAGATGGGTGAGGCCCTGGGACTGGGTCCCAGACGGTTCCTCTTGTTCCTGGGTCTCAGCCCAGCACCACCAGCCAAGGGTGAGCATGAGGCTCTGCAGACATTCAGATTGCTAATTCAATGGATTTACTCAGGAAAGGAGCTGTGACCTAGGGCCTGACTTCTCCAGTGATCAATTCCCCATGATATTTTCTGCAGGACTCACAGAACAGGAATAGCCCCAGCTTTCATGGTCAGCTAAGACTCTCCTACTAGAGAGTGGTGGGGGCTGCATGGGGAGTCGGAGGAACTCAGACCCTTACGTGGAGGCCCCAGGAGCTCCCCGGGCTGCAGAGTCTACTCTGTGAGGGCGCTTTCCTAGAAGGAACACATGAACTCAATGTGCCAGTGACTAGCTGTGGCTGGCAGGTGCCCATCGGGGTTGTTCTTTGGGAAGAGAGCTGCTCCCCTTAACCATGGGACAGCTGGAGCTTGGAGGATGACTTGCAGCTGCGCAGAGAGAAGTTGTCCCAAAAGAAGGTGGCTCCTTGCAACCCAGCACGACTCAGGACGAGCAATAGGGGTCACCTGAAAGCTTTTTAGAAACGCAAAACCCCAGGTTTCACCCCAGAACTTCCCAGAATCAGAACCTGCATTTTGATAAGATCCCAGGAGCACCCCCCAACCCCCCACACTCAGTGTACACCTCTAAGTCTGGGAAGCCCTGCCCTGAAGGAGGTACCGCTGCCCTCTACTTGGCCAGGGCTGGGTTGCCTGGGAATTTCATTCGTCTTTTGGTTTCTTCAGTTCTCTGTCCAGCCTTTACAAAAATTAGTGCCATTTTTCTATTTTAAACCAATGTCACCTTGATCAAAAGTTCACCCTGCACTGCCCTGGATTCTGAGGGCAGCGTGGGAGGAGGCGGTGAAGGCATCTATATTTTCCCTCCACTCAGATATTACAAGCACCTCAGGTGTCTGAAATATCTCAACTCCCCCTGTGCAAATTGCAGGCACTGAGCCGCATAAGCCGGCGCTGGGCTGGCACTTCATCCCGGCAGGCGCTCAGCCTGCAGACACAGGGAGCTTTCCAGACAAGGGGAGAGGCAGCAGCTCTTTGTCCTCGGAGGAGGAGGGTGGGTCTGGGCTGCTGCCCCCTGTCAGCCCAGCTCTCCTCCTGCCCGATCCAGGACCAAGGGCAGGGCACCCAGAGGATAATGAGTAAGTAGGCCGGGCTGTCTGGGGCTGAGCAGCTGAGAATTGCATGCAGACAGACAGGAACAGCTTTTCTTTCTAGAAGGAGGACCAGGAGCAGTTTTGCAGCAGACTTCAGGGACTTCACCCTTTCAATCCCCACAGCCAGGGACAGACTCAATCTCAGTGCTTGCCACCCTGGAGGCACCCCTGTTTTATCAATACCACCTGCCTGCTTCCCGTAAAGCCAGCCCCATTGTCCTCACCAGTACAGCATGTCCTGTGAGGGGCACATGGCTGGCCATTAGTGTCTGCTTCCCAGTGGCCATGCCCTTTGACAGAGTATCCATGGCCTTGGGAGACTCAGTCGTCAGTTTGAATACCAGGAAAAAAAAAGTGACTGCTGTGTGCTCTCAAAGAAGTTGTTCAACCCCTCTGAGGCTTTGTTTTGCCCCTCCTACCTCACTTGTGTTAAAAATAGAAGAAGAAGAATGATAAAAGAGTACCTGTAATTTGTTGGGGAGAATTAACTGAGATAACATTTAGAGTATGTGCAGCAGACAGTCCTTTAACATGTGTGTGTGAAAGGGAGTGTTGCCCTCAGTATCTTCCTTTTGCATCCTTTCTTCAATTCCCCAGCCTCCTATTTGTGTTGCCCCTCCCTTCATTCCTTATTCTTCTACAAATAACTCTCTGAAACTCAAACTGCACTTCATTATCAATAATTGCCTGAATGTCCTCCTTGGAAAACCTTTGCTAAATTACAACCAAAAATGACATCCTCCATTATTTTTGCATTTTAATAAATCAAAGCTAAAGCACCATTTGTCTGGCTATCATTCATTCATTCACCCATCTACCCATCCACACATCCATCAATCCACCTTCTTATACATTCGTCCAGCTGACCCTTCATCCATTCGTTCACCTGTTTACCCACCCATTAATTTATCCATCCATTTATTTACCCATCAATCCATCCATCATTATCCATCCTTCCATCCTTCCACCTACCCATCCATCAATCTACCTACCTATCCATTCATTTACTCATTCATCCATCTCTCCGTCCAACTGCCCATCTGCCCACCTACCCATCCATCCTCGCACTCAGTCGTCCACCCAGTCATACATTCATCCATTCATCTAACCACCCAGCCATCCATAATTTATCCATCCATCCATCCATCCCTCCATCCATTTATCTACCCATCCATTAATCTACCTACCTACCCATGCCTCCATCCATCCACCTACTTATTCATCTGTCTACTTACCCATCCATCCATCCAACCATCCATCCATCCATCTGCCCATCCATTTACCCATACACCATCCACCTGCCCATCCCCCATCTGCCCATCCATCCACCCACCCATCCATTCATTCATCTATTCATTAATTGAGCCATCCATCCCTTCATCCATCCAACTATCTACACACCCATTCATCTACCCATTCATTCATTTATTCACTCACACATTCATCCATCATTTATCCATCCATCCATCCATCCATTTATCCATCCATAATCAGTCATCCATACGTCCATCTAGCCTATGTTCCATCTATCTATGTGTCCATCTATCCCTTCACCCATTCACCTGCCCACCCATTTGTTCTTCCATCAGTCTTGTACTAAGAAGCATTTAAATACCCAGCTGTGTGTCACCCGTTACGAAGAGCTCAAAGTTGAATAGAACAAATCATGAAACCTCTCAGTCCCCTTGTTCTTCATCTGTAGAAAAAAAGCTTTGATTGGTAAGCTCTAAGGCCACTTTTAGCTCGAACATTCTATAACACTTTTATCATCCTCATCAAAAAGCATACATAAAGAGACCCCATAACACAGGGAGCTGGGCTCTGCCCATAGAGCGCTCTATATGCCTAAGGAGAGCTTTAAATGGGAAACAAATGTGTAGCCCTCACAGTAGACAAATTCCAAATGATGTATGAATCATAGAACTTTAAGGAATCACACTAGATGAAGTCCTAAACATCATTTAGCAACAGCACTAAGGTAGCCGTGGCTGTGTGTTCCTACTCTAACATGGCTCATTTATCATCACTTTGTATCCTCACAACAACCTTGTCGGAAAGGTGCTTCTGTTATCCACCACTTACAGATGAGGAAGCTGAGAAATATGCCAAAAACTTGCCTAAATCCACTCAGCCAGAATGCGAGCCGGAGTTCAGCGCCAGGAAGCCCGGTGGCCCCCTGCTCTGCCTTTGCGGCTGTGGACCTGCCTTCTGACCCCTCACTTGGCGGAAGAGCACTGCACAGTGAAGCACAGCGCCTTTTGCTTGACAAAGGCGAGTGTAAAGTGAGGGGTGTGCTGGAGACAAGCCACAGGGCCCTTTATTTTCAGAAGTCGCCTATTTTCCTGAGTTAATTATCATGAAGGCCTTGTCCCACTGAGAATAAGAAAACTATTTTATTAGTTTACTCGAATCCCCAATGAATGAGTGAATTAATGAATTTACAGAGCTTCGGTAAGGGACAGTGGTGTGACAAAGATACAGATGGGTCAACGTCCCTTTAGAATCCTAAGCCCTGAGGGCCTAGAGCCACGCTCATTCCTCATGAAAAGTCCTCCTGTCATAGGAGAATAAAATACATGATGTTATGCTGGCCTCCTTAGCCTTTCTAGTTCCACAGAAACTTGCTTTCTCCTGCACCTCTTTATTTTAAACTTTTTAAATATAATTATTCATTTGAACTGTGTTGCAGTCACTTATGTACACCTCCTGCCCTCAGTGCCTCACCCACCTCCTTAGATTGAGATTCCTGAGCTCTAAGTTTACAAACCCGTTACTGTTTCTAAGGAGCCCCATCCACACACACACACGCTTGCAGATGCACTGCACACACACACACACATACACGCACGGCTCCTAACATGCAGGGTAACACATAGCAGGTGTCTTATGCATGTTTGTGGATTGGAAGATAGATTTCTACCCCTAAAGAAGCAAGTTGTCATCTGAAAAGTTACTATTTATAGCAGGAACAGAAGAGAAGGGAGCCTGCTGGATGTGATCCATGAACTGAGCGTGGAAGGGAGTAGGGAGGTGCAGACGACAGAGAGAGGGAAAGGGGAGGAGGGAGATTTTCTAGGGGTTGCAGACATGAAGAAAAAAAGACCATGCTGTGGAATCTTGATTTATGGCAAAATGCAATTTTAAAAGATAAATGCACAGGCTGAAGTCAGGAAAGCAGGGCTGCCATTCCAGGTTACATAAGAGAAAAATGAGTACTGGCATTCCCTGTCAGGTCAGGCTGCACCTACCTTGCATACTCTCCCTATCCCTCCTGGAGTCTGTCTCTCTTTCTCTTTCTCTGTCTCACACACACACATGCACACATGCACACACAGGCACACACATGCACACACATGCCTTCCCTGCTCCCACTGCAAGCACTCTCACAGCTCTGCTCTCTGCATCCCTCCTGGCCCTGGCTCTGCAGTGGGTGCAGGAGGGAGATTTATAGCTGCTGCATCTCTGCTCCTGCCTCCCAGACACAGGATCATCCCACGCAAAGCTTCTTTATATGGGGTTGTTAGCTCTGCTCTGCTGACTTGGGAGGGTACATATTTTTAATCTTGATTATTTTAATGCCATACTTCATCCTTGGGCTTCTGGCTGCAACCTCATTCGGATCTCAGAACACCAACAGCAGTAAAGCCACTGCCATTTGTCACCCCACACTGATTGCCTGGGATCCTGAAATGAGAAAGTGTGGGAGGGAACACATCTTGAAGCTGCTCCGTCTCAGCCCCACGGACGGTCTCTGAATGCAGGGACACTGGCACACCCCGGCCTCTGGCTGAACAGTGCACCTTGGATATGGCATCGTGGGCTTTAACTAAAGGGAAAAGGCTGTACCTGAGCTGGGAGCAGCATCAATGGGTAGGATCAGAATGTGCTTAAATGCTTCTCTTCTCTGAGAGAACCAGACACATGGAGAGAACCAGACACATCATTGGCAAAGAGCCAATGATGGAACGGAGGGAGGCCCCACGGCAGCTGCAGCTCTGTGAGTCCATTGGAACTGGGCAACCATTGTGTCTTGTGGCCCTCACGGCCGTGTGTCACCAGACCAGAGAAGGCCGTCACAGGCACCTTCTTCAGGGCCACTCCATGTCCTGTCTCTAGTTGCGGTCTCCCTGCTCCTGCTGGGTCTCATTTTCCTCTCACCTCTAACTCCTCTGTGATGTGAAGGGTGAGAAGGCATAAGGAAAGGAGGATTTAGAGAGCTTAAGCTTGCAGAAGGAAGTGCTTCATCCGTAGCTTTGCAACCTTAACACATTGGGTGCCTTCCTGGAGCATGCTGGTGCCATCAGCCCTCTGTATCCTACCACCATGTTGTGAATCAGATTTGCAAAGACATCGTTTGCCCCATTTTGGACATGAGAAAAAAAACCCAGAGAAATTCCATGGTTCCCCTTGTCACACACTAGAGGGTTGGCAGCTAAGGTGTTTCACCTCAACACTCCCGTGTTCCTTGGCACCCCAGCCCAGCCAGGGTGTCAGGCCAGGAAAGAAACCCCAGGACCCACCACTCACAGTCTAGTGACATTGACCCATGGGACAGGGATTTCCCTTTTGGAGAACACAAAGGTGAAGGTGTGTGTATAGTGTGACACTGATGCAGCAATAGGAAACGTGTGCTGCTCGCCCCAAATTCCGCAGTCTCATAACAGATAAGAAGACGGCCCATTGCTGACCTGGTTATGTAGGACAGAGCCTAGTTCCAGGGGCGACGGAAGCTGCTCTGTTTGGATTGATTTTCTGAATTCAAGCAGAGCTCTACTCCTGCCAAAACCTTCCCCATCAGCTTCCCTAATTAAAATTAATTTTCATTCATCCATTAGAATTAAATTTTTAAAACACAGAGACTACTGGCTAGAAGTGAACCCAGGAAAGCGAATCCATACTCCTATGCATGACTCAGAGCTCAACCTTCCCAAAAACAGTTTCTGTAAGGAAGGAGGAGGGTATCTGAAACCAGCATCCAGACATGCAGTACCATTTTGCATCTCACCATGGTACTGGGGGCAGAAGTGATTTTTATCACAACCCAAGTCGAAACACATGCTCCTAAATATTGTTCTGGACATTTTGGTTTTGCTTTACTGTTTCAGTTTGTAATTAAAGAGGGTTCTTCTATTAATGACTTTTACATATTAACCTTCTCATTAGTCCATGACAGCATCTATTAGACCTCTCGAGATTAGATATCTTCAGAAGGCAGCTTGATATACACAGGTTCACCAAGGGGCCACGCCTGCTGAGAAATTCCAAATCCTGCCTGGTAACAGAATACTGCAGGTGGTGGTGCACAGTGATTTTCTAAGCCATTGGTAAAGCCTTTTCAGATGGTATGAAACCTTCTTCATGCAACCTGAAAATCTGACTGGGTAGTTTCATGTTTTAAATTTCCTAATGAGGATTCATTGGTATTAATTTTTGTTTTAATTTTTCTAGGCTAGTAATATAACTAGGATGTAGAGAAAATTTTTAAAGTTTTAAAAATGTAGCCTCCTAACAATTAATCAATTGATGGACCTTTTGCAAACGTGTGATCAGGACAAGTCCTGGGGGTGTAGGAGGCTGTGTGTCCTCACAATGTGCCCTCTCCTGTGGCTCCCATGTGGAGCTGCCGTAAACTTCTAGCAGGGCACCAAAGATGTCTTATTGCTAAATCAAAGGCCTTTTGTTGGCCCTCATTCTTTTGGTTCTTGACATCTTCTCTGCATCACTTTTTACCGTGTTCCCTCCTGGAAAACCTGTCTTTTTTGGCTTTCAGGGCCTTATGCTACCTTAATTTTCATCTTACATTTTTAATGGCTGGTTTGCTCCTTGGATGATGGGTCTTTATCCCCTGTTTGCTAAGTGTGGGCACTGGCCCAGGGGCAGCTCTTGGTTCTGTGTGCTTCATTTCCTATACACTACCCACTCAGTTGTCCCTTCCTGTTCCTGCCTTTGCAAAATGAGAAGAGAAGCCTCCGCAGCCTTGCACGGCCTTCCCCTGACCTCCCAGCTCCTCCACTGCTCTCCACCCAGAGCCCATCCTCCCACCTGATGGAGCAGGCCTTGAGCAAAACAGCAAAGCCAGTCTCCCTTCCAGATTTTCCTGTTCCTCATCCTACCTGTGTGCTGGGCACAGATCATTAAAAATAAATAATCACAGTATTTAATGCTGTCAACACTGGAGCCATCAGAAATACCATTTGCGGTATACAAAATGTTCTCATGCATATCACCTCATTTGATTTTGGGAGGCAGAGGGCTGATCATGTTTCTGTTTTACAAATGAGAACATTAATGCCAAAAGAGGTAAGAATCTTGGCCAAGGACAGAGATATAATAAGTGATTGATTAGAAATTAAAACATAGCTCCTCTCCCCTCAAGCTTCGTGCCCCTTCTAGAATTCCCTATAAGATCAGAGGAGGGTTCTATGACAGATCCCCTCTGGCTCACCGAGCCCTCTTCCCCAGCTCCTCTGAAAAGGTTATGTCTAGGATTCCTAAGGTAAGTGTTAGTAATGAAGTGTATGACTTAGCCCATTGTATCATGGGTGACTCAGCTGCAGCAGTGCCTGACATCACCAACCCTAGTCAGCAAGAGGTCATTTCCTGCATGTCAGCTGAAACACTCATTCCTAATGAGGTAATGACGTGACACCTACTGTTCGCAGAACTGCATGTCTCTGGACTACGTGGCCGAAGTCACTATCTATGGACTCCTTTTATTGGGGTAGAAATTATTCTTCAGGTAAGGACTTAAGCCTCATCTACCTTTGAGCTTCGTTCACTGGTGTTCACAACTTCTCCAATTTTATTATCTCTGAAGTGTGTCTGGGATTCCCATTTGCACAATTCAACTGTGCATTTGGTCCTGCTGATGCTGCAAAACTGGATGGAGATGTGAAAGTCATTCACTCCGACCCTCTTCACCCTCCACCAGCCCTGCCTGCTGTGCCAGGCTTCTACATTCTCACGTTTTCTCTTTATTTAATAGGGCACCAGCATGATGAAGTACAGAGAGCTTGGCGAACACAAGGACTCTAATGTTCTCTGCAGGTTCCTGTACATGCCCCTTAACTTTCGGGGCCTCAGTTTCCTTAACTCTGTAGTGAAAGTTGTAAAATCAGAGTTAATACATGCATTCATATGTTACAGGTTCTAAATGAGCACCAAACATTATTGCTATTATCACCATTATTATCATCTATGAGGTGAATACACCGAAAATGTGGACTAGAGAGCACCTATGATTCCAGGCTGGCTTGCTTGTTTCATATTTCAAGCTTGTTTGAAACCTCAGGACATCGGGAATGAGTTTAACAAAAAAGAAAGAAAAATGGCTGCTTCTCTGTGGCACGTATAAGGAGTAACTAAAAGCAGCCTTGAACTTCGTCACTTCTCAGTGGTTTTCCACACGTACGTCTGGTCATCTTCACCACCATCCTCTCAGAAGATATTAATATGACATGCATTCCACAGGAAGTGGAGCGTTGGAAATCTTGTCACCTGCTCAGGGTCAGGGAAGGAGCTTTGCCAAGTAGCATACATGATATGGAGAGTCTTAAGTTGCAAGTAACAGAAGCTGACTTGGTCTAACTTGAGTATGAAAAAAAAAGAACAATCGATGAAAAATTAAGGTTTATTGGAAGAATTATGGGATAACTCACAGAACCAAAGGGAAGTATTCCCACCGGTGTTTGGGAAGGTCAGGGCCCATCCTAGGAGCATTAATGCAGGTCACTCTCATCTGACAAGGAAGTTTCCCTACCTCCTTCCATCTCTGTGCATCTTTTCTGGCTTTGAATTCCCAGGAGAGGGATTGTCTTCAGTCAGGCATCTGGGTCTGTGTTCAAAGCACATCATAGTCCAAGTACATGGGTCACTGGGGGAGCCAGCCGCTGAGAGCCAACAGCCACCTAGAGTGACCAGTGAGGCCGGGCAGAGGTGAACTTGGGGTTTGCTGTCAGGGCACCTTGCAGTTCAAACCCTTTGTTACTCAAGGTTCTAGGGTAAGATTTTCTATGTTCATTTACTCTGTTTGGTTAGGCAGTGTCATCTAGACTTGCTCTTTATTAACCAGAATTGAAAGTCTTTCAACCATAAACAAAGGTGATAGATTTGGAGAGCTTAGAGCTGGATCTCGGGGGAGTCGTTTCCCAGAGCAGGTGCCGCGTCTGTAGCCTCCTTCCCATGGATTGCAAAGGAACGGTGCTGAGTCTCGGACTCCGGCCCAGGAGCTCAGCGTTCACGGGCATCTTGCCATTCAGGAACGTGGCAAGGAGCATGCACACAGAGTATCCTGTCTAAAAGGTCCCAAAGTACTGATGCCTCCTGGCTTGCCACATTGCCTGAAATTCCACCTTGATTACTTATCTACTTAGGATAAGACCCAGTTTCTTGTTAATAAGTGCCAACTCCTTGTGAAGGCTGTTACATCGAGCCGTATCAGTTGTAAACGCCCTGACGAGGTAGCGTTGATCCTTTTCCACCTGACAGGCAGCAGAGGTGAGGTTTGGCTATTGAAAGCAGCAGGACTGGGGTCCTAACACAGCCTGGCCACTACGGCCCTGGTCTCCGAAAAACAGAGAAAAATGGGGACAAAAGAGTAAGGAATAATGAAGCTGAGTATGTTCAGCTTGAACAATTATCTCCATGTTGGCGTGATGCAGTCCTACACTGGGTGTGAGTAAGATGTTCCTTTTATAAAGTAATGACAATAAATAAGGTGATGTTTTTAAAGCCAGCAACTACATTTCAGCCTCCCCCCACATTATATTTTTATAAAATAGCATGAGTCCATTTAGCACTAAATTAAGAACTATTGACTAAGGGCACAGCTGAGGAGAGATGAGATGTGGTTGGTTTCTGGGGCTGCTCTGCTGGCAGCAGGGGTGAGAGGTGGAGTCCTTCAGGAGGGACCAAGAAGGGCAGGCCATGGAGGGGCCGCCTTTGTCATCAATACTTTGGTTGGGATGAGGTCAGGATGGGAGAGTGAGGACCATCCGTTCTCATTTTGTTCTGTTCACCAACCCTAACTTCACATGCACTGTTCTTGCAGAGTGTTCTTTTCTATTTCTTTTTTTTTCCCGCAGTGAGCATTTTCAAAAGTACACTTTCCCCCCTCCAAGCTGTCACTAAAGATGGACCCTGGGAGCAGTGGAGCAGTGAGGTGCCAGCCTCTGCCCCAGGACGCTAATGATACCAGCCGCAGGGCTTCTGGAAATCTTCTCCCAGCAAAGAAATGCTAAGACCATAGTCTGGCTGCTTTCAGGTGAGGTCAAACTGGCCACTGCTCCAGCCAGCACAGGCCAGGAAGACGAGGGACTCGGTCACCGTGATCAGCATCGGGGTCTACTATTCACCCAGAAGGGAAAAGTGGAACTTGCAACAGAGCCATTTCTACTCAACCCTCTGCTTCAGGCTGACAGAATACTGTCTCCTCCCTCTGGCAGGTGCCACAGACACTCTCTCCTTCCAGGGCACAGGCAGCTGCACACATGGAGCCACTATTAGCCTCGAAGACAGAATGCGTGTGTGTGTGGGCATGGACGTGTGAGTGCATGCACAAGTCTGCGGGGGTCATATGGAAGAAACTTGATGTGGAAGGAGAATCTAAGGTCATTCCGCAAGAAAGTGTCCTTCGAGTCACATTTAGCCAGGGCGCCTTTTGCAGCCTCCTCCAGCCTGGCACAGACACAGATGGCCACATGGCGGCCACAGCTGGTGGAGAGCGGAGCTGCCGGCCTACTAGTGGGAGCTGGCTGCCCACTCCTCTTCTTGGGAGTGCTTGGCTATCTCCTCTGGCTGCCGATGCAGCCTGGGAGGGACCTGAGCGTCTTTGGTGCTGACTAACCTCCTAATTCATTTTGCATATGCTCCTTTTGGCTGGCACTGCCACCAACTGCTCCCAGACCTGACCTGGTTAGAAGTGGAGTAGGGTACTCCAAGGTTGCTCTCACACACCAGCAGTTCCCGCCGCGTGGACCGATTTGACTACTCTGCCTCAAGAGCGAAGTTAAATTTGTTCAACTCTGCACACAGTTGCTTCTGGTGTTACCAGTTGATTACATCTTCAGGTTGACTGTTTTTATTTAAATTAATTTAGTTTGTTACATAATAAACACTTGGGAAAAGGTAAAATAATTGGCTCGGTGACCCCCAGCACACCTTAGTTTTTCTAGAGCTCCTTATTGTTATTTTCTAATTCAGAAATGGGAGACAAGGGACTAGTTTTCTCCATGTTGTTTTATCAAATGAAAACTTCAATCAACTATTTATTTATTAATACTTTTTGAGACAGGATCTCACTCTGTTACCCAGGCTGGAGTGCTGTGGCACAATCATGGCTCACTGCAACTTCCACCTCAGCCTCCCAAGTGGCTGGGACTACAGGCACGTGTCACCACACCCAGCTAATTAAAAAAAAAAAATTGTAGAAATGGAGTTTTCCTATGTTGCCCAGGCTACTCTTGAATTCCTGGGCTCTGGTGATCTTCCCATCTTGACTGCCCAAGGTGCTGGGATTACAGGCGTGAGCCACCATGCCCAGGCTAATCAACTTTTTAAAAACAGTGAAAGGATACTGGATACTAGACAATGAGCCAACCTCCATTGGCTCAATTAGGAAAAATCTATTGGCTTAAGGAATAAGGCAGAAAATGGAATAGGCATGGCGACATTCCGGTCTCAATGAGTCTCTGACGGTCTTTGTGATTTGGACTTATTCTCTCCTGCTACGATCACAGTCAAACCACATGGCAGGGGAAAAAATTAAAGATCAATGTTCCCACAACCAATAATCACAAGATAAGAGAAAGTGATCCCCCACACTACTGATTGGAAAATTCGGAGGAGAGACAGACTGGCCCTGTTCGGGTCACCTGCCAATTCTGACTTGATGGGTTTGCCCAGGGCTGTGGCCCAGCCAGAGTCAGATGCAATTTCCAGGGGCCAAGGACACACACAGGTTACACTCCAGCAGAGTCACATGGAGCGGCTGCTGGGTGGGCGATATGGTTTGGCCCTGTCCCCACCCAAATCTCATCTTGAACTGTAGCTCCCATAATCCCCATGTGTCATGGGAGGGACCGAGTGAGAGGTAATTGAATCATGGGTGCAGGTTTTTCTCATGCCGTTCTCATGATAGTGAGTAAGTCTCACAAGATCTGATTGTTTTATAAAGGGCAGTTCCCCTGCACACACTCTCTTGCCTGCCACCATGTAAGAGGTGCCTTTGCTCATCCTTTGCCTTCTGCCATGATTGTGAGGCCTCCCCAGCCATGTGGAACTGTGAGTCCAATCAACCTCTTTTTCTTTATAAATTACCAGTCTCTGGTATTTCTTCATAGCAGTATGACAATGGACTAACACAGTGGGGCTTTCTTGATTAGAAAGGTAACCCAGGCAAACAAAAGAGTCTGTGGGTTACAGATGTAAAAAGGCAGTTCACAGGTCAGAAATATTCACCAAACTAATGCTTAAAGAAAAAAGCACTGGAGCAATGAGTACATCCATTTTAGCTCATCATGTCACAGAGGTCAGTGCATTTGGTAATTTTTACTGTTGGCAGGATGAGTAGGGACAGGTTGCTGGAGTACATGCACACTAGAGCACAATTTTTAGAGACCAAATACTTGCTGCTTTTTGAAATGAGTATATAGCTTGACTCAGAAATTCCACTTCTCAGAATTCATTCTACAGAATAAATTGGAGAATTCTCACAAGTGAAAAATATAAGCATTTGGAAGTTTACTGCTGTATTATTCATTTTTTTAAAAAAAATGGGAAAAATCTAAAGGGTCCTCATTTGATGGCATGTTAAATTACTTGAAGTATGTACATTAAAGTCATGAAAAAAACAAGTGAATTCTTTATTTACTGACGTGGAAACAAGCACAAGGTACATTATAGATGAGCATACTGCACGATCCTATGCAGAATCCTTCCATTTGTGTTTTTTATTTTCAAAAATCTTTATGTTTGTGTGTGAGAGAGAGAGACAGAGAGAGAGCATTTGTGTTGAGAAAGACAGAGAGAATACACAATTCACAGTCCACATTTATTTAACTAATTCCTCAGTGTTGGGCTTTGGGTTACTTTTTCACTTATCACTGTTTTAAATAACATTTTGGATATTTTCAAAAATACATACATGGGTGTTTCTCTGGACGATGCATCCTAGTGGGTTCCCAGCTGATCTAAGGTTACAACCACTTGTAAGTCTCTGGGTGCACATTGACAAATCGCCGTCCAGATCAACAGGACCATTTCACACTTTTCCTAGGCGTGTGTGAGAATGCCGTGACTTTTCCACCTCAAAATGTTGAATATTGTGACTAAACAGTAAAAACCTTTAATTGCAAGATGTCATCCTTTGAGTGGACTGGAACCACAGGTTACTGTTCTTGGTTTATGGCAGTGGGAATCTCCCTTTAAAAACATTAAACATCTTATTAAGGGATAACTGATATAGAATGAATAACACACATTCAAAGTGTATAATCTGATCAATTTTAACACATGTATACACTTGTGAAACCATTACCACAATGAAGGCAGTGAACATGTTCACCTCCAATGCTCCCTTTTGCTCCATTTGTTAACCCTCTCTGCTGTTCCTCCTACTCTCTTTATCCCCAATCAAGTGCTGATCTGTCCTCAGTTAATATAGATGAATTTGCATTTCTTAAAGCTTGATATATGTGGAATGTTTTTGTTTGGCTTCTTTTATGCAGCATGCAGAGTTAGAGACATAGCCATGTTGTGTATGTCAGTAGGCCATTGCTTATCATTGCTGAGCAGTATTCCATGCTATGGATAGACCAAAATTTCAGTATCCATTTGGCTGTTCATGATACTTGGGTTGCTTCCAGTCTTGGTCTATTACAATTAACATTACCATGAAGATTCATGTTCAAGTCTTTGTATGAATATATTTTTCTATCTCTTTGGAAAATATCTAGGAATTGAATGGCTAGATCACACATATAGTAAATATATGTTTAATTTTTTAAGAAACTGACAAGCTGTTTTCCAAGGTGGCTGCACCATTTTACATTCCCATCAGCAGTGAAAGGAAGTTCTAGTTCCTCCACACCCTCACCAACACGTGGTGTGGTTAGTCTTTTTAATTTTACATATTCTAAGAAGTATGTACTTATTAGAATTGTAGCTTATGGAAAGTCTATTATTAATTCACATTCATAGTTGCTTGGGTGTCAATTGTTTATGAAAATGCAGAGTATCAAACACTTTAGTGAAGTCATTTAAATATCTACTGTATTCCCTTTTGTCACAGAGTTTGGTAATCCTGTCAGAAAGAGCTCTGAAGTCTGTAGGGCATGTGTTTTATTAATTTTTTTAACTTGTTTTAGATAATGCCTTCAGTGTTATGCTACATCTTCCATTGTTCCATGAGTTGAATTATAAATTTTTTCTATTAAATTTGTGATAAATAAACTTTCTAATAAATTTATGAGAAATATTGCAACATTTATAAACTTTATTAAAATATCAGAATGTATATGTAAACTTTATTGAAATAGATGGTATTATATGTGGAAAGATAACATTCGTGAGACTGACTTTTTATTTCAGGGAATTTGCAATGGATTGCGTGCACATTTGGAAAAAATGTTGCATAATCAGATATTTTGAGTTTTATATTACAGGTGTCTGGGAGTTTAAAATTTATTTCTGCTTACTTATTGTTAGGTGCATACGATATACAGTTTTGTTTTGTTTTGTTTTGTTTTTTGAGACAGAGTCTTGCTCTGTCACCCAGGCTGGAGTGCAATGACATGATCTCGACTCACTGCAACTTCTGCCTCGTGGTTCAAGTGATTCCCCTGCCTCAGCCTCCCAAGTAGCTGGGACTGTAGGTGCATGCCACCATGCCCGGCCAATTTTTGTATTTTTCAGTAGAGACAGGGTTTCACCACGTTGCCCAGGCTGGTCTTGAACCCTTGACATCAGGTGATCCACCTGCCTCGGCCTCCCAAAGTGCTGGGATTACAGGTATGAGCCACCGCGCCCAGCCAGTATACAGATATTTTGAGTTTTATATTGCAGGTGTCTGGAAATTTAAAATTCATTTCTGCTATACTTCTTGTTAGCTGTATATGCACAAGCATGTGCACACGTGTGTTTAATAAAAGGGGGAGGCTCCCGGCAACCTAACAATGCTATATATTAGGTGCAAACACACAAGTGTGCATACAGAGTTTAATAAAAGGGGGATGCTCACAGCTGAGGAGGGGAGGAGTGGGCTTTCCTAAGAAGACAGTCAGGAGCAGGCAGTGGCAGGGGTGGAGAAGGATGAGCCTAGGAGTCTAACCCAGTGCCACCTGCTGAGCCACCCCCAGGAGTTCTCAGTCCAGGTATGTCTGATTGTAAGGTCTGTGCCTTACCCAGGCTGGGTAAGCCTGGGTACTTCTCTCACATATTAAGAATATTCCACATTAGTCAACTCCTTAAGTATATTAATACAAACAGGACCAAAATAGTATTGATATTAATTGGATTGGCTGCTGAACAGCCTGTTTTTTGTGTAGTAAATGCATCCACATTAGCAAAATCAAGCTAACATAGATCATTGCTGGTATGTGGAGGTGAACAAGTGCCATCTTCATATCCAGGAAGGCGAAACCCTAGGGCTTTTCCCCATGCAAGCTATGGTTCCCGTACATTCCTTTGAGGGTTTTCAGAAATGGCTGCCAGCAATTCTGAAAATTAATGGATGATTTCAGCCCTGTGGGATAGACAAAATCTGTACATCTCCAGCATCTTCTAAGGATTTACTTGTTTCAAGTGACAGCCTTCCTCCCTACTTTCTTCTTGTAATTTTGTGAATGATACAAAGCGGGATGCTCCACACTGCTCAGAACCACGCAGGCTGGTGCTGCTCGGCCAGCTGACCTGTGGATGCTCACATTTTGGATGGGAATGTCCTTTATGTCTGCATAGTACTTGGCAGCTCATGGTGCTTATGTATCCAGAACTGCCTTTGAGATGTGGTCACCCCACGAAGCAAGCAGGGCAGACAGCATCAAGAGTCCTCCGGTCTGGAAAATGGGTTCAGGGCAGTGAACTAAAAAAACTTTTGTTCTTCTCCCACCTGGTATCTTAAATGCAATGAGTTTCACCCCACCACCCTTCCAAAAAAAGAAGTCTTTATTCCAGGAACAGGATGCTCAGTTCCCTGGATCTCTCCTCTCATGGCAGGGTGTGGAGACCTCTCAGAGCAGTCCTTGCACCAGCTCAGGTATGTTCATCTCCTGAGTGTGGTACCCAGAATGGGGGCTAATGACCGAGGGGTGGCCCCATCCATTCCGAGAAGAGAAGAGCCACCGTCTCCCCTTGCTCTGGAGCTGCCACACATCACAGCACCCTGGAATGCCCGCAGCCCTTTCAGCGGGTATTTTTTAATGGGATGAGGAGCGAGTTTGGGAGGGGCACGTGGGAAGACTTCATCTTTCTTTTAAATTTCAGGCTCAAGGACAAGGTGACCAAAAATCCTCTGGTCAGCAAGGGACAAGCCCAAAGACAGGGGCTGGGTCTGTGTGCTGTGCTAGTTCCACTAGACGGGCTTCCAGCCTGCCCAGACTAATGCCACTGAGCCCCACTCCATTGCTCTCCTTGCCGCCTCTGCCTGACTTCCTAACATAGAAATTATTACATTGGTTCCTCCCCCAGGTGATTCCTAATCAAACCAGAGCCTTAGAAGCACCGACGTTTTAGAGCCAGCCTCTGTCGTCCCTGACTTGGAGGACTTTTGCTCTTTCATCTGAAGCGCGTCTTTCCTCTGGTGTATTTGCAAAAGTGCCCTTTGATTCCTTTTGTCTCATTTTCTTTGAATGAATGTGCTGTGCATGCTCTTTGTACTGTTGGCAAAGGTGTGGCGAAGCGTGTGGGTCTGGGGGGGGAGGCAGAGCAGATGGGAGCAAACAGGCAGGGGGGTCTCCTGTGTGTCTGTCTGTCTGTCTGTCCTTCCCGGGGGCAGGATGATCTCCTGTCTGTCTGTCTGTCTGTTCTTCTCTGAGCAGCTGTCTGCCTGTCCTTTCCGGGGGCAGGAGGGTCTCCTGTGTGTCTGTCTGTCTGTCCTTCCCGGGGGCAGGATGATCTCCTGTCTGTCTGTCTGTCTGTCTGTTCTTCTCTGAGCAGCTGTCTGCCTTTCCTTTCCGGGGGCAGGAGGCTCTCCTGTCTGTCTGTCTCTCCTTCCCTGAGCAGCTGTCTGTCTATCCTTCTCAGAGGCAGGAGGGTCTCCTGTCTGTCTGTCCTTCCCTGAGCAGCTGTCTGTCTATCCTTCTTGGGGACAGGAGGGTCTCCTGTCTGTCTGTCCTTCCCTGGTCAGGAGGCTCTCCTGTCTGTCTGTCCTTCCTGGGGCTATCTGAATCACACTCCTCCCACCAGCACTGGCCAGGCTCTGTTTTCATCAGCCATTTGTGTCTGCTATGTCAGCTGACGAAGGGTGCATAATGGATTTAAGTGTTAATTCCTCTATAGGTTATTTGCTTTTTTAAAACAATGACGACATTAAGGGCCTGTCTTTGTTATGCATGACTTTTGCATTTTTGAGAGAGGAGATGTGCATAGTGTCGCTTCTTCATTTTGCAATAACCCTGAGAGATTGGCATGATGCAGACCATTTTGTGGATATGATAACCAAGGCCAAAGATTTTCAGTTAATTTTGAAAGGTTGCTCAGCTGTGCAGGCCCCAGGGTTCCATCGCAGCATTGCCATGCCCAGAGCTTACCCTTCAAGCACCTGGCTTTGAATCCTCAAATATCTGTAAAGCTTAAAAGAGTGACAGGTGAACTATAGCACTGCATCTATTCACAGGCATTATTTACCACTTGCTGCTGGTCAGGCTGAGTGCTGTGGGATGAGGCTATGAGGTCTAGGATCTAGAGCAACGCCTCCCAAAGTGTGGGCCATGGAGCAACCCCTCATAACAACCCAGTATCTTCATTTAAAATCCACATTCCCTAAATCTCTGAGATCTCCTGAATGAACATCTCTATTAATGGGGCCCAGAAATCTGTATTGTTAACAAGTGCTCCAGGTGACTTCTGCGCAAACTAAAATTAAAAATAAAAAACAAATACAAAAATTGTAGGAAGATATGGAGAGATTTACCAATTATGGAACTGATAGTCTTAGACCTTGAGTATCCCTCACCTCCTTCATCTGGTTGGACTCATTCCCAGAGTTACAATATAACAGCTAAGATGGAACTGAGGGTGAAGTCCGAAAGAAGGAGTTGATTTAGGCTGAATTAGAGAAGAGCTTATTAAAAAGGAGGCTTAGGGCTGGGACCCAAAGAATACGGAAGGGTGCTAATGGAAGAACCACCTGCCCGTCATGCTACACAACTGTGGGAGAAACTATGGGCCCACACACCAAGGGAATGCTTTCATTACAAAACATACTTTTCAGGTGGGATAGCCTGCTGGTCCTCGGGGTGCCGAATAGACCTAGAATGACCAGAGAATTCTACTGTTGGAACGGGGGTAGTTTGAGAGTGAAATGGGGATGCTAGTAATGATTGCACCGGCCGAATAGACCCTAGAATGACCAGAGAATTCTACTGTTGGAGCTGGGGGTAGTTTGAGAGTGAAATGGGGATGCTAGTAATGATTGCACTGGCCGAATAGACCTAGAATGACCAGGGAATTCTACTGTTGGAACTGGGGTAGTTTGAGAGTGAAATGGGGATGCTAGTAATGATTGCACTGGCTGAATAGACCTAGAATGACCAGAGAATTCTACTGTTGGAACTGGGTTAGTTTGAGAGTGAAATGGGGATGCTAGTAATGATTGCACCGGACTATAGGCTTTCTTCAGGACCATACCCAGCCAATTAGGAAATACAGTGTGTTCCATGATAGCCCTGGTTTCAGAAAAGCCAATTTGTTCCAACAGGATTGATATGTTAGGAAAGAGCTTTGGCCAAATGTGGATTTCATGTTTGCTTCTGCACGGACTCATCTGAAAGAAATACTGGGCGACCCAAAGAACCAAACCAGGTAAGAGCTAGAAATGCATAACACACCTCAAACACTACTGTTACCTCAGCTCCTCGCGGGGTGTGGGGCCACCCACAAACATCAGGCATTACTGTTTTCCCATCACTTCAGGGAACCTGCCTTCCACCACTCGCGACAACCCCCAAGCAGCAAACCCTCTCACAGCCACTTCCACAAGCTCATGGCAGGTCTTTCTCAAGGTAAAGAGCTGCATTTATGGTAGGATTCTGATTCTTAACCATTTACATGTGGAAAGCTGTGCTGACATTTTTATTAGGTTCTTCTCTCTCTGTCTCTCTCTCTCTAAACGTGTCACTGATTAAGATTTTGAGTGTTTTGTCTTCAATCTCATACGCCCTGGGGTTTTTATTGCAGGATTTTGAATAGCAGGGTAATTTTCAGAAGCACATATGTTGTTTTCTAGTAAAACTCTCCCTGGAGTTTTACTAGACAAACCTCTAGCCTCCTCACACCTCCAGTGTGCTTCCCCTTGAGGCTTGGGAGCAGAGACAATAGGAAAGGTCACCGTGTCTGTAAAACCTAAACATGAGCCTAGAGTTTCCTCAGGGTCAAAACGACCCTGCAGAAGAATGGACAAACACAGCGATTTGTTTCCCTCTTCCTTGCAGAGGAAGCTCATGGTGAGAATAATATAGGGCGTGCTGAAAGTAGGGGTGGCAAAAGACAGTGGGTCTGAACATTAGCAGATTTCTATTTTTAGTAGAGTCGGCTGTGCCCCTCCCAGCTCTCCTGGGAACGTTCCGCCAGGTTCCTCCTCAGCAGTGAGGGCTTAGGGGCCAGGTCTGTGTGATTATCATGGCACCTCCTGTGTGCAGCACAGGGGCTGTGAGGCATAAGCGGACGATGGATATGTGAATGAATTCTTTCATTCAAGTGAATATTTGTTGAATCAAACAAATCAGATCCACCAGTTGACAACAGGTGACAGGCACAGCTTCCCCGACCCCTGCCCTGTCCTCACCAAACTCCCAGGGTAAGGTTGTTTGCAGAGTGAGGTTTGCAGCCACCCGCCATAACTTGCCAAGTCTCCAGAAAGATGTTGTGAAGTGGAGACTGGCGGACACCACCCACAGTTAGGGTGCAGCTTAGAAGCCCCCAGGAAAACCAGCTGGAGTGGGTTTCCAGGGGCCACCTGGAAGCTGGGAGAAGAAGAAAAGCTAAACTTTTCTGCCTGCACTCAGGCCCCTCTTCCTCCCTCCTTTAAAAAAAAAAAATGTTTAACTTCCCATCCTGGGCCCCTTCCTTTTCTTCTTTCTTCCTCTCTTTTTCCAGCTCTGGCTAGATTTTTTTAATCCTTTACAACATCCTCAAGAAAACTCACTGCCTTTACCTACTAGAATTTCCAGCGAATTGCCAATGAATCCGTTGATAGAAAAGTCCCAGTGCCAATTAGGAGAGTGGGAAGAAAGGAGCAGAGAGAGAGAAAGAGGAAAAGGGAAGGGGGAAACCCCCAGGTGCACGAGAGAAGAAAGAAAGGGTGAAAATCAATTGCCAGGCGTGACCACAGTACTGGGGACTTAGCAACACTTAAACATTTAATGTTTAGAGTCCTTCAAACATGTATGATTACCTGCAATCTATAGTAGAGGATATTTGAGCAGTAAAATATAAATAATTTACTTAAGATCATAAATATTGCACAGGGGACCCATCTAATCAGGTTGGATACCTTCCTCCTCAACCCATGCTCCGCTGCCTGGCAAGAGAGGGCCTGGGAAGATAGACAGGTGACCTCTGAGTGTAATAGCTTCTGTTCAGGGCTGAAGCCAGCCTGGTGCGCGTCCTGCACCATCCAGCCCGGTGGAGACGGACAGAATAGAGACTCGAGGTGCATGGGGCTGGACACCCCAGTTTCCTGGGACATGGTCTGTTTGACTCCTCCAGAGCCAAGTGATCTCTGAGTACCTTCTGACATGTTCATCTCAGCTGTTCAGAAAACCACCACGACGATTCCACCATGGTCCCTCTTGGATGACAACAGCCCTTTCAGAAACTCGATGTAATGTTTTAGATTTTGGTCTAAGCATGGACAGGAAATGTGTTGTGATCAGGCAAACACTTTCAGGGTGTGGGAAACTAAATCCAAAATGCCTGTGTCTCCCAAGCCAGCTCCTCATGCCTGACATTCTCATATTACAAATGGATGCCTTTGAGTTGAAGAGTTGCCTAGTGCAAATATCCTTGATCTGTAGCTATTATTAACATACTAATTCAGCCAGAGTTATTCTGATATCTTTTCCGGGAGAATGACTTGCTGAGATGTAGCCTGAATAGGTGTGGAGACAGAAAGAGAATTCAGAGGGGCAAAGTTTTAAGACCACTGAAGGGTGGGGAGGCAGGCTGATGCTCCAGTGGGTGAAAGTACAGGGCTTTGTATAAAGGGGGGACAAAGGGAGATGATCACAGAGCTGAGAAGAGGGAGAGGCTGTAAGTGGTCTTTAGAAAAGAGAGTTGCCTTTAGATCATTTAATAGTTGTCAAGTCCAAAGAAAGAGATGATGCAGACAGCAGAGAACAATTAATGATGCTTTCAAACCCTCAGTTTCACCACCCACCAGAGGCCCTGTCAGAAGGTTGTGGATTTGGGGGAAAGGAAAAATTATGTGTCCTCTGAGCTCTTGCCTGAGTTCTGGGTCCACAAAGCTCAGGAATCTGGGTCTGGAGTGCATCTAGGAAAGTCACTGGTCTGAGGCATCGCCCTTCATCTCAACTCTTGTGAGGGGCATACGTTGATCATTTCTGTAGTGTGTGATGGAAATGTCAGCATTATAATGACTAAACAAAGCAGAAGGTCGCATCCCCACAGAAAGCTCCCAGAACCAGGCAGTCCAGGGCTCCCTGGCATCCTTAGCACTGGAGTTCAAGCCTCCCCGCTGTGCTGCTGGGCCACAGTGCTGTGAGGGGTCCTGAACCTGCCCTTACCCATCCTATCCACATCCCAGAGCACAGGAGGAGAGGGGGAAAGAGGGGGCATCCCCAGTTTAGAAGAACATTTCCCAAGCATCAGACACAGCTCCCTTGCCTACATCTCCTTGGCCTGAACCTAGTCACTGGGACATACCTGAGCTGCAAACGTTACAGATGGAGGTCTTTCCACCGAGAGGTGTTGTGCTTAGCTGAAATTTTACCTCTACCAGGTTCATTTTAATTAAGAAAAAAAAATGGAGACCTTCTACAGGGAAACAACCAACATTCCCTGCAACAAAAGATGCTTTCTATGACCCTGAAGATCAGCAAATAGGCTACTAAATATATACATGCAATTTCCAGGCTTTGCGTTCAAGTTCTGCAATTAGCTAAAACATCTGTACAATATTCACCAGCGCAAGAAAACAGCCCAAAGAAATACCAAAGAGCAGAGGGTCCTGAACATTAAAGCCACTATATTTTGAGAGTTTACAATGAGAAACAATGTCGTGTCATCATGAGGTGGAGGAAACTGATGTCAGAAAAATACGTATTAGAATTCTAGCTCTGCCTCTTGATATTGAGTGACTATGGGAAAGTTATTATCTATTTGGACACAAACCTGTCCCCAGCACCCAACAGTCCTGCATGTCTGTCTCCAGCAGTTCTCCTGTGTCATGGGAGATGGTGGATGCAGCCCCAAGCACTCTCTGGGGACAGCCTGGCCTGCGGGGAAGCATAGGAGGCTCCACAGCCTCCCCTGCTGAGCCCGTCTGTCTCAGAGGGAAGGGAGCACAGCTGCCACAAGACAAGAGTGATTGGGAGGCAAACCACTGCCCAGTCCAAGTGCCCAGGAGGCGGCCTGGCACTCAGCAGAACCCAGGGGTGTCCCTGGGGGTGACAGGTAGTGTCTTAGGCCCTTCTTGTGTTGCTATAAAGAACTACCAGAAAAGTACTTTGGGAGGCCGAGGCAGGTGGATCACCTGAGGTCAGGAGCTGGAGACCAGCCTGGCCAATCTGGGGACACCCCATCACTACCAAAAATACAAAAATTAGCTGGGCGTGGTGGCGGGCGCCTCTAATCCCAGCTACTCGGGAAGCTGAGGCAGGAGAATCTCTTGAACCCGGGAGGTGGAGGTTGCAGTGAGTCGAGATCACGCCATTGCACTCCAGCCTGGGCGACAAGAGCGAAACTCTGTCTCAAAAAAAAAAAAAAGAGCAAGGCCCTGAGAAGGGCCCTCCGAGGCTGTGGGCACAGATCCTCCCAGGTGTCTGCGATGAGAGCGGACTGGGAGCGGGAAGGAGATCACAGAAGCCACCTGTGCCTGAGGTCAGTGAGAAGAGGTGGGAAGTGGGGCCTGCAGGACCCCAGAGCTCTCCTTGAAGGCACTTTCACGTTGCCTGAGCTGGTCTAGTTGGAGAAGACAGAATAAATCAGTCCTGCCAGAGGATCGCAGTGTCCCTTCTCTGGGCCTTTCCCCTAGACCTGGAGTCTACTTCTGGCTGTAAGGAGCCCGAGCGCAGGTGGCCTCTGGTTGTGGGGAGGCCCCCACGGCCCCTCCGAGGTGGAGCACGGAGCTCGCCAGCGTCTTGGGAAGCTGCCGCAGGCGCTTCTTCCTTCTCGGCAGGAAGATGGCGCCCGGCTCTGCAGTGGCCCTGCCTCCCCTCGCCGTTAGATGTCTCTGCAATCAGTCGAAGCCGTAGCCTGTCACCGGAGTGGGGGGCTGCTGCTTTTCTCCTCAGAAAGAGAACACCGTTGCCACCCAAAGCAAATTAAAATTAAGTGCAAAGCTATTTCCGGGTCAGTTAAGCACAGCAGGTCACTAGCTTTCTCCATTGCTCTCAGAGCACAAAGCAAACATCTCTCAGCTTGCATGTTCTGGGACCCTTTGAATTGCTCGCTGAAGATGAAACACCTGGGTTTGTGTGTCTGTATTTTAAAAGTACTGCATAATGTAGTTCAGACCACAGATTGCAGCAAAGGAGGTACTAAATATCTCAATGAAATCAATTTATAAATGACAAATATGAAAATCAGCCTCTACCTTAGTTGACATGGATTAATAAGTTGTTTGCTTCTCAAACTTTAATGTGCACACAAATCTCCTGGGCCTCTTGTTAAAATGCAAATTCTGCTTCAGTAGAGGTAGGCAAAGGCTTGTGATTCCACATTTCTAACCGCCTCCTAGGTCAGGACTCCACGGACTGCCACCCACCCGAGGACCAGCCCCAGCTCCTAGCCTGTGTGTGTACACAGCAAGCTAAGAATGGCTTTTTATATTTTTAAAGGATTGAAAAAAAAAAAAAAAAGGAGACCAAACAACAGAGGCCCTGTGTGGCCCAGAAAAGCTGAAATATTTATGATGTGGTCCTTCACAGGGAATGTCTTCTGACCTCTATCCCAGCAATGCCGGTGCTTGCTGTCCGTGGGCCACATCTGGAGCAGCGAACATTTAGGATCAGCTTTAAGCTACATTCTCTTTCATGCCCCAAACCAAGGAAACATCAAGTTGGAAAAAGATTATGTAGGGCCAGGCATGGTAGCTCACGCCTGTAATCCCAGCAGTTTGGGAAGCCGAGGCAGGCAGATCACCTGAGGTCAGGAGTTCGAGACCAGCCTGACCAACATGGAGAAACCCCATCTCTACTAAAAAAATAAATAAATAAAATAAAATAAAATAAAATAAAATAAAATAAAATAAAATAAAATAAAATAAAATAAAATTTCCAAAATTAGCTGAGCCTGGTGGCACATGCCTGTAATCCCAGCTACTCAGGAGGCTGAGGCAAGAGAATCACTTGAACCCAGGAGGCGGAGGTTGCAGTGAGCCGAGATCACGCCATTGCGCTCCAGCCTGGGCAACAAGAGCAAAACTTCATCTCAAAAAAAAAAAAAAAAAGATTATATATTGAAAATGACTAGACGGGCACAAATACTATATATGTGTGGGTATGTGTGTGTACATACGCATGTATGATAAATAGATGACAGACAACAGAGACTAGATAGATGACAGACAGAGGTTAGATGAGTAGACAGATGATAGGTTGGTAGGTAGGTAGGTAGATAGATACATAGATAGACAACAGAGATTAGATAGATAAATGATACACGGGTACCCAACGATCAGCTCCAACCCATAGCCTATTTGTATACACAGTGAGTGAAGAGCTAATTAGACAGATGATAGATAGACAATAGGTAGATAGGTGGATGATAGAGATTAGATAGAAAGATAGAGATATGAATGTAGCTATAGATGTTGACAAACTTTAAAACTGCACAAGACAGGAGATAATGTCCTTAGCTTACTGCGATAAGGGGAGCACCCCAGATCCAAGTTCAAGGTCTCAGCAGGGTGGCTTTGCCGCACTTTCATAGGGAGGCACAGGCAGGTCGCAGCTGAGTGATTTGCTCTTGGGATTGTTCTGCAGTCAGGGGAGGTCTGATGGGGAAACGTTTGTCTCTGTGTCTAGCCAGTTTTAGGGGACAAGCAATTGTAATCTCAGGCAATCACTCTTGAGACACAGAAGTGAAGGTGGGGCCTGGGTCTGGCCTGTCAGCAAGTTCAGGAAAAGGGGAAAGGTCAGTGTGAACACTTGTCACAGCACAGCAGGGGTCCCCCGTGGGTCTCACAGGAGTCACAGGGAAGCATGGATGGTGGTTGCATCTAAGTCATACAGGAGGGGGTGCCTCACTCATATCTTCAGATGTGCACACCTGCAGTTTACAGGTGTGCCTTTACGTAGATCATCTGTGAATCCCTGAAACTCCTTAGGCAGCAATGTTCACGTTTTACGGATGAGAAAACCAAGGTCAGTCACCCGGCAGACCCAGGAGCTGACCCTGAACCTGATCCTTCTCATGACATCAGTTTCATCTCCCACTGAGGAATCAGTCCTCACGGACATGGATAGGGGTGGACGTGGATTCTAACGGTATTTAACGTCTCTAACTTAACTTGAAAAAATGCTGCTTCTAAAGCGCTGCACCCTCCAAAAACTATCACTGATACTTTCAGCTTGGGGCAATGTTTCTCTTTCTTGATGGGGTGGTTTATGGGGGATGCAGTGCGGGGGGACATATACCATTTTTACAGCTTGTAAGTAGTTTTAGGTACAAGGGCAATCAGTTAAAAATGTACATTTCTGAAAGGAGGATTTGCAAAGATGCAAATGATTGTATTTCTCTAAAACTGAACTGCATGAAGTGCACAAGCCCCCACTTCTATCGGCAGCAGAAAGATCATGAACTTCCCAGCAATGCAAGGTGATTCAACTCCTTCAAACTTGAACCTCACTTTTTCAGGGTGAATGCTCTCCCCAACAGTTCAATGGCTCTCCCCATCACTCTTCTGCTCTGTCCTCCTCAGTGATTCATGCCCTGGCATTGTCCTGGGTTGGGGAGGTAGGCACCAGGACCATGGGCTACATTCTCTACACTGTGGACTCAAGCTCAGGGGTGCATGTTAACCAGGATTGCGGTCTTGGTGCACGGGCAACCACTGTGGAAATGCACGGTCCTGCGGTGGCCTGCAGTCCCAAGGCCAGTCCATTCTGTATCCTCCAGCTCGGGTTCTCTCCCATTCTCCCCATTGGCTCGGGTACTCCATTCTTTTTGTGGTGGAGGGGTGGGCCTTGGCCGCTTTCTGCTTTTTTCCTCCACTATGGAATGTGCAGTAGTTTGAGGAGTTTGCAAATGGTCCAGCCCCCAAAACCATCTTGCTCGGCCATCGCTACCCTATCTCTCTGGTGCCATGTTGAATAAAGGTCTTTTCCTTGAGATTCACAGTTCCTAGACTATTCATTAAGTGGTGAGACAAAAGTTCACTCTCCTCAGGTTCTGCTCTTAATCTATGCTTTCTGCCAGTGTTTCTGCAGAACCTTGCCATGTGCCCAAAGGGAGGTCTCCAGGAAGGGCCTCCAGGCCCTTTGTCATGGACCCGCGAGGTGTCTGGAGCTCCAGCTGTGCCTGCTGTTGAAACTCTTACATCTCTTTCAGTGGGAGTGCAGCTCACAGGACATCAACTGTTTCTGCCTACCTTGGGTCTTATGATATAAAAATCTATGCCCAGTTCTCTAAGGCCTAGCATGTTATAATCCATAAATCCATTTTTATCACAAAATAAAACCTGGTTCCTATAAAGGAAAGTGTTGCTTTCAAGACAATTGTGTTTTCATAGATTTCCAAAGGTCTATCCAGAACATCCATCAGCTTCTCTCTCCTGCAGACATTGGTGGTCCCTTTGTGGTACCTCATGTGGACAGATCTCAGGCTGCCCGAGGATGAGGAGGATGGGACAAAGGGCTGAACAGATGCCTTAAGACCAAATGCTATTGCTCTGCACAGGCATTTCAGCTCACCCTTGACTCTAAATCACAATTCCAGGCTTAGGCTGCCTTGGCATCACCAAGGAGCTTGTTGAAAATGCACATTCCTGAGCTTTCCCCAGATTTTCTCGTCTGGGGAGTGTGTTTTGAACAGAGGTCATGTTTAGATGCTTTTGATGAGGGCTGACTGAGAACTGCCTCTCAGGAAAGCTCCAAGGCATCAGGCTTTAAAGGAGAGGTTCTTCTTGCCTCAGCATTGCTTGTGGCACTGAGATAAGGGGTGGGCAAGGGGCAGCTATTTAAAGGAGAACTTGCTCATCCAGACCCCACTGGACTTATGTTGGGTTTTTTTTTTTTCTCTGTAGGCATTAAAACAAGCATTTCCAGACCCTACGTGGTGAAATCCAAGATCCATGGGTGAGCCAGACACTTTAGTTAGGAACCGGGAAACTGGACTTTAAATACTTTTAAATGACTTTATTTAACCTTTAAATAACATTAAAGAGATGCAGTCATGATCCTGGGCTGAAGATAACAATTGCTCACTTGCCTTTCACACAGAGAGGGCCATTGTACCCAGGGAGGCTGCCTGCCAAGACCCGACAGATGACATCTTCAGGCCCAGGTGGAGCTTGCCCCTGCCCCTCTCCTGGCACCCTCAGCACTCTGGGCACTGGCCTGTGTCTGTGTGGCCTGCCCATGCTGAGGGACCAGCTTCCACACGGGATGCTTTCTCAGTTCTCCCAGGAGAGAGGCCATGTCCACTCCAGGTTGTTGCAAAACTCAGACATATGACAATGGTGGTGTCTGGGCCCTGCCATCTTTATCCTGCTTTCTGCACCTGCTGTGGGGTGGCTGCAGGGCTCTGGAGAAGGGCTGGGTGAGGTGGCCACTCTGATACATCTCTCTGCATCCTTCCGTATTGGCCAAATGGGGGAGTTGGATTGGTGAATGTTTTCTAACAGGCTCCCATGACCTGGCCCCCATCTTCTCTCTGTCCCCCTGTCCCATATCCAGCACTCTATTCCCAGGCTCACTAACTGAGCACAGCGCTCCCCCATCCCCAATCCACACTGCCTGTCTCTGTCCCTGCCCACTGCCAGGGCCCCCACTCTCCCAGGCCGACCTAAGCTGAGGCCCTTCCCTGTCACTCAGCCAATGGGACTTGCTTTCCTGATGAATTCCTTCACATCTTCTGCACATCAGTGCAAGAGCAGCCTTCCTGCGAGTGTGTCATTGTTTGATTCTGTGTTTATTTTTTCCTAATGCTTTAAAGGAAGGGAAGAGCTTGTTTAGGGCAAGTGTTTGTCACACAGTAAGTGCTCCATAAACTGCTTAGTGAACACCAAAGGCAGCTGATCTGGACACAGAGCAGCTACTGCAGCCCCTACACACACTCATGCCTTGTTATGCTCCATATATTTCTCTATAGATGAATCATCACATGGAAATATATCTATAATACAATATACATATATTATGCACTATGTTATTATAGATTATATATAATATGTACTATATGATTTTGCACAGTTGGCCCTTGAACAACATAGGGATTAGGGACATCAAAGCCCCTGCACAGTAAAAATTCTGCCTGTAATTTTTCACTCCCATAAAACTTAACTACTAATAGCCCACTGTTGGCCAAAGGCCTTAATGATAACATTAAGCTAGAGAAGAGAAAACATTATTAAGAAGATCATAAGAAAGAGAAAATATATTTACTATTTAATAAGTAGAAGAGGATCATTATAAAGGTTTTCCTCTTTGTCTTCTCCACATTGAGTGGGCTGAGAAGGAGGAGGAAGAAAGATGAGTTGGTTTTGCTATGTCTGGAGTGGCAGATGTGGGAGAATATCCATGTTTAAAGGGCCCCATGCCAGTCAAACCTGTGTTGTTCAAGGGTCAATCGTGTACACAATATCCTATTATATGTTGTATGTGTGTTTACATACAATAACTGTATTTGTCTGGGATCTCTAGAGGGACAGAATTAATAAGATAGATGAATCTATGAAGGGGAGTTTATTAGGAGAATTGACTCACACAATCACAAGGTGAAGTCCCACAATAGGCTGTCCCCAAGCTGAGGAGCCAGGAAGCCAGTCTGAGTCCCAAAACCTCAAAAGTCGGGAAGCCAACAGTTCAGCCTTCAGTCTGTACTGAAAGGCCTGAACACCCCTGGCAAATCACTGGTGTAAGTCCAAGAGTCCAAAAGCTGAAGAACTTGGAGTCTGATGGTCAAGGGCAGGAACCATCCAGCACGGGAGAAAGATGGAGGCCGGAAGACTCAGCCAGTCTAGTCTTTCCACGTTCCTCTGCCTGCTTTTATCCTAGCCATGCTGGCAGCTGATTGGATGGTGCCCACCAAGACTGAGGGTGGATCTGCCTTTCCCAGTCCACTGACTCAAATGTTAATCTCCTTTGGCAACACCCTCACAGACACACCCAGGAACAGTACTTCTCATCCTTCAGTCCAATCAAGTAGACACTCAATATTGACCATCACAACAACTATATACGTTACATATATGTATGCTATACATATGTATTTTTTTTTCAATGTGGCAGTATGGCAGTGGGTACTCCCGGCACCTGATCAGATCTCACTTATATCCAAGCCTTCATTCTAGACACCCCTGCTTCGGCAGTCTGCTCTGTGGAGTATGCCTTGCCTGGGAGATCTTAGCCCTAACCATCAGCAGGACGTGTTCACATGTCATTGAAGAAGAACCAGCCTCTGACTCCTTGGAGGCCATCATTCAGCTTTCTCCTCTACTTAGGTCTCATCTCCTCACTTAGACCAGTCACCCTGAGAGTACAGTTCATCAACTAAGCCTGTTCGTTTCCTCTTAGCTCCTGACATTGCCCTAAGTGCCTTTGTCCCCTAATTTATATTTGCTGGCTGGATGGATGAGTGGCTGGCTGGCTGGCTGGCTGGAGGATACTGAAGAATAGGGGAAGAGATTGAAGGTCATGGAGATACAAATTTGAATCCTGGTCTTGTGCAGTCTCAGGCAGTTTACTGAAAAATCCCTGAGCTTTAATTTTTCCATCCATAAAATGGAGAAATTAATAATCTAACCTTGAAAAATTGTTGAAAGGATAAATGAAATAATATGCCTGTTTTTCATATATGCCATGTGACCCTGGAAAGATAACAGCTCTTTAATATTAATGCTTAGGCTAGTACAGCAGTACTACCCTGGGATTCTTTGACGTCTGGATCTTATTACCAGGAAATAGTGGTATACAATGCAGAAAAGACAATGGAAAATGTGACTTAATCCAGGACCCAAAGTTATATCTACCTAAATCTACTTAAAAACCTCCCTGGCAAGAGCTCACAGTACTGAAGGAAAACGTAAAAGCTGCAGTATGACCTCAGAGTGAGCCAAGGAGATAATACAGAGCCATCTCCCAGGACAAAATGAACACCTAATTAGGTGTTGCTGGAGCAGATGAGATGTAGGTGCATTGACAGGAACAGGCCCACTCTGAGAATGGACAGCATAGGAGGGGCTGAGCTTCGTGGGCTGGACAGCATCTAGAAGGAGAATAACTACCTGTATCTGCTTGTCCTCAGGCACCTGACAAGTTCTGAGACCTCCCCCAATGGTTGCAGGCCCATGGGGCCCTTCAGTGAGCATAGGGGTAGCTGTCAGCTAACAGCAGGTGCTCAATAAGTGGTTTTGAAATGAAGTTATTGGTGAGAGGGCATGACAGAACTAGAATCCCAGGAGAAATAGGAGAAATGATTCAGATTTTAATTTATAGTCAGGCAGAGCCAATGAGGGTCTATCTTCAGGAGATAAACTGAGTGGTCCTGCATTTTTGTTCCAAATAATTAGGGAGGGATGAGCACTGGTTCGTGATGTGCTGAATGGAAGGCAGGTGAATAAAGGGTAACCCCTGTCACTGGTCCCAGCCATGTTGTGTGGTTCTGGCCAACGGGCTGAGGGTGCAGCTGACAGTCCCAGCCAGGCTGAGTCCCTCTGCAAACTTCTTCCCCAGGGCAGCTGCCCACATGGACTACCACATCAAGAGCCCCTGGATCCTGAGGGGCCAGGTGGAAGGGAGCATTCCCTAGAGCCTGGAGAGGTGCAGCTGACTTTGCATAAATGAAACATAGGCTTTAGTTTTGCAGCATCACAGAGATTTCAGAGTTTGCTTGTTACCCGGCATAACACAGCCAAGCTGACTCATCCCACATCCCTTGACAGAAGAAGCCTGGCAGAGGCAGAGAGGTGCAGGTTCTAATCCTCCCCAGTTCTCTTGGCTGTAAAATTAGAACATGAGTGCTCAGGAAGCATCACCAGGGCTACATTGTTTCTCTGACTCCCACCAGAGAGAGCTACTGACGTGAACCCAGCCCATGAGTAGATGACGGTGGTGATGGTGATGATGGTGGTGAGTGATGCTGCCACTGGTCACAGTATGGTAACAGAATGTTAAGTAGACATTTCGGCAGACAGCCTAAGGCAACAGAGGTCAGACACCTAAGTGGGTTTCATAAGTGGTCCCTCTATAAAAGTATCAAAGCCAAAAAAATAAAAATTGTTTACATGACAAAAAATAATCCAAACTAACAACGTGTATTAGGCTGTTCTCACATTGCTATAAAGAAATACCTGAGACTGAGTAATTTATGAAGAAAAGAGGTTTAATTGGCTCACAGTTCTACAGGCCGTATAGGAAGCATAGCAGTTTCTGCTTCTGGGGAGGCCTCAGGAAACATACAAAGGGGGAGGAAGCACTTTACTTGGCCAGAGCAGGAGGAAAAGAGAGGGCAGGGAGGGGCCACACACTCTTAAACAACCAGGTCTCATGAGAACTCTATGACAAGAACAGCACCGGAGGGCAAAATCCTCCACAATAATCCAATCACCTCCCACCAGGCCCCACCTCCAACAATGGGGATTACAATTCGACATGAAATTTGGGCAGGGACACAAATCCAAACCTGACACCTCTCAAATCTCATGTCCTCACATTTCAAAATACAACCATGCCTTCCCAACAGTACCCCAAAGTCTTCATTCCAGCATTAAGTCTAAAGCCTCATCTGAGACAAAGCCAGTCATTTCCACCTATGAAACTAAAATAAAAAGTTAGTTACTTCCAAGATACAATTGGGGTACAGGCATTGGGTAAATATAACCATTCCAAATGGGAGGAATAAGCCAAAAGACAGGGGTTACAGGCCCCATGAAATCCGAACGAAACTCAGCAGGACAGTCACTAAATTTTAAAACTCCAAAATAATCTCCTTTGACTCCATGTCTCATATCCAGGCCACACTGATGTAAGGGGTGGGCTCCCAAGGCCTTGGGCAACTCCACTCCTGTAGTTTTCCAGGGTTCAGCCTTGGTGGCTGCTCTCATAAGCTGGGCATTAAGTATCTGCAGCTTTTCCAGGCACAAAGTGCAAGCTGTCAGTGGACCTATCATTCTGGGGTCTGGAGGACAGTGGCCCTTTTCTCACAGCTCCACTAGGCAGTGCCACTATGGGGACTCTTTGTTGGAGCTCTAACACCATACTTCCCCTCCACACTGTCCTAGCAGAGGTTCTCCACAAGGGCTCTGCCCTTGTAGCAGGCTTCTCTCTGGACATCTAGGCTTTTCCATACATCCTCTGAAATCTAAGTGGAAGCTCCCAAGCCTCAACTCTTATAGTTTGAGCACCCACAAGCTTAACACCATGTGGAAGCCACCAAGGCTTATATCTTGCACCTGCTGAAGCAGTGGCCCAAGCTATACTTGTGGCCTTTTGAGCTGAAGTTGAAGCTGGAGTGGCTGGGATGCAGGGAGCAGAGTCCCAAGGCTGTGCAGTGCAGCAGAGCCCTGGGCCTGGCCCACAAAGCCTTACTATTATCCTAGATCTCTGGGTCTGTGATGGGAGGGGCTTTCTGGAAGGTCTCTGAAATGCCTTCAAGGCCTTTTTCCCATTGTCTTGGCTATCTGTACTTGGCTCCATTTTATTTATGCAAATTTATGTAGCCTGCTTGAAATCCTCCCCTGGAAAATGCGCTTTTCTTTTCTACTACGTGGCCTGGCTGCAAATTTCCCAAACATTTGCACTATGCTTCCCCTTTAAATATAAGTTCCAATTTCAGTCCATTCTTTGCTCATGCATATGAGCATACACTTTTAGAAGCAGCCAGGCCACTTCTTGAACATTGCTTAGAAATTTCTCCTTTCTCTCAGATACCCTAAATCATTACTCTCAAGTTCAAAGTTCTACAATCCCTAGGGCATGGGCACAATGACTCCAAGCTTTTTTTGCTAATGCATAACAAAAGCAATCTTTGCTCCAGTTTCAGTAAGTTCCTGATTTCCATCTGAGACCTCCTCAGCCTGGACTTCATTATCCATATCACTATCAACATTTGGGTCACAACAATTTAACAAGTCTCTGGGAAATTCCAAATGTTCCCTCATCTTCCTGTCTTCTTCTGTGTCCCTCACACTCTTCCAACCTCTGCCTATTACCCGGTTCCAAAGCTGCTTCCACATTTTCAGGTGTCTTTACAGAAATGCCCCACTACTCAGCACCAATTTTCTGTATTATTCCATCCTCACATTGCTATAAAGAAATACCTGAGACTGGGTAATTTATTAAAAAGAAGAGGTTTAATTGGCTCACAATTCTGCAGGCTGTACAGAGAGCATATCAGCTTCTGCTTCTGGGGAGGCCTTAGGAAACTTTCAGTCATGGTAGAAGGTGAAGGGGGAGAAGGCATGTCACATGGCTGAAGCAGAAAGAAAGACAGAGAGGAAGGAGGTATCACACACTTTTAAACAACCTTATCTTATGATAACTCTATCACAAGAACAGTACCAAAGGGGGAAATATAACCCCATGATCCCATCATCTCCCACCAGACCCCACCTTCAACATTGGGGATTACAATTTGACATGATGTTTGGGCAATGACACAGATACAATTATACCACAAGGTCTGTCTCAATTGGTGAGCTTACTTCATTTGGAGGTATTTGGATCACCAGCACATTTGGAGCTGTCTCTATCATCTTACCATTTTGCATTCTGTCTGCTCTGGACTTTTTTTGTCTCCTTTTTTTCTATCTTTTTCTTTATTTAGGCTAGATTTTTACTCTGCCCTATTTTCTGTTTTGCACTCTACTGATATAAAATTTGTACAATCTATTTTTATTTTAACTAACCTTGGTAATTGCTATGCAAATTCAATATAATATCTAGAATTGAAGAAACTACAGAACCTGGCAAAATAACCTAGGCAATGCCACTCTGGACATAGGAACAGGCAAAGGTTTCATGACAAAGATGCCAAAAGCTATTGCATCAAAAGTAAAAATTGACAAATGAAATCTAATTAAAGAGCTTCTGCACAGCAAAAGAAACTATCAACAGAGTAAACAGACAATCTCAAGAATGGGAAAAAGAATTGCAAACTATGCATCTGACAAAGGACTAATATTCAGCATCTGTAAGGAATTTAAACAACTTTATAAGAACAAAACAAATAACCCCATTGAAAAGTGGGCAAAGGACAGAAACAGACACTTTTCAAAAGAAGACATATATGCTACCAACAAGCATATGAAAAAAAGCTCAACATCACTGATCACTAGAGAAATGCAATTTAAAACTTCAGAGAGATACCATCACACACCAGTCAGAATGGCTATTATTGAAAAGTCAAAAAGTAACAGGTGCTGGTGAGGTTGCAGGGAAAAATGAACACTTACACACTGTTAGTGGGAGTGTAAATTAATTGAACCATTGTGGAAAACAGTCTGGCAATTGCTTAAAGACCTAGAAACAGAACTACCACTTAACCCAGCAATGTCGTGATTGGGTATATACCTAAAGAAATCTAAATCATTCTATCATAACGATATACGCTTATGTATGTTCATTTCAGCACTATTGACAATAGCAAAGACATGGAATCAACCTAAATTCTATCAATAGTAGACTGGGTAAAGAAAATGTGGTACAGATACACCATGGAATACTATGCAGCCATAAAAATGAACAAGATCGTGTCCTTTGCAAGAACATGGATGGAGCCAAAGGCTATTATCCTTAGCAAACTAACACAGAAACAGAAAACCAGATACTGCATGTTCTTACTTATAAGTGGGAGCTAAATGATTTGAACACATGGACACATAGAGGGCAATAACAGACACTGGGGCCTATCAGAGAGTGGAGGGTGGGAGAAAAGAGAGGACCTGGAGAAATAAGTAATGGATACTAGACTTAATACCTGGGCGACAAAATAATCTGTACAGCAAATTTTCACAACACTAGTTTACCTATATAACAAACATGCACACATACTCCTATACTTAAAAGTTAAAAAATAAAAAGGAAAATAAAACAAAAAAAATACCTTAACATTCTTCCAGAAAAAAAATTATCGTTAATTACCATCACTTTGCTCATATGATCTTTCTCAATAATTTCAAGGTATCTCCTCTTTTTAACACCTACGTTAATCATTGTTCTTATTCTTAATTTATAGAAGCGGTGTTCATTTTGAGTTACACATTTGTTTTCCATTTTATATACTTACCATTTGTTTTTATTTTAGAAGCTTCTTTGGAGATTATTTTTCTTTTCTCAGAAGCATATCCTTCAGAAAGTTCTTTCGTTTAGAACTCTTGGTGAAATATCTCTCTTATTTATTTAACAGCATTTCTTTTTCTTGTACTGAAAAGACAGTTTGGCTGAATAAAAATGCTCTTCCATCAACGTCTTGAAGATATTGTTTCATTGTCTTTCATGGTTGCTCTTGAGGGTTCTCCTAGCTTTCTAATTGTCATTCCTTTCTTTCTCCTTAACATCTTCTCCTTGCCTTTGATGTTTTGCAGTTTTGCTAAAATGAGAGTAGGCAAAGATTTCAGTAAGTCTTCATGCAGAGAATACATGGTGCATCCTGAAACAGGCATGTGTCATGCTTTTAATCATTTCTAGAAAATTTGTAGGCACTAGCTCTTCAGATTGCTTTTCTTCCATTTTTCTCTCTCCTCTTTTCTGGACTTTGACAGTATGTGAGGCCTTCTCTTCTTTTTTGCCCTTTATGTCTCAAATTACAATTCATATCTTCTCCTTTCTATAAACTTTTTTGACATATCTTTAATTTCTTTCTTTTTTTATAATCATGACTCACTGGACATTTAATTCATCCACTGAGTTATTTATAATTTTTAGTTTAACAAATCACACAGACTTAATATATATTATATATAAAATAAATCAATTTTATTATGTAAATATTTATTATAAATAAAAAATAGAGTTTTTTAATTTTTAGGAGTTCCTTTTATATTTTTTCAGCTTCTTGAGGTATAGTTGATAAATAAAAACAATATATATCAAAGATCTACAACATGACACATTGATGTAAGTATACATTATGAAATGATTATGATAATAAAGTTAACTAACACATTCATCATCTCACATAGTTACCAGTTGTGTGTGTGTGTGTGTGTGTGTGTGTGTATGTGTATTGAGGACACTTAAGATCTATGCTCTTGGCAAATTTCAAGTATACAATATAGTATGATTATGATGATGATGACAAGATCTTGCTCTGTCACCGAGGCTGGAGTGCAATGGCCATCTTAGCTCACTACAGCCTCCAACACTTGGTCTCAAGCAATCCTCTTGCCTCAGCCCCCAAAGCACTGGTATTGCACATAGGAGCCACTGCCTGGCCTACACAATAGCGTATTATTAACCATAGTCACCACACTGTGCATTAGACCCCCAGAACCTATTCATCTTAGAACCGAAATTTTATAGCACCTGACCAACATTTCCCCACTCCCAGCCGCTAGCAACCACAGTCCTCCTCTCTGCTTCTATGAGTTCAACCTGTTTAGATTCCACATGTGAGTGAGATCATGTAGTATTTGCCCTTCTGCGCCTGGCTTATTCCACTTAGCAGAATATCCTCCAGGTTCATCTGTATTGTCATAAATGGCAGGATTTCCTTTTTTATGGCTGAGTGATATTCCATTCTATGTGTCTGCTGTATTTTCTTTGTCCTTTCATCTGTTGATGGACATGGAGGTTGTTTACACCTCTTCTACGTAATAATATTAATGCTGCAATTTACACCTCTTCTACATAATAATGTTAATGCTGCAATGAACATGAGGGTGCAGCTATCACTTTCAGACACTGATTTCATTTCCTTTGGTTGTGTACCCAGAGGTGGGATCACGTGGTAGCTCTAGTTTAAAATTTTTGTATTTATTTTCAAATTTATCCACAAGCCTCTTGTTGCCTGTTCATTTTTGTAATTATATCTTCTATTTCTCTGAATATCTATGTACACCTCTACTGTATGCCATCTGAAAATTCCGGTGTTTGCAAACCTTGGGAATATACATTTTCCTTGTAGTTTCCCCTGACTTCTATGCGTGGTCACTTTCTTGGTGGACATTGTTGTGACTCTGGCTGGGATTGTCCTGTGGCCCTAAATTAGGACTGTTTTTCCTCTGAAGATTTGCTTCTTCTAGCAGCAAGGGGGAGGCGGGGGACCTGCCTAAGACCACATCAACCTGGAATGTGGTTTTGTACTTCGTCACTATTCTGCTGTAAACATCCACCCCTGGGATTACCCCTTCTGACTGCTCTGTGTCTAGGTCATAGTATTGTGATATGTTTCACAGGGGTTGGTGGGGGGAGGTGGCTCTTTAGGAGCTCTGACGGCAGCAGAGTGATGAGTTATTGTTTCATTGGAATCATCCTGTATTCCTGAGTTATCCAGGGAAAGAATACACGCATGCTTCCTATGAATCACAAACAGCCATGCACGAGCCAAGCTGTCATGGGATCATTATAGCTCCGGTGCAAGAAGACGTGATAGAAAAGATGGAGACTCCATCGAGCTCCAGGCTGGGAGACAACAAGGGAGCAGTCAGATGGGAGAGCTGCTCACCTAGACTCAAGACATTGCAGGCAAGGGCAATGCTTCAGCACTAGAAGGATGAAACACACGCACTTTGTGTGGTGAGGGAGGAAAAGAAGAGTTTGATGGAAAGACGAGGAAAAGAACCAAGCCCCTCTTAGCTGGTGACCACTCAGCTCCGATGAGCATCACCTGGGGAAGGTGAACAGACTGCCCTTCAAATCAAATTTGGAGTAATGGAGAGAGGAAATGTGGCTGGGGTGGCTTCTAGGAGTTACGGCAGGGGAAGGAAGATTAAGTCACATTTTTCTAGTTTAACGAACCCATGGGCATCTTTTACTTGCTTTCCTAAAATGATAATTATAAAAAAGGAGTAGTTCACAATATAATTTAAAAAACACAATATATTCCTACTATAAGGAACAATGTATAGCATTTAAAGGTAGGAAAACAGGTCATTCACTGGCAGCCTTAACTTCTCTCTTTCCTCTTGTCTTTTTGCAAAACAGAACTTTTTGCAGTTGGCCATGGCCGCCCTGCACAAAATTAGTAAGTTTACAAGGGAGACAATCGTTTAATTGCAAATCATGTCCATGCTGGTCGAAGTTGAAACCATCTTCCCTTCACATCATCCCATTCACTTTCTTTTCTTTCCCCAACAAGCAGATGTGCAGTGGCCGGGCCGAGCCATGAAAGAACGGCAGGAGGATCCGGACACCACTGTGGCTGCACTAATGTTCTGGGGCTGCTGCAACGCAGGACCACATACTGCCAATCTCAAAACAAGAAAAATGTGTCCTCTCCCAGTTCTGGAGGCCAGAAGTCTAGGATCAAGGTGCTGGCAGGGCCATGCTCTCTCTGAAGGCCCTAGAGGAGGATCCTTCGGAAATGGACTAAATTGTGTCTACCCAAAATTTCTAGGTCGAAGCCCCACCCCCACGTGACACTATTTGGAGGTGGGCCCTTCATGGAGGTAATTAAGTTAAGTGAAGTCATAAGGGTGGGGTCCTAATCCAATAGGACTGTGACCTTACAAGGAGAGGGAGGGACACTAGAGCTGTCTGTCTCCAGGCACATACAAACCGTGTGAGCACATAGAAGGAAGGTACCATCTCCAAGCCAGGAAGTAGGCTTCACTGGAAAACATCCCTGACAGCACCTTGACCTTGGACTTCCCAGGCTCCTGGATGGTGGGAAATATATGTCTGTTGTTGAAGCTGCCCAGTCGGCAGCATTTTGTTACAACAGCCTGAGCTGCCTAATCCACCTCCTGCCTCTTCCAGCTCCTGGGGACCCCAGGAATGCCTTGGCTGTAGCCCTACAGCTCCAATCTCTGCCTCCATCTTCACGTGGCCTCCTCTTCTGTCTCTAAGAACATTTATTATATTTAAGGCCCACCCAGTTTGTCAGGAATGATCTCATCTACAGATCCTTAATCCACAGAGACCCTTTTCCCAAAAGGTCATGCTTGTGGGTTTCAGGAGTGAGGACACAGGCCCACTTTGGTGGAATCCACTCACGAGCCTGTTTGCTCATCTGTGTGTGTGCAGGAAATTCACCGAGAGCCTTCTGGGTGCGGATTGCTGCCCTCAGTCTTTGGCTGTGGCTCCTTCTGTCCAAGTACCTCTTCCAGGAGCATCTGTTCTCCAGCAGCGCATGGGGTGACATAAATTCACTCTATTTGATTTAGGGAAGCCTGGGTTTTGTTCTAAACCTGAGCCTTTGAATTTATTTTCATCCCTTTGGCTGCCAGGTTTGTGAACTCTGTAATGAGCGAGGAGCCTTCAGTGATTCCTGAGATCCTTTCTAGTTTCATAACATTATAAAATTCCTCACCCCATCCCCAGACACCAGGATTTCATTCCATTTCTCTAACAGGACAACACATATCTGGAGAGCAGTGACCCAAGACACATCTTGTCCAGCGGGTCCCTCATCCCTGTCACAGAACTGGGGACTGGCCCCTCCAACTGAGCACTGCTGCACACCTGGTGGGGTGCAGGTCACGCTGGATTCTGTTGACCTTCAAACACACAGCCTTGGTGCATTGGGAACCTGGTGTTCATTTGCAAGCTCTGGACGTCTGGCATGCTGGCTGGCACAAAATAGACACTCAACAAAGCCCAGGGAAAGGGAGTACAAGCAGCCCTCTGCAATAGAAGCTGCCAAGTCTTACAAAGTCTGTTAGCCTGGCTTTGAGCTGATAACTGGACTGTGGGTACAGAGTGAATAAAGCACTGAGGGGAAGCTACTGTGGCAGGATTTGCCTCTGTATTTACGGCAGAGTGTGTGCTGTGCACAGCGGCAGAACACACAGCATGTGCCCAGCTTGTGCTGCATGTAGCTGAGCTCCTCTGCTCCCTACTGCCCTCCCCATTGCCACTTCGGGGCTGGCGCAGGGTCCGGTTCCTCCTCTGTTACCCTCCCTGGGTCCCACCTCTATTCCCAAATGCAGTGTTTTCCCTGATAAACTTTCTGAAGACAAAGATTTGTCCTCTGCGACCCTCCAAAGTGCTGGACTTCCTTGCTAGCTCAGCAGGGCCTGACAGGGAGACCGGCTGTGGGGTGTGGACGCCCATATGAGTCATGGGGATCTGGGTACCGGAGCTGGCTTTACATCCATCTGTGAGTGGGCACCAGCCCATGGGGACAGATGGACGCCAGCCCAGGCTCCTCCCAGGGATGATGAGACCTCTGTGTCTAAGGGCTTAGATGTTGCTCTTGACTCTGGGCAGCACTTGCAAACCACTGTCTATGTGGAGCCTCAGCCAGCCTGCTCAGTGCTCTCCTTAAGAAAGGGGCATTTTCATAACGCATTGAGCATGTCCAGCGGACGCCCTGGAGGAATCTGGCCCCACTTGACTCAGGAGGCCGGCGCTGACTGAGTTGTGGGAGGAGCCCCTCGCTGAGGACGGGGAATAAGCAGAAGCAGTGGCCCGATGTTCAGGTGAGGAAGATCCCCTTTCTCCTAGGCGACTTCTGTGCCAGTTTTTTTTCCGGGAGCTCTCACTAGCCAAGCAGTTATGATGCGCTTCATCACAGCACATGCTTATCCCAACACACTTCTCAACATTCAGTAGATTCTTCTTACACAGAACTGCAAGAGCAAGACAACTTCAGCCTCCTCTCTATGATCTCATTTAATCTCGTAAGAGCCATGGGAGGCATCAATGACTTTCTGATGCAATGCATGTTGTGGCAGGTCAGATTCTGTCCTCCCAGTGATGTGTTCACATCCTGACTGCTGGAACCGAATTTGCTAATTCGGAAGCAGGTTCTTTGCAGGAACAATCAAGTTAAGATGAGCTTGCACTGGATTGATGGGCCCCACTCTAATGCCAAGCGTCTTTACAGGAATAGAGAACTGTGGACACAGACACACGGAATATGCCACATGAAGACACAGCCACACAGGGAAGGAGTGTGTGAGGAGGGAGGCAGAGATGGGAGCGATGTGGCCACAAGCCAAGGAGCACCTGGGGCCTCCAGAAGCTGGAGAGGCAGAAAGGGTCCTCTCCTGGGGCCTTGGGAGGGACATGGCCCTTAGATGTCTTGATCTTGAACTTCTCACCCCTCAGTCTGTGGTGGCCTATTACGGCAGCCCAGGGAAGCTAGTCCTGATGGGCAAGGGAGATGCAGCAACCTCCAGCCATGCCAAGATGCACACAGCAGGCAGGGGGAGAGCTGGAGCTGAGTCCGAGCTCCCTGCACCTCCAGGGTGGTGTCCTTCCCTTTCGTGTTGCAGCAAACCCCTTGCAGGGTCCTCTTTTGAGTGTATCCACTTTGACTCCCTAAATACACAGAAGTGATATATTTAAAGGCAGGAACACCAACTCCTAGATTTCTTCATCTATGAAATATGAATAACAGTAACTACCCAGATGGTGTTCATGCGGATTTGTGAGGAAATGCGCAGGAAGCTCTGGGGGCAGGGCCGGGCACGCAGGAAACGCTCGGCGGATGCTGTCAGTGGGCGCCATCAATCCTGTGCCCCAGCACAGAGCGAGCTGCCCCTGTCCATCATCCCATCACAGCTTCTTCATAAACACCAGCTACCTGGGAGGGAAACATTCATCTCTCTTTGAGAAAATGGACACCAGGGACGTGACCTAACTTACCCCATGTTCCAGAGCCAGTGGTGGCGGCAGCATAATTCCACCCAGAGCCCTCGGAACCCAGAGCCCACCTGTGTCCAGCAGGCAACACTGCCTACCTTCGTCTGTCCCTCTGAGTGTCCAGCACATTCCCAGGTGAATGGTGGACGCTCACTGTATGCACCGTGTTTGATATTGCCATGGTCAGAATGGTGGTGAGGAAAAAAAGTCATCTTTCTGTTCCCCAAAGCCCACATTGATTAAACCCATTTCTTATGGAATGGCTGAGTGGTTGTCCTTTTTCCATTTTGCTCCAAATTAAGCAGGGATGTCCACATGAGGGAGAGTATGTGATGTCTTAGCATGGCACAGAGTCAAGAAACACAGCTGAGGTGGGGTTTTTGCTTTTTTTTTTTTGTTTTTCTGGATGGAGTTTTTGCTCTTGTTGCCCAGGCTGGAGTGCAATGGTGCAATCTCGGCTCACCGAAACCTCTGCCTCCTGGATTCAAGTGATTCTCCTGCCTCAGCCTCCCAAGTAGCTGGGATTACAGGCATGCACCACCATGCCTAGCTAAATTTTTTGTATTTAGTAGAGACAGAGTTTCACCATGTTGGTCAGGCTGGTCTTGAACTCCTGACCTCAGGTGATTCACCTGCCTCAGCCTCCCCAAGTGTTGGGATTACAGGCATGAGCCACTGCGCCCAGCTTGAGGTGGGTTTTGCTTCAGCTCGATCAGCATGGGTCTATGACTTCCTCAACTCTTGAGATGATGGAAAGGGCCTTGGGAGGGGGCAGAGGCTCAGTTAGGAGCTGTTGTGAAGTAGCATGTGCAGTTGGAAGGTCTCAGTTCTGCTACAGCCCATGCCATTTGTGGTGGTGGGACCTGGAACACATGAACGACTCTCTCAGCCCTCACCTGCAGATGGGATGCTAATGGCATCTGCCCCTGAGCTCTTGGGGAGCCTCCACGGGCCTCTGGGGTGGGCTCCTCAAAAGGCTGCCAGGCTACCAGGTGGAAGTCCTGGGCCCTTGGGCTCTAGAGCTCATCACACCCTGTGTGCATCCTCCCTGCAACACCTAGAGTGTGCCTTCTCCTCACACATCTGAGCAGCCCAGCTCCTCCCACCCACCCATCCCTTGAAGCCCCTCTCTGTCACTCGGAGACAGTTTGGGAGATCCCCACCCCCACCTACGAGAGGCAGGTTCCCTTCGTTTGGGCCCTGAAAGGAATATGCGCACAGCTTTGCCCTTCCAGGAGATCTCGCTTATGAAGAGTTCTCCTGGTGTGGGGGGTGTGAAAATGCCACCCTTGGCAGGTGAGGCAGGTGGGCAGGTGGGTAGATGAGGCAGGTGACATAGGTGGGCAGGTGGGGCAGGTGATACAGGTGGGCAGACGAGGCAGATGGGGAGGTGAAGCAAGTGAGGCTGGAGAGATAGGTGAGCAGATGAGGCAGGTGAAACAGGTGAGCAGGTGAAGCAAGTGAGGCAGGTGAGATAGGAGGGCAGGTGGGCTGGTGATGCAGGTGGGCAGACGAGGCAGATGGGGAGGTGAAGCAAGTGAGGCAGGTGGGCAAGTGAGGCAGGTGAGACAGGTGGGCAGGTGGGTGGGTGAGACCGTACGTGACACCACTCAGGCCTCCTCCCCAAAGGTGGCACCAGCCTGGGCTCAGGAGCCAAGATACCCACAGAGAGAAGGATTTGTGGAGACAGCGGGAATGAGAAATGTTGTTTTGGCAGAATCTTCAGAGATGTGGTCTTTCCAGTGGGCTGCAGGCGGCTGCAGAGGCTCTTGGGGGCAGGAACGCTGTTTCTGGATCTCTGTAAGGTGATTCGGTACAAGGGCTGGGGGAGTCACACAGCAGGGCTAAGCAGGGCAGCTTCATCCCCACACTGTCGGGCACCGTGACTGCTGCCTACCAAGTAAGACCCCAGTTGGTAGTGGGCAGGTGATATGTTTCCAAATCCATAGGCTTCAGATCAGTCACCCTGAGAATACAAAGACGACAGCACCCATTGGAGCCCTTCCTCCACCACTCCCTTGTGATGTGGCCTTGGACCTTTAAAGAAAAGCGGCTAAGCCTCAGCCGGTGTATGTAAACCCAGGGCAATGCTCTCACCTGGTTATCAGGGTTACCTGTAAAGTTCGCATTAAAACAGTTACCATAATGTCTGGGACACCAGGAGACCTAGAAATAGCAGCTATTACTGTTAGCATTTTTATTATTATTTAGGAGAAACACAGAGCCCCAGGTCTCAAAGGCAGTGCCACACAGTGTCATGCACATTATCTTTTGCACCCTCAGGAGAGCCTTTGCAGACAGGCGGGGGCGGGGGGGCACTGTTCTTCCCTCCCCCTCTTCGGGGCTGGAGACAATGGGTTCAAAGAGGGGAGCGACTCCCCAAGGCCACGGAGGCCTCTGAGTTCCCTGAGGCTCCATCCTGAGCATAAGAGCTCCCGTAATCCAAGAAGACAGACGCCCTCTTATTTGCTTAGGAATAATTCCTCCTCTTTAGCAGCACCTATTACGACTTTTGTGGATTCAGTTCTTCCTTCCTCTTGCTGCCTTTACTGCCTGCCTTGCCATAGCAGAAATGTCTCCCACATGGAACAAGCAGGAATTATCTAGCCAAATAGGGTGCTTATTTGTGCGTATGCCCTGCCATCTCTTCCTTCACTAGGGCAAGGGGAGAGAAGAAAAAGCAGACCCAGATGATTCCGTGGCGCAGTCAAAACACAGCGGCAGGCAGCCCTCCACGTTTCGAGAGCTGATTAGGCACCGCGGAGCTGCTGAGCTGCGGCAGGCACCTGGAACTTAATCAGGTCCCCAGGGGCCGGCGCAGTTAGGGCAGCTCCACTTAGGAATTGGTGCTAATTGGCGCCCCTTGTTCGCCCTCTCCCAGTTCACTCCCCAAGCCAGGGTGCAAGTATTTAGAACTCTCGCATCCCTAATAAGATACCTTTCCTGCCTGGGAATGTTCCCCACCTACGAGAGGAGGAGGTAGACATTAAGCAAATGCGTGTGGGCTCACACACACACACACACACACACACACACACAGACACAAAAATACATCGACACACAACACACACACTCATAGAGACAAGCAGACACAAACACATACACAAACATTGTTGCACACTCGATACACACACACACTCTCACACACCAGACACACACACCCCAGCGGTTCCTGTGTTGTCAGATGATGGGTGTCATGGATTGAATTGTGTGCCCTTAAATTCATATGCTGAAGCCCTCGCTCCAGTGTGGCTGTGTTGGAGACAGCCCTCATGGAGGTAACTAAGGTTAGATGAGGTCGTCAGGGTGGGCCCTGACCCGACAGGGCTGGTGTCCCCATAAGAGGAGGAAGGGACACAGGGGGTGTGTGTGCACAGAGGAAACCCCACGTGAGGACACAGTGAGAAGGCGTCGCTTGCAAGCCCAGAGAAGCAAGTCAGTCGGTACCTTCATCTTGGACTTCCACCTCCAGGGCCTTGAGGAATAAAGCTCTGGCCTATGTGCCTGGCCCGTGGTCTCCATTAAGGCAGCCCCAGCTGACTGAGACAGGGGGTCTGCACACTCTGCTGTGGAGGCAGAGACAGGTGCCACCGTACTGGGGGTCACCGTCTTACCGGGGGTCACTGTCTTACCTGGAGTCACCGTCTTACCGGGGGACTTGAGAGGTGGGTGGAGCTGACCACTTTCCGGGAGGAAAGGAGTCTGACAGAAAGGCCGTTCCTCACTGGAGGACAGCGTTTGCTAAGGTGGAGGTCTGGACAGCGCTGACCCTGGAGAGCAATCAACTCAGGTTGCAGCTCAGGGGCGACACCGGACATGGCCTTGCTGCTGGCAGGCAGCCATATGTACCCATCTCGTGGGCCGAGGAAGCCCCTGATATCTTCCAGGGCATACTCCAGTCTCCTGGTAGTGGGTGAACTGCAGAGTTTGGCTGGAAGGAGCAGGGGCCACACGGGACTTGTTCCCGCCTTGGGTTGGGGCGAAGGGTCTACCGTGACCTGTGAGCACCCCACGCCGCCACTGCGCCAAAGGAAACTCCGTGAAGAAGGAAGGACACCCACTCACGGCTTTTCCTGAGAATTTTTAAATGCTTATAATTTACGGTAGGGAAAAATTAGTTGGAAAAATTCAGCTCTCACAGAATTAAGATAACGAAACTGTCTATTCTTAACACAACTGTGTTTTCATTCAGATTAATTTTGTGGTTTGAAGTCACTATTTCAACATTAAGTTTATTTGAATAACGTTTCTTGAACCCCTGAACTGTCATATTATGGACAGATTGAAGCGGGGGGCGGGTTGTTTTGTTTACACACAGCTATCAGCCAGGAGTGTGCATCAGGCCTTCTCTCCTGCCAATTTGCAGCTAGAAAATCAGCTGGCCTGAGTATGCTTCATACGCGGCTTCATGTTTGTCACTGACCGCACTCTGTGAGTGATCCGCAGCCTGTGGGGTTGACGTCAGGGCGGTGGAGACGTGTGGGGCTGAGAGTGAGGGGAGTTCAGAGGCACAGAAGCCACCCAAGCGACCTGGAGCCAGTCCCTTCCCACTGTGAGCTTCAGTACCCTGGGCTGTAAAACGTCACGGGGTCCAGCACCAGGCTTCCCTGGGAACCTGCAGAGGCTTCAGAAGTTCAAACTCTCAGGCCCAGCCCCATAGACCCAGTGACATCCCCCGCATTCCCAGTGAGAGACAGCCACACCGAAGGTGGGAAACCCGGGCTGGGGGACGTCCAGAGCACGTCCGGCCTGAAGGTGCACGGACACCGGCCTGGGCCTAGATGGGAAGGGCCAGATCTTCTCAGGAGAGGTAGAATATTGTCGTAGGCACCTGGCACTAAGCTGTCCACAACATCATTTAATGTTTTCAGTGAGCTGGCCATTCTTTGCCCATCTTCAGAGCCACCTTTATGGGTGTAAACTGGGCCATTCAAGCCAATACTCAGGTATGGAGGAAGTCACAGGGGTACCAGGAGAGAATTAGGTGCAACGTCCCACGAATGCTGGACACCTGGCGCCACCACCATTGACTCAATGACCCTCAGCAGTGGGCACAAGTCCTCGAAGCCTCAGCTCCTCCAGATGGTCACCGAGAAACTGGGCCTGACAGAGCTGGAAGGCCACTCTAGCCTTTAGAGATTACGGGTCCAGGTACACGGGCTGATTCTGCAGTGACCTCAGAGGCTCTTTCAAACTGCTTTCATGGGATATGCTGAAATCCTCTATATGTTCTAGTCCTGTTTCTTGCCTAAATACATAATGTGGGAAAATGGCATCTGGTTTTTTAATTTTCCTGTTGTCTTCCTGTAAGTTGGATACGTTTTCACTCTTATGAATCTGTTACAGTGTCACTGATTTAATAAACATTTGTTTAATGAATTTTGTCTCACCTACTTTGTATTGTTGAAGCTTATTCCAAATGACTCCCTTACAGAAGTTAACTAAATGTCATTAAGGTGGGTACAAGGCACCATATTACTATGAGCTGTGATGAGGAAGTTCAGCCCTTTTCACAGTGGAAATTTTTCAAATGTCTGCTATGTGCAAGAAGACAACTTAGTGCCTTTCAGCTGAACTCTTGCTATTCAGGAATCACATTTCCATCTTGACCTGTGATAAGGAGCTGTCTCTCTGCCTGTGTCTTGCTGAACACCTAGGAAATGGGGCAGCTAATGGGGAGAGTCTTGTTCCCAAACAATGAGCTCCTGGCAGAGGAAATGGCCCGGGGTGAAGGGAGCACAATACTGGGTGAGGAATATGAGAGCATCCGACACCAGCAAGCAGGCTCTGGGGCCAGGACCAACACAGAATGTCAAAGCATGCAGAGCCTCGATCGTAAAAGGCAGAAGTTCAGTGGAGTCTGGACTCTGTCACTCCCTTAGAAAAGTGATAGGATGACCTCGCGCTGCTGGGTGGAGCGTAGCCCTTACCTGCCCCGTCCTCAGCCCAGGTCGCCTGTTCAGTGACACTCACAGGAGCCCCCTGCATGGAGCTCAGTACTCTGCTGCCACAGTCCTCTCCGAATATTTAGTGCCCCAGCACGTGAGGCAGCTGCGTGGCAATGGAGTCGATTCCAACAAAACTGGAATGGAAGCGCCTTCTCCCGTCCTCTGCACATGGACCCTACAAATACCCCTGAAAGTGTCCACCACGTGCCTGCTGTGTTCTAGACACTCACGATTCAGTGCTGAACTAGACAAGATTCCGTAAGGTTCACTTCCTAATAGGGGTTACAGATGGAATACACATCGACTGAAAATATAATGCCTACTTCTAATAAGTGCTATGATGAAAATAATAGACTAAAAAAGGGAAGTACTTTGTTTAGATCGGGAGGCAAAGTTGTCCCTCTCAGGGTGCGTTCCTTGATCTGGCAGCAGACTGCCTTGAAGGAGAAGACCTGGACAAAGCTACCTGGGTGGGGAGAGCTGATGGGCAAAGTCTTCCATGCTAGAAACAAACCAGGTCAGTTCCGAGTGGAGGCCCATGCAGCTGGAGCTAAGAGGCAGGTGATGGGATCAGGCAGGTGGAATGAGCACCTGTCAGTGTGCAGCTGTCCGGGTGGGCGATGGAGAAGGCCACACTCAGCACTCAGCGTGCAGCTGTCCGGGTGGGCGATGGAGAAGGCCACACCTGGGGTGGCTGTGGTGAGGAGACAATCCCGTTCCAAGCGTACTCTGATGGGAGAATGAACAGGACCTGCTGAAGGTGGAGAACTGTTTCCATCTTCCTTTCCTCAGTCTCTCAGGGACCCCTTGGCTAGAACCTGAGCTTCTCCAGCCATCGGAGCAGAGCAATGGGATGGTGCCATCCTCTCTTGATGGGCTGGCCCAGGCCTAGGAATTTAAATGTCCGGGAAGGAGAACACCAGGGCAAGGTCCACATCGCACCTACAGAATGAGCATCTAAGCGGAGTATTTCAGGTAACTCTAGGCCAAGACGGGGGAGATTGAAGAACCTTTCCAGACTGGTGGCTGACCTCCTACTAGATACAGCATAATGCTGGCTGGGGCTGGACGGAAGAGGGCTGCATTTTCCTCCTCGCTGTCTGTTGTAAGAGCATGCCTTTGAGGCATTTATTTTTGTACCACCTACAGGTTGCATCATGGGTGAAAACAGAGCCCTCAAGGCATAAAAACCATAAGCCTTCGGTGGATGTCATGATACAATACAAGGGGCTGGATTGACTCTATTTTTCAGGAGTTCACCTATGACAGGTGCCCACTGGAAATGGGGAACCTTGTGTTGGAAACCTAAAGCATGTCAGGGGAATGCCCAGCAGGGGCCCTGCACTGCATGTCCTGAGACAGGATCCCCGCGACAGCTGCACATCCTCAGCTGCAGTGAGGGGTGAGCAATTGTGTCCAGAGGTTTCCTGGGAGGTAGCATGGGGAAGAACCAGGTAGTGCAGGGACACAGGGGATGAGGAAGAAGGCGGCGTGGATCCGTGGGCAGTGGGGGCAGGACGTGCGTGTCCCAGGCTGCGGAAGCAGCTGTCATTCCTGGCCAGGCACAGCCATATCTGCAAATTATGGTGTTGTACCGGCAGGCATCATGTCAAGTCTTCTCCCTAGATCTGAGCTCAACCTTTAGAGATCCCCGTTGACTGCCCGGCTGTGGAACAGTGGGCTGGGCAGGGGACACTGAGGCATTGTGACCCGTGAAGGCCAACAGAGGTCACAGGGATAATTGTCACTTTCTGACACCATCATTGGAGTCTTCTGGGTCATTCCATGGTCTGAAATGGAAAGTTTCAATCTGAAAGCAAAACCTTATGTGAGCTTATTAGATGGAACAATTCAGAAAGCTCTCTAGGGAAGGAGCAGGCTGGAAGTCCTCTCTGGCTTCCACCAGCACACGCATATTAGGAAGCTGGCTATTTTCCTGGAAGGAGGAAGGTGGTCTGGGGCAGACAAGCGTGGGCTGGATTCAGAACCATGCTGCTTTGCTTTGCTGTGGGAGACGAGGACCCAGGAGGTTTGGCTGCTGCTGTGGGAGGGCTCCATCCGGCAGGCCTGGGGACAGCTAGTCCAGCCCTGCCTTCCCAGACAACACAAGTAATTAAAGAGGAAGGCTTTGAATTGTGGTCATGACATTATTACCAGAATGTTCTAGGGACCAGTAGATGGAGAAGCAATTGTAATTAATGGAAATTTTACAGGCAATAGCATTAGGATTCAGACGTGGTCTCAAAACCTCGAGTGTCGTCACCTCTGTGACAGGACAGCTGAGGGCAGGCTCATGGGTTTCCTGCAGCTCGCACAGATGCTGGGATTTGAATGTCGAGATTCTAACCTCACATCACAAAAAGGAGAAGGGCCTCACACATGTGGTGAGAACCGGGAGGCTCCGGCAGCCTCACACAGACCACTCAGTTCAGGCAGTGAGGCTCGGCGGGGCAGGCAGAACCAGAGACCCCCAGGATGGCACCATGGGCACCCTTCAGGAGGGAGTCCCTCCCCCGTGGCCAAGTGGTGCTGGTGGTAAAGTTCGGGTTGAAATTTGAAGAGAAGGCAGCATTGGCTGACCTAAGGAACCTGGAACTGACCAAGAGTTGCGGTGGGGTAGTGGGGCAGACACTGGGGGACGGCGGAATGAGGCAGACATGGCTGAGTCCCTGAGGCAGATGCCGTGGGCATGGCTCCAGGCCATGGGTGGCTGCTCTGGTTTGGTCAGATGGATCTCTCGAGGAGCTAGAGCCATGGCCAAAGAGGCCAACCTGGCTCTTAGTGTGCAGCTTTGTTTCTGGTCAAGGTTTCTGCGGTCACCTGGGTATCCTCACAGCCCCTCACTCAGCAATCCAGTGTCCAGTCTACCTGGGACAGATTTGGCACATGCCAGTGACTGTCCAAGTCTCTAGGAGGGAAGGCACACAGCCCATCCAGGTGCACTTAGCAGGGGTGTGAGGGGCTAGCTTGAAGACCCCTGACAGGTGCCACACTGGCCCCCCTTGACTCAGACCCCTAAGCGGGCTTCAGGCTCTCCTCTGTTCCCAGCAAAGCAGATGCAGGCCCCAGGGAAGCCTCGTCCCTGTCCGCTGACCGACAGGAGGGAGGGTGACTGGGCACTGGCCACAGGGTTCAGAGCCTGTGGCAGAAATTCCCACCAAGCTCAGAGGTCCATGCAGACTTCCTGGGCTCTGCTTGTGGGGTGCAGGCAAGGGTGCCCATGGCCACCCGAAACCTGGGCTTGACCCAGGTACCCTCAGGAAGGAAGGCCCTGCTGGACTATACCCGGCCTCTCGTACCCCTTTCCCAGGTTCAGACTTTCCAGCCCAGCGGTCCAGGGCCATAGCTTCCAGGGCTGGCAGGGACCTGGTGACAGGAAGGGCCCCTCCCAAAAGCAGAGCTGACCTTGGCCCTCAGGTGAAGTGGCCTCAGGGGCCGTGAGCACCCACCATGTCTGCAAAGGGGAGAAAAGGGGTGGCTTGTGGTGACAGCAGCCTCTCCTATGGCAGGAAACGCGGCTGGAGAGGGGCCTTGTCACCCCTGCCGGGCCCCCGTGGAGGGTATCTAGAGTCCGGCAGATGGCGGGGCCAGCACCTGAGATATCCCGTTCCCCTGCTATGCTGGAGAGGGCCATGGTATGAAGTGGGGGGCTTCACACTGCCCCCGGCCCTGATCTGGGAGGCCCTTCCAGGCGAAGGCGGCTCCCGGCTTCCCCTTCCTGCTGCCCCTCTTCCTCCCCATGCCCGCCTCTCCCCCCACGCCTGCCTCCTCCCTCCCGCTCCTCGCTGCCTCCTCGCCTCCAGGCCACAGTTTCTGTAGCTGGGTCTTCAGACTTCAGAAGTGTCCTTTTATTGTAAAGACTTCAGTGGTTTCCTAGAAAGCGCCGGATTTTCGAGCTTTCTTCCTGGCGGGGTTGCTTTGTCCTGCGCGACAGCAGGAGTTGTGGGCGGCCGCTGCAAGGCCCGCGCTGGCCCCGTCTCCCTTCGCAGGTGTCGAACCAGGAGTCACCTCCGCATCTGCGCAGCAGCGGGCCCGGCGGAGGGGCTCTGTCCCCACCTTCTCCCCCTCCACTGCCTCCCGGATGGGGACGGAGAAACAGGGGTCCCGACAAGTGTCCACAGCAAATCAGATGAACACCTTGACTCCGAGCAGGGAGGCTCCTTCTGATTTGCCCTGTCCTTCTTCCAAAATGACAGAAAGATTCAGCAATGGCTTCAAAGAACCTTAAATGGCACATTTCTCTAAGAGACACAGAGGAAAGTCGGTTTAAAAGGCTTCTAAGTAATTGGATTGCCAGGCTTTTCCCACCGATGGAGAAAAGAAAACAGGCGTCACACAAACACAGGCCACACACGCCACACACGCCACACACGCCACACTCCACACACGCCACACACGCCACACACACCACGCAACACACACATCACACGCCACACACGCCACACTCCACACACCACACACCACACAACACACACATCACGCGCCACACATGCCACACACGCCACACACCACACACGCCACACACACCACACACATCACACACATCACACTACACACCACACACATCACACTCCACACACCACACACGCTACACACGCCACACACGCCATACACGCCACACACGCCACACACCACACACGCCACACACGCCACACTCCACACACCACACACACCACACAACACACACATCACGCGCCACACATGCCACACACGCCACACACGCCACACACGTCACACACACCACACACGCCACACACATCACACTACACACCACACACATCACACACATCACACACCACACACCACACACATGCCTCACACACACAGGCACAGGCACACATGAGGAGAAAACACACAGACACACACAGCACACGTGCCACAAACACACCACAGCCAGAGAAAACACACAGGCACACACACCACACACGTGCCTTGCACACACAGGCAGAGGTATACACATAGAGAAAGCATGCAGACAGGCACACACCTCACACATGCATCACACACAGGCACATGCACACACGGAGAAAACACACAGACAGGCACACACACCACACACATACCTCACACACACCACATACAGAGAAAACACACAGACAGGCACACACACCACATACACCACACACATGCCTCACACACACATGCACAGGCACACATGAGGAGAAAACACACAGACAGGCACACACACCACACATGCCACACACACACCACACACAGAAAACACACAGACAGGCACACACACCACACATGCTACACACACACCACACACAGAGAAAACACACAGACAAGCACACACACCACACGTGCCACACACACACCGCACCTAGAGAAAACACACAGACACACATACCACACATACCACACACGTGCCTTGCACACACAGGCACAGGCACACACATGGAGAAAACACAGCCAGGCACACACACCACACATGCCACACACACACCACACACAGAACACTCGCAGACAGGCACACACACAACACACATGCCACACACACACCACACACAGAAAACACACAGACAGGCACACACACCACACACATGCCACACACATAGGCACATGCACACATGAAGAAAACATGCAGACAGGCACACACACTACACACATGCCTGGTGATGTCATGGTGATGTGGTGATGTCATGGTGAAGTGGTGATGGCATAGTAATGTGGTTGTGTCATAGTGGTGTGGTGATGTCATGGTGATGTCAAGGTGATGGGGTAGTAATGTTATGGTGAGGTGGTGATGTCATAGTGATGTGATATGGTGATGTCATGGTGATGTTGTGTGATGCAGTTGTAATGTTATGGGGAGGTGGTGATGTCATAGCGATGTGATGTAGTGGTGGGACAGTGGTGTCATGGTGATGTGGTGATGTGTGGTGCTGTCCTGGTGATATGATCGTGGTGATGCCGTGGTAATGTTATGGTGATGTGATGTCATGGTGAAGTGGTTGTGTTGTGATGTGGTGACGTCGTGGTGATGTGTTGTTGTTATGGTGAGGTGGTGATGTCATAGTGACGTGAAGTGGTATAGTAGTGATGTCATGGTGACATCGTGGTGATGTGGTGACGTCGTGGTGATGTGGTGTTGTTATGGTGAGGTAGTGATGTCATAGTGACGTGATGTGGTGGTATAGTGGTGATGTCATGGTGACGTCGTGGTGATGTGGTGACGTCGTGGTGATGTGGTGATGTCACGGTGGGGTTGTGGTGATGTCATGGTGATGTCATGGAGAGCAGGTTCAATGGGAGGGTGAGGAGTTCTGCATGGGACTGAACACCCTAGGGTGTTGTGAGCCTCACTGTGATGATCACCTGCCCAAGGCAGGTGGACTGTAGGTGCTGACCTTGGGGCTGGACCTCCCCCTGCATGGCACTGGCTGGGTGGACCCAGGCATAAGGAGCACCACATCCTGCCTGGGACAGCGAGCTGTTGGGGAGCCATCCTCCAGCAGGACCAGGAGCTGTCGGGGAGTCATCCTGGAGCAGGACCATGAGCTGTCGGGGAGCCATCCTGGAGCAGGACTGTGAGCTGTCGGGGAGCCATCCTGGAGCAGGGAATAAAGAGTAGCTCAGCCTTCAGCCCATGCTTAGGACCCCTGGCTGGGAGCTGAGGCCGCAGCCCGTGAGCCTGGCTATCAGAATGAGGCTCAGGAAAATTTGAGGTCCAGAGCCCACAACCAACACAGGGAACAGGATGTTAACCCAGGTAAACAGCTGGGGTGGAAGATTCTTCCAGAAGCTCTTCTGTCCCGTTTTCCTCCGTGCTGGCTATTGCCTAACCTCTCAAAGTGTTAGAGATGATGCAGGTCTGGCATGGAGATACCCGCAGGGAAGCCCCTGTCTCTGGAGCAGGGTCCAGCCATCCTGTCTGCATCCCTGCACCCACCCTGGAGGCTCTGCTGGGCTGCCCTGCCCCTCCTGCTGGCCTCCAATCCTGCTGTTCCCCCGGACCCCCACAGGCCACCGCGTCCGCTGGCCCTCATTGCATGTTTATCAGACTCGGGGGCCAGGCAGGCCCACTCTCCCTGGGCCCCCGCAGCTCCAGACCCTACCTGGCACAAAGTGCTGGCTATTTGTCCTCAGGATATTGTAGTTTTGAAAGACGAGACTCCTTGCATGAGATAACAGCTTTAAGGATCAGTGAAACTGATTCCATTCTAAACACAACTGCAGCAGGGATGGTCTGCAATACAGTGAGTGGTAGCAGAATCAAAGGGTAAGAGCTGAGTTCTACTCGTGAGGGGCTTCCCGTCTAGCAGAGTAACCGGAAGGAGTCCACCAGACAGGTGTTCAAGCTACGCTTTCCTGAGTATGACTCTGTATCCGTAGCCAGCTGATGAGCTACGCTTTCCTGAGTATGAATGACCCTGTATCCGTAGCATATGCGCCTGACCGTCTCAGTGCAGGGGATGATGGATGGATGTCCAATGGCTTCCTCGGGCTGATGGTACTGCTTAGTGAGAACCAACTGTTAAATTTTCAGGAATTTTGTGAGCCAGTTGATGTCACATAAGTAGCTTGAAATCAGCCAAGCAGGAGAATTTACATCACAGAAATGGGCAAATGCTATAATTTTTTTAGAGCCAGTTATTAAGCATCTACTAACATACCACTTATTAAACCCATCTATTAATTTGATTATTTAACAGTAATTGTTTATCAAGTAATAATTATGAGCATGACACTCAGATATGCATAAGATAAACAGGAGAAAATAGGTTTTTCCTAAGTAATTCCCCTTTAGCTTTGGAGCCCTAAAAATTGAACTATGTGCCTAGGGAACTGCCTGAGTGCTGGGTGTGCCAATGTCCTCTACCTAATGGAGATGGCAGGTGTCTCTCTGTGAGCCCTACTTGCCCTCTACCACTGCCCCAGTACAGGCCATGCTAGAACATGTATTGATAATGCTTTATGGGGAGGGGATGCTGTATTAGAGTTTCTGGTTTGCTTCTCAGGCTTCAAACACCAGAGGAGTTGACATCAGTGACCCTAACACTGGAGTGACTGGTGGGAGTTATGACACCGCCAGGGATCTCGGACCAGAGGCGCAGCCCCAGAGAGTGACAGTGTGCACTCCATGCAGTGTGGGGCTCACAGCCGGAGATCTGCCTAATTCTCTCTCTTCCAAACCTGCAGTTCCCAGTCCTTGGGGAGCTCCCTGACAAGTGCAGAATGGGACGAGCATGCAGGGGCAGCACCTGGCTTTAGGGGTGTCTCACCTGCCTGTCTGACTTGCTTACAGGCCTGAACCTCCATGAGGGTTGCCTGTGCAGTTTTTCATCCTTGTCTCCCTGGAAACAAGGACAGAGTGAAAACAAATAGAAGTCAATAATTTCTTGTTAAACAATGAATGAATAACAGAAAGATCCAGTTATAATAGGTCCAGTTGGCAGCTGCATTCATGTAAGAATGACCTATCCTATGGAAAATACTCATCAGACGTGCTATGTTCCACCTAAGCATGGGAGAATGAAGAACAGAGAGGAGGTGGGGAAAAGGAGGAAGGGTAGGGGAGGGAAGGGGAGAAGTGGGGATGGGAGGGGAGGGGAGAAATTTATTTTAGTTGAGACAAGAAAGATTTAAGATAGGGACTAGTAATAAATTTCTTTCTCTAAAGGTTGTTTTTAAAGAACATTATGGAAAATGGTCTCTTAAATAGTACAGAAGTTAGAACAATATTTGAGAAAAATTTCTGAAAAATTATCATCTGGAAACAAGTAATTTATTTGAGGCTAAAGACAGTAAAATATTGAACTTTTTACAGAAAGTAGAGATTATCTCTCTCTCTCAGTCTCTCTGACACACACACACACACACACACACACACAAGCACAGCTGACTTCCTTATTCCCCTACTCATTAACCATGTGGTAGATTCAAATATCCAGCAAATGTCCAACAAACGTCTTTAGATCTTGGCCAAGACACCCAGGAAGGTGCCCTCAGCATCCCAAGTCACCAACCATAAAAACACAGAAACGATGGGGCTTAGATCCAGCCATCTTTTATTTTAGAATGTACTGGGAACAGAGGATTCCTGGGGTCATAGAGACGATGAAAGCTGTTGCTGATTTACAGTATGGGCATTAAAGCCCATTTGCCTTTTCCATCAGCTAGAAAGGGCAGGACAGTCACATGGCAAAATACACACCTGCTTAAACTGAACTTACTCTGGAAAACTGTTTGAAATATCCCTAGGCTAGAATTAACGAAATTATTAACAGTAAAGCTATGTTCAGAAAAAGAAAACAAAGTGGAGATCTTCAAGATGTGAATTACAGAGACCATTATACTATTTTAAAAAATCAGCGTCCACATGTCTTAAACTGCTTTGTCCCTGGCATTAGGTCACGTACATCACAAAGCGCTGAAATATCACCATTGTTTGCAGGAACACAGCATAGCAGCCCCGAGTGTACATGGGGAAGCCTTTAAATCAATGCGGGCAAACAGCTCTGCCACACACCACGTGGGTGTTCTGGCAGCTGGCGATGCACGGCCCAGAATGTGTACTTGGAAGCCGGGAACGGGGCCTGGGCCTTGGTCTCTGTGGCTTTCGTTTGCTCTACCCTGGGATTTGCAAATCCAGAGTGGAGGCTGTGGTATTTCACTGAGATCATTTGGAAGCCACTTCATATTCTTCTGTGACACAAGATTCAAAGCTTAATTTATCAGATCTAAAGGCACCGTTTTTTCTTCATTGCCCGAGGCAAGAAGCCAGAGGCACCGCTGCATGTAATTAACATCGCATCCAACACAGACGGACCTGGACCCGGCGTGGGCAACGCTTTTCTTCCGGGATATTTATTGATGGGTAACTTGATTTAACAACAATTACGAAATAACCATATATTATACCAGAAGTCCCTAAATTGTGTGTACGTGCATTCAAAATAATTAGTAATTTGTCTTTTTAAAAATAATGTGTGTGTTAATTCAAGTTAAGTGTTTCTGAACACTAAAGTATTTCCCTTTAAAGATTTAAAACAATCTCAGCAGTTGGGGTGAAGGGGGTTTTAATAATTTTAATAAGTTTAAATATGTGACTACAATATATACAATTATACATATATATTCATGCACGCATATGTGCACATATGTGCACACACATGCACACAAATATGTCACATTGCACAGGGTCAGCCTGCTGCTGGGTGCCCTGTGAACCTGAATTCTTCATCTCAGCCACTGAGCCTGCTCCCTCTGTCACCCACTTACTGGTTCGTCCACCTCCAGGCACAGCCTCTTCCAATCCATCCCTGCACACTGGAGTGACCTTTGTGAAATGAAAATCCTCATACTCTTCACACAAAAATTAACGGAAACAGTATGGTAGATTTACACATAAAACTAGAAAACCTTTCCAAAAGAAAACATGACAGAAATCTATGTGGTCAAGGATCAGTTCGACACAGCATCCAAAGGCAGGAGCCACAAGGGAAAATTTGGTTATCTGGACTTTATAGAAATCAAAAACGTTTTTTGTCTATGAAAGTCTCTGTTAAGCAGATGAAAAGACAAGCTACAGACTTGAAAAAAAAACAGTTTCAAATCACAAATCCAACAAAGGACTTGTATCCAGAACATCCAAGAACTCTCAGCTGCACTGGGTAACAGTTTGGCAGTTCTTTACAGAAATAAATACGAATTTACCATATGGTCTAGCAACCCTGTACTTGAGTATAGAGCCCAGAGAAATAAAAAATTAATGTTAACAAGAAAAAAATCTGGAAATGAAAGTTTATAGAAGTGGTGGTCATAATCACCAAGGCCCAGAGGAGAAGATGAGGGCCCATCATCCTTTGACAGGTGAGTGGATAAAATGCGGCACATTCGTGCAATGGAGCCCAACTCAGCAGTGAAAGGGAAGGGAACATTGATGCCCAAGGCAACTTGAGCAGATCTCCAGGACTTTTTGGAGCCAGTCTCAAAAGGCTACAAGCCAGACGATTCAGTTTGCATGATATTCTAAAAATGACGTTTCTCCCTTTCTTTTTTCTTTTTCTTTCTTTTTTTTTTTGAGACAGAGTCTCGCTCTGTTGCCCAGGCTGGAGTGCAATGGCACAATCTTGGCTCACTGCAACCTCTGCCTCCCAGGTTCAAGCGATTCTCCTGCCTCAGCCTCCCTGAGTAGCTGGGACTACAGGCACACGCCACCACGCCCAGCTAATTTTTGTATTTTTGGTAGAGACAGGGTTTCATCATGTTGGCCAGGCTGGTCTCAAACTGCTGACCTCAGGTGATCCGCCTGCCTCGGCCTCCCAAAGTGCTGGGATTACAGACATGAGCCATCATGCCTGGCTGACGCTTTTCTGATGGAAAACGGGTCCACGGTCGTCAGGGGTGCATGCTGCGTTGTGGCTGTGACTGTGTGGGGGCAGGATGAGGGGCAGGGATCATTCTGCGCGGTTCCTACATGAATGTTTATGTGTGACAAAATGTCAGAGAACTGAACCCTTCTCCTTTCCCGGGGGAGCGGGAAACAGAGCACGTCTAAAACCTGGTAAATCTGAACAAGTCTGCAGCTTTCCTGATATCTTTGTACCCATGTCAATTTCCTGGTGCTGACGCTTTTTTTATTATGTAAAATGTCATCTCGGGAAGCTTGGTGAGGGATATTTAAGGACTCTGCACTATTTTTAGAACCTCTATGTGACCCTAAATTTATTTAAAATAAAGATTTCTGAAAGTTCTTAGTAGATTACCACTGTGATTAAAACGTCCCATAAATGTCACAGCATTCTCAGTCTAAAGACCAAGTGCCTTCCCAAGGCACAGAAAGACCTGTGGGATCCTGTCACTGTCTCCCCTCCTTCTCGCTTCCACCTGCTCTCCAATCTCTCAGGCTTCAGCAAAGCCCTGAGGTCTGTTTTCTCTGCCTCTTGTGGCCTTGCTGATGCCAACAGACTTCCCCAACTATTGACTGAAGATGTCGCTGACCCCCCAGGGTCCAGGCTGAATCAGGCGTCCTCTCTCCGCTGGGACACCAGGCACCGTCTGGCAACAGCTGATGCACTTGTCTGAGTCTTAGTCCACCTGGGCACAAGCAGAGAAAGGACCATGGGTTTCATCTCTGCAATAACTGGCACAATGTGGCTTCCTAAGCAACATACAAGGAGGGCGTATGTCTGGGAGGTACACTGAGGATGTCTGTCGAGGGTGTATGTGCGGGGGGTGCACTGTGCATGTCTGTGGAGGGCGTATGTCTGGGGGATGCATTGTCCATGTCTGTTGAGGATGTATGCATGGGGTGTGCACTGTGCATGTCTGTCGAGGGTGTATGTCCAGGAGGTGCACTGTGCATGTCTGTCGAGGGTGTATGTCCAGGAGGTGCACTGTGCATGTCTGTCGAGGGTGTATGTCCGGGGGGTGCACTGTGCATGTCTGTCAAGGATGTATGTCCGGGAGGTGCACTGTGCGTGTCTGTTGAGGGCGTATGTCCAGGAATGCACTGTGCATGTCTGTCGAGGGCGTATGTGCGGGGGGTGCACTGTGCATGTCTCTCGAGGGCGTATGTCTGGGTTGTGCACTGTGCATGTCTGTCGAGGATGTATGTATGGGTGCGCACTATGCATGTCTGTCAAGGGTGTATGTCCGGGGGGTGTACCGTGCATGTCTCTGGAGGGCGTATGTGTGGGGGATGCACTGTGCATGTCTGTCGAGGGTGTATTTCCGGGGGGTGCACTGTGCATGTCTGTCGAGGGTGTATGTGCGGGGGGTGCACTGTGCATGTCTGTCGAGGGCATATGTCTGGGGGATGCACTGTGCATGTCTGTCGAGGATGTATGTCCAGGAGGTGCACTGTGCATGTCTGTCGAGGGTGTATGTCCGGGGGTGCACTGTGCATGTCTCTCGAGGGTGTATTTCCGGGGGGTGCACTGTGCATGTCTGTCGAGGGTGTATGTCCAGGGGTGCACTGTGCATGTCATGTCTGTCGAGGTTGTATGTCTGGGGGTGCACGGTGCGTGTCTCTCGAGGGTGTTATGTCCAGGGGTGCACTGTGCATGTCTGTAGAGGGCGGATGTCCGGGGGGTGCATTGTGCATGTCTGTCGAGGGCGTATGTCCAGGGATGCACTGTGCATGTCTGTCGAGGATGTATGTCCAGGAGGTGCACTGTGCATGTCTGTCGAGGGCGTATGTCCGGGGGTGCACTGTGCATGTCTCTCGAGGGTGTATTTCCGGGGGGTGCACTGTGCATGTCTGTCGAGGGTGTATGACCGGGGGTGCACTGTGCATGTCATGTCTGTCGAGGTTGTATGTCTGGGGGTGCACTGTGCATGTCTTTCGAGGGTGTATGTCCGGGGGTGTACTGTGCATGTCATGTCTGTCGAGGTTGTATGTCTGGGGGTGCACTGTGCATGTCTGTCGAGGGCGTATGTCCAGGGGGTACACTGTGGGTGTCTGTGGAGGGTGTATGTCCGGGAGGTGCACTATGGGTGTCTGTCGAGGGCGTATGTCCAAGTGTGCACTGTGCATGTCTGTCGAATGAACAGATCAACAGTACAAAGCAGGACGCTGACGCAGGCGCACAGACACGCTCGGCTTCCATAGATACTCTCTACGGAGCAGCCTGCGCTGCCTCGGGGCTCATCCCTCAAGAGGGCGACAGACGCGGGGCCGAGAGTCCTCAAAGAGACCCCCAAAGATCCCGTCTTCCTCTGCTTCCATCCCTCTGCCTTATTTTATTTACCTTTCAAAAAATATGTTTCGAGTGTCCGCTCCCTGCCACGTCCCACTAATGCCCTAGAATAGATGTGAAACTAAGACACTGAGAATCCAGCAAGCACGCTTAAGGAGACAATCACCCCATAGAACAGTAAACTCTGGCTGTGACACAAACACGAGCTCAAGGTGCCAGGGGAAGGGGACCACCTGCCTCACCGGCACAGCACAGCTGCCTGCAGCCATCTCCAGGAGCAGAGCTGGGAGACCTGCCCTTTAAACCGTCCCCGCTGGGGAGCAGCTCCCAGTATCTGGCTGAGTGAGTCCCACATCCCTCTCATGGTTTCTTTCTTCTCTTGCTGTCATCACCTGCTTATTTGAGAATCATTAAAAAGCTTAAATATCTAGAGCATTTTGATTAAAATCCTATTTCACTATAAAATTATTTAGGAAAGACTGATGTCATTCTAATATTAAATGTGATTATAAGAACATATTTGGGGAAACGTCCACCTTTCAAAGTTAATTATCAACTTAAATGACTAAAGAATTGAAAAGTGAAAGAGAAGCAGCCCCCAGGGGGAACACTGGCAGCCAGGGCAGTGCCTGGCTATCACTGGAATGACTCGGATTTACGGCCAGCTGGACAAGGTAGCTTCAGGGTGCCCTTGAGTCCTCACAGCAATCCCATGGCTCCCACATGCTGCACACTGGACTCACTCAGGATCTTTAATAAGTGCGATGACTTTCCCCATATTTTCACATGGCCAAAATGTGGTTCTTCCTGGACTCCAGATTTTTAAAAGCTCCTCAGCTAGCTCTAAAGAGTGGAACAACTGGGAATCACAAAAGTTTTCATCACCAGTTTGATTACATCCATGTTAGAAATGAGAAAACGGAATGTGACTAACACACAGGGACGTCCTTGTACCTAACACAGTTAAGTTGGAGAGACGGGATTCAATCCAGGGTTTCTGATACCTAAGCATGTGCCCTTGGCCATAACGCCTCCAAAAGCGGAGACCCCAGCTGACTTCTCAGGCAGAGCATCAGTGTGCTGATCAATGAAAACAGGATAGAGGCAGAAAGGGGTTCAGCCCCATGACCTGGTGTTGGTAAAGCCAGAGTAAATGCTGATGTTTTATTACAATTAGCTCTGGCTGTGTTTGCCAAACCTCAGCTCTTTCCCAGTTTGAATTAACTGGTCCTTTGCCATTTAACTCCTGACTATTCTGGTTGGTCAAACAATGAGAATCTTGCCTTCGTGTTTAATTCCCTGGTGTGATTTTGGAATCATTTATACCTAAAATCATTTTGCCAGAAAGAGGAAGGAAGAAAAAAGGAAAGAGGAGTTGCCTATGATTGAGAGAAATGACAGCTAAGAAGCACGGCAGGCAGCATCGCAGCTGGTGTAAGTCCTTCAGTGGCAGCAGAGTGGACACAGAGCAATGTCCTCACGGTGCTGGGGTCTCCCGAAAGCCCTGGGCACATGTTCTGGAGGAAAGGAAGGTGGCATTCCTTTGGATTCTCCAGACAGAGCCATCTCATCTGAGGAAGGCAGCTGCAGAAGATTGGTGTGAAGAGGCCAGGTTGCAGCTTTATGGGGGACACAGGCTGTTCTCAGGGCACTGAGCTCAGGAGGTCTGCACTGTGTCACTCATACAGCAGGGCTGGGGGCCAGCACTTCTGCCACCTCTGGGCCTGTGCCCCTCCCAGGGAGAGATGAGGACGCCTTGGAGGAGAATGAATGAACTTCCTCGGCAGGAGTGACAGGGAGAGACTGGAAAGCAGGATGAGAGGTGCTTACGGTAAAATCAGTTACAAAGAAAATAATCACCAGGTGTACAGGGCAGTGCTGCTGCTTAAAGGCAGGCATGCAACCTGGGAACCAAAAACAAACCTCGGTCATCTTGTTCGTACCAAGGACTCAGCTGGGGGCACAGCAGGGGAGCACCCACTAAATGAGAAATTTCCCAAAGCTTGTGAATTAGAAACAAAATCCTAGGCCCTCTTACCCCACTGAAGGTACCCCCTCTTAGCCAAGGAGATCCCAGGAAAACCTTAAAAACTGAATTCTGGACCATGAAGGTATGGGAAGTCAGACACGCCTCCTTATATCCCCTCCCTTTTGGAGTTTAGACACAACTGACCAGCACTGATGCTGAAGTAGAGATGGTAGGACTGACAGAAGGGACTCCTTGTGACCATACGATACCAAATTACAAACAGGACCTAAGGCCATATGGGGCAAGGGTTAAGTCACCCACCCCTACAGGTCAGTCTGACCCAGCATATTGGTTGACAGACTTCCTTAACTTAAATCATTTCTTTCTAAATCTAGGCAATACCATTCAGGACATAGGCATGGGCAAAGATTCTATGATGAAATTGCCAAAAGCAATCGCAACAAAAGCCAGAATTGACAAATGGGACCTAATTAAACTAAAGAGCCCTCTACACAGCAAAAGTAACTATCATCAGAGTGAACAGGCAACCTACAGAATGGGAGAAAATCTTTGCAATCTACCCATCTGACAAGGGTCTAATATCCAGAATGTACAAGGAACTTAAGCAAATTTACGAGAAAAAAAAAAAAACCATCAAAAAGTGGGCAAAGGACATGAACAGATATTTTCCAAAAGAAGACATTTATGCAGCCAACAAACTTATGAAAAAAATCTCAACATCACTGATCATTAGAGAAATGCAAATCAAAACCACAATGAAATACCATTTCATGCCAGTCAGAATGGTGACTATTAAAAAGTCAAGAAACAACAGATGCTGGTGAGGCTGTGGAGAAATAGGAATCCTTTTACACTGTTGGTGGGAGTGTAAATTAGTTCAACCATTGTGGAAGACAGTGTGGCAATTCCTCAAGAATCTAGAACCAGAAATGCCATTTGACCCAGCAATCCAATTACTGGGTGTATACCCAAAGGAATATAAATCATTCTATTATAAAGATACATGCATATGTGTATTTACTGCAGCACTACTCACAATGGCAAAGACGTGGAATCAACCCAAATGCTCATCAATAATAGACTGGATAAAGAAAATGTGGTACATATATACCATGGAATACTATGCAGCCATAAAAAAGAATGAGATCATGTTCTCTGCAGGGAAATGGATGGAGCTGGAAGCCATTATCCTCAGCAAACTAATACAGGAGCAGAAAACCAAACACTGCATGTTCTCACTCATAATTGGGAGCTGAACAATGAGGATACTTGGACACAGAGAAGGAAGCATCACATGCCAGGGATTGTCAGGCAGGCAGGGGAAAGGAGAGCATCAGGATAAATAGCTAATGCATGCTGGGCTTAATACCTAGGTGATAGGTTGATAGGTGCAGCAAACCACCATGGCACACGTTTACCTATGTAACAAACCTACACATTCTGCACATGTATCCTGGAACTTAAAATAAAATAAAATTTAAAAATATATATTTCTTTCTGCTGACTCCAGATTTTTAGGCAGAGCTTTAATGCTTTAACCAGTTGCAAATTATTGAATCCACCTGTAACCTATAAGCCCTACTTCAAGATATCCTGCCTTTTCTGGCTGAACCAATGTATACCTTCCATGTGTTGATTTATGTATTTGCCTGTAACTCTTGCTTCCCTAAACTGTTTAAAACTAAACTGTAAACTGTGACTGCTCCAGTCGTACTTTCTATGGACCTCTTGAAACTGTGCTTCTGTTGAGCTATGGTCACACATGTTGGCTCAGAATAAACCTCTTTAAAATTGTTTACAGAATTTGGATTTACTGTTAACAAGCTTCCACAAGATTCATCCACTAGGGGAAACTGGTTCAGAATTCTCTCTAATACGACACTGAATGTAATAGATATGTGAGAAGGACAAGCATTACTATAGCTGGGAAGCTAATAACCCTGGTGAGTGCATTCCTCAATATTTAGGTAGCTATTGTATCAGACACCTGCAAAATGACACTTCTTATTCAGTGTCTTTATAATTTATGCTATATTTTCAGCCCAATAAAATCAGGTATATTGGGCTTCAACATCTGGTGATAAGTCAGCATCTGGCGTTACTAAGTATACATGCATCCACAGACATCCGTATACTCATATATCCATGTGTGTGGTTATGTCTGTACCTATACATATGTATAAACTTATTTCCAGTTGGCATCTGGCAACAACTTGCCTGATGGTCTGTGCTTGGGCCTTGTGATATTGGTCTATGCACATCATGTGTGCGTGATGAAGAATGTGATCTACTTTCCCTTTTTTTCTAAGCATCAGTTGCAGTTCATTTAATAATCATAAAATTAATAACCACAATCAGCCTTTGTCTTGCTAAGTGATGTAGACATTCACTTTTAAGCCATCTGCACTGCTCAGTCCCCATGGTCTGAAATTGCATTCTCACATAGAAAAGTCTAGTTTCACGGCGATAATGGGAGCTCGGGAGAGGGAGGTGTTTCTTGCTAGAGGAAGCAGGAGCCTGAGTAGAAAGGAGCAGGAGTCCATTCCAGACCTGCCATGTCCATGGGCCACATGGAGGAAACCCACTTGAGAAGCGATCTGGAGGATTAGTGGGGAGAGTCGCAGGTGGAGGGCAAAGCAGCAGTGTTCACGCTGATGAAACCAGGGTGTGGCTTGGACACAAGCTCCCGGAAGGGGGGTGTGGATCAAGGTGGATTCTGAAGGTCTGAGTTACAGAGCGAATTGATGGGACTCATCACAGTGGCCGTACTTGCAGCTGGAGCCAAAGTTACATGGTTTCCAGGAAAACACAGGTTTTCACACTAAACTCCTTTTCCACTTTGAAAACTAAAGCAACTTAATCACGAGCAGAGGACGGAATTGGTCACATGGTGCCCATGCCTTTGTCATGGAATATACACGCACAGCAGGAGGAGCTGGAGGAGCCGGGAGAACACGGAGCCGGGGGCCCCCGTGTGGCACCAGCTGCCCCTTCTCACCTCCAGGCAAGGTCCTTCGCATCTTTGATTCTCAGGTTTTTGTTGTTATTGTTTTGTTTTTTTGTTTTGTTGTGTTTTTTATTTCACTGCGAGCAAGGATTTGGATTGAATTTAGAAAAAAGCTTTTGGTCTAAAATTTTGATTATATAAAATTATCTACAATTCAACTTGTGAAAGTTATAGTCACACCTTTTCTGCCATTGACCACTCCGCTGTCGAACTGCTTGGGTCACGTGGATCTGGTGATCAGTTCTCTTTCAGCGTATCCCCTTCGCACAGCTGCAAACGTGGCTGCGGATCAGAATCACTATCAAATGCAGATGCAGGAGCCCATCTCTAGAGCTTCCGGTTGAGTCAGTCTGAGATACGTCCGAGACTCCTGCACAGCTCCACATTTTATTCCAAATCGTCAGAGAGGGTGTTTTCTCAGCAGGGAAAGACAATGGCAGAGCAGGAAGGGACAAAAGAACCCAGATGATGAATCTGGCCGGCCTGTCCACCTCCTGGCAATGTGGACTAGGCTGGGCACTTGAGACTTTCTGGCTCTCTGTGTCTTCACTGGAGAACAAGGGTGACGAAGCCTGCTTTCAGAGCGAGATGAGGACTGGTAATAATGCATGAGATGCATCTGGCCACAGTGAATGCTCAGTATTTTTAGTGATTATTTTTCTAGTACTGACTCTTTCCCTCATCTCTGAGGGCAGATGTTCCTGCCTTTTGCTGGCTACTTAAATCACAATAACCTGATTTTATTTGGGATATTTTCAGAAGGTGAGAGAAGAGAAATTTAGAATGCAGACTCTACGCTCAATCCTTTTTATTCTTTGCTCAAAGCTGCCCACAAAATCCCTGCTTGATCTTTGGATCATTTACAACAGAGGCTTAAAAGGAGATGATCATAATCCGATGAGGGGCAGGAGGAGTGCGTGGCTGAGAAAGTGCAGAACAATGGCTGGTATTTTAAAAAGGCTGCACAATCTTTTGTTGCATAGTGTGTGTGTGTGTCTGTGTGTGTGTGTGTTCTTGAATATGTTTGCACAAGAAGCATGAGCTTCAGCTTTATAACACTTGAATTCAAACCCTGACCCGACCTCTCACTAGCAGCGTGAAATAGAGCAGACAGCACACCTGCCTGGGCTCCAGCTAGATAGGATTAGCTAAGATAATGAGTAGGAGAGTGCCTCTCACAAACCAGGCCTACATGAGCTCGGCACATTTAATTTTACTTCATTAAAAATTAAAGGACCGGGTGCGGTGGCTCATGCCTGTAATCCCAGCATTTTGGGAGGTTGAGATGGGCAGAGTGCTTGAACCCAGGAATTCAAGACCAGCCTGGGGAACATGGCAAAACTCTAGCTACAAAAAAAATGCAAAATAATTAGCCAGGCATGGTGGCACATGCCTGTAGTCCCAGCTACTTCAGAGACTGAGGTGGGAGGCTCTCTTGAGCCCAGGAAGTTGAGGCTGCAGTGAGCTGTGATTGTGCCACTGCACTCCGGCCTGGGTGACAAAGCAAGACTCTGTCTCAAAAATTAACAACAAAAAAAGTCAGCCCATGGAGGGTCTCTTTATAGCCTAAGCATCACGTTTGATACACAGATTTTAATTTTTTAAAGGCAGAAGGAAGAGAATCTTCCGCCAAAGCACCTGAGGTTCTTGGCTATTGGGGTCTGCCATGGGCCCCAGGTCAGATAAGAACTCTTGGCTACAGCTTTCGGTGGGTACTGGGCCCATCCCATTGGTATCCACATCAGAAAGAGACTCTTGGGCCTCAGGATTCACCCAAGTGTGGTCTTTTAGCTACTGGGAGTCCCCAGGCTACTGCCCCCTTTCTCAGGGTCTCTCTTACCCCAGCTCACCACAGCTGAGGCTGCCAACCCATTAATAGGAAGATGTCCAGGGGGAAACTGGGGTCCAGCTCTTCTTGTCCCCTTGAAGATTTGAATCTTGTCCCAAGATTTCGGTCTGAAAAGCTACTTGCTAGCTGTGTGATCTCACATCTGCCAAAGAAGGGCTGAGATGCACAGGGCCTGGCCAATCTGCAGTCCCATGATTCTTAAAGAGGGACTCAGCAATGGGTGAGTGCTGTCCAGGGTCACCCAGGAATTTTGTTGTAACTTTGTGGATAAAATGCAGCCTGTGGGTACTAGCCTGAAGGTCACAGCATTGCATTACTGTCATTCTGTCTGGACGTTATGTGTTCATGGCTCAAGCCTGTAACATTTCTTGCATCCATCTGGAGTTTCCACAGTACCTTGGACCGCAGTTTCCAGCCTGAGATTCACCTGTGGTGGTAAACCCTCATCGTGACATGCTGTGAAGGCCAAAGCGACTCCATCTTGGACATGAGGCCAAAGTGACTCCCTCTCAGATGAGAGGCCAAGCAACTCCATCTTGGACAGGAGGCCAAAGCAACTCCATCTTGAATGGGAGGCTAAAGCAACTCCATCTTGGAAGCTAATCTGCCATGTTGACTTCTGATTAACCTCAGTTCTGGGAAGGCCTTTGAGATTTCCAGTTAATCTGTGGTCCCTTGTGGAAGGGCAGATACTTAAATCCTGCCCTTGAGGCAAATTCTTACCCATTCCTGCTAAAGAACACTGTGTCTGTGTCCCTCCTCTGAGGTATATAATCTTAGGGTCTGGGTGATGATGGCGTGAGGATCCACCATCTTGTCTTGTCCTGTCCAGGACACAGACATAGCTTCTGTTTGTAAGTCTCCATTAAATGTTTCTTTCTAAGAAACTGGATTTGGCAGCCTCTTTCTTTGAGCTCTCAGCTTTCTTGGACTTTGGGGCTGGTCTCCATGGGCCCACCTTGTTTCATCTTTCAGTGAGAACCAGGGTGGGCCATAGCAAGTTTACCTCAGCAGGCCTGGTTTTAACTTTCCTAACTTTCCCACAAACATATCTTCATCTCTAATAGAGATGTGTGCATTTCATCATTTTAATAATTTAGTTCTGAAATGATTTATGGCCGGCATGTTAATTACGAATACATACATTACCATTTTTACAGTATATTTGGATATGGATCAGCAGAGAAGGAACCGTTACCCTATTGTTTTCATTTATCACTTGTGCTCAGTTCTGCCTATTTGTATAACAGAAGCTGGTTCCAAACAGTGAGGATTAACCCAAACATTCCTCAAAGCCCCTTTGATTTCATTGAATGTACAGAATGTCAAGCTTCCGTCTAAAAATCGTATCTTGCTAATAAGCCTTGACAGAGCCATCCCCAATTTCCCTCCAAAATGCTATGAAAATAGAGAAAAAAAGTAACAAATCACACATAGGTTGCCAAGGAAGCCTTACCACCCCGCCTAGTTCCATAGGTGGAGAGGGATTTGCAATTATTAAAAAGACAGTGGAAATTTAGTGGAAAAAATAAATAAATACTTCAAATAGTAACAATTCCATCTCATCTCAGCCCCTTTCCCTGCCCCCAACCCCACCCCTGCCCCATTTTTGCCAACACCTAGGGCTCCTTCAAAGTGACACTCAAATGCCCTCATTCCTGGAGCAGCCCAGGATCCTCCCACTGGCTGTGGCCTTGCCTCCCTCCAAACTCCTGAATCTGCCCCTCTCTTAGCCCCATTAGCCCTGCCCCCTGGACTACAGTGATGTCTACAGAGAGTGATTGCCCTGCCTCGGCTTACATCCAGCCATGTGCTTCCTCCTGCATGGCCTTGCTCCCAGGTGTCCCCCTCATCAGCCTTGTCTGCACAGCAGTGCTAGTGACTACTGACCTGCAGGTTGGCTCCAGGGATTAGAGGTGGTTATGTGAAGTGCTAGCACAATGTCTGTCAAATTATAAGTATCTGTGAAATATTTGTCAAAATAATTTTTGTTGAAAAACAAAAAAACTGAGAAGGCACAGCCCCCTCCCACCTTTCATGGGGCTCTTGGGTCTTTGTGGTGTTGGTTTGGGAAATGAGTGAAGCAGAGCTGGAAAAGCCAGAGATTGCCCTTCCTGAGAGAGCCTGAGCCGATACCTGGGAAAGAGGGTCCTGGGGAGATCTCTCTCTCTCTGTCTCCCCGTCCCCCGCCCTGTGTCATATTTTCAAAATATTTTTCTATGAGCAGAATCTATTTTGCCTTTCAAGACTACAGTAGGGGCTTGGTGGGGCCAGATGGCAGAATAGAAGCCAACACTGTTTGTCCCCCTCACTGGAACACCAAATTTTAACAACTATCTGCATGTAGAAAAGCACCATCAGCCGAACCAAAAATCATGTGAGCAATGACAGTACCTGGTTTTGTCTTCATGTCACTGAAATAAGCATTGAAGAGGGCAGGAGAGAGAGTCTTGAATCACCAGTGCCACCCCTCCCCCATCTCCTGGCAGTGGCCTTGCAGCTCAGAAAGTCTGCACACTTTTGAGAGGGAGAGCACTGGGGGATGTTACATTGAACTCAGTACTGCCCTGTCACAGCAGAGAATGAAACCATGCTGGGCTCAGACCCCACCAGCACATGGAGGGGGCATTTGGACCATCCCTAGCCAGAAGGGAATCACCCATCCCAGTGGTCAGAACTTGAGTTTCTAGGCAAGCCTTGCAACTGCAGGCTGAAGTGCTCTGGGGTCCTAGGTAAACTTGAAAGGGAGTCTAGGAAAAAAGGACTGCAATCCCTAGGCAACTCCTAGTGGTAAGCTGGGCTCAGAGCCAGAGGACTAGGATGGCATGTGTTCTAGAAAAACACCAGCTGGGGTGGCTAGGAAAGGCTTGTCCCATTCCTCCCCCAGCCCCTGGCAGCACAGCTCAAAGCAATGAAAGTGTCTCCTTCCCTCTGCTTAAGGAGAGTAGAGTAAAAAGTAAGGACGATTTTGCCTTGCATCGTGGATGCCAGCTCAGCCGCAGTAGGAAAGAGCAGCAGGCAGTCATGAGCCCCAAGTCCAGGCTCTAGCTCCCAGATGACATTTCTAGACACGCCCTGGACCAAATGAAAGCCCACTGCCTTGAAGGTGAGAACCAAGTCCTGGCAGCATTCATCACCTGCTGACTAAAGAGCCCTTGGGCCCCGAATAGCCAGCAGCAATACCCAGGGAGTACTCCAGGGGCCTTGGTCTCTGAGACGTGCTTGCTTCAGGGGCGACCCTGCACATTCTCAGCTGTGGTGCATGTGGTGAAAGACCCCTTCTGTTTGAGAAGAGCAGAGGGAAAAGTAAACGGGATTTTGTCTTGCACTTTAGGAACCAGCTCAGCCACAGTGGCATAGAACACCAAGCGGGCTTTTGGGGGTCACCATTCCAGGACTTGGCTCTTGGGGTGACTGAGTCCAGGTCTAGGATCTTGGACAGCATTTCTGGACCTCCCCTAAGCCAGAGAGAAGCCTTATGTTCTGAAGGGTGAGTTCCAGGCCTGGCAGCAATCACACCACAAGCTGACAGAAGAGGCATCACCATCAGTCAACATTGGTAGTGGCTAGGCAAAAACCCCTGGGGACAAGTGGTAGTGGTGGCCACAAGGATAGGCTCCTCTGCCTACAGAAAGGGGAGAGAAGAGCCAGAAGGACTTCATATTGTGCTTTTAGTGCCAGCTTTGCAGAAGTAGAATAGAACATGAGATAAATTCCTAAGGTTTTTTACTCTAATCCCTGGCTCACAGACAGCATCTTTGGACATGCATGCAGCCTGGGGAAACTCACCACCCCGAAGAGAAGGGCCTTGGTCAAGGCCCAGGGCTGTGCTGGCTTTAGGTCTGACCCAGTGCAGTTCCAGTGGTGGTGGCCACAGGGGTTCTTGCATAACCACAGCCCCAGTTCCAGGTGGCTCAACACAGAGAGAGACACTTTGGGAGAAAGAAAGGGAAAAGAACAAGATCCTCTGCCTGGTAATCCAGAGAATTCTTCTGGATCTTATCCAAGACCACCAAGGTGGGATCCCTATGAGTCTTCAAAAAGCATAGTGTTATTGGTCTTGGGGCCCAATCCCTTCCAATACCTGGAAAGCATTCCCAAGGACAGCCACAAATAAGTCCAGACTGCAAATACCACCATAAATTTCTAACTCTTCAATGCCCAGAAATCAACAAACACCTGCAAGCTTCAACACCATGCAGGAAAACAGGACCTCACCAAATGAAGTAAATAAGGCACCAGAGACTAATCATGAGAAACAGAGATATGTGACCAATTAGACAGAGAAGTCAACATAGCTGTTTTGAGGAAACTCAAAAAATTCAAGGTAACACAGAGATGGAATTCAGGATTCTATAAGATAAATTTAACAAAGAGATTGAAACAATTAGGAAGAATCAAGTCAAAATTCTAGAGCTAAAAATGCAATTGACATGCTGAAGAATGCATCAGAGTCTCTTAATTAGCAGAATTGATCAAGCACAGGAAAGAATTAGTGACTTGAAGACAGGCTATTTGAAAGTGCACAGTCAGAGGGGACAAAATAATGAGAAACAATGAAGCACACCTACAAGATTTAGAAAATTGCCTCAAAAGGGCAAATCTTAGAGTTATTGGCCTTAAAGAGGAGGTAGAGAAAAACATAGAGGTAGAAAATTTATTCAAATAAATAGTAACAGAGGACTTCCCAAACCTAGAGAATGATATTGACATTCAAGTACAAGGTTTTAGAATGCCAAGCAGATTTAATCCAAAGAAGCCTACCTCAAAGTATTTAAAAATCAAACTCCCAAAGGTAAAGAACAAAGAAAGAATCCTAAAAACAGCAAGAGAAAAGGATTGAATAACATAAAATGGAGCTCCAATCCATCTGGCAGCAGACTTTTCAGTGGACACCTTACAGGCCAGGAGAGAGCGGCTTGAAATATTTAAAGTGCTGAAGGAAAAAAAATCAAACTTTTACCCAAGAATAGTATAGCCAGGGAAAATATCATTTAAGCATGAAGGAGAAATAAATATCTTCCCAAACAAAAGCTGGGAGATTTCATCAACACCAGACCTGTCCTACAAGACATGCTAAAGGGAAGTTTTCAATCTGAAAGAAAAGGATGTTAATGAGCAATGATAAATCATCTGAAGGTACGAAACTCAGTGGTCATTGTAATTACACAGAAAACCACAGAAAAATATAATACTGTAATTGTGGTATATAACCTAGTCTTATCTTAAGTAGAACTAAATAATAAACCAATAAAAAAACTACAACAACTTTTCAAGACTTACACAATACAGTAAAACATAAAGATAAACAACTAAAAGTTTAAAAGTAGGGGGATGAAGTTAAAGTGTAGACTCTGTTAGTTTTATTTTTGTGAGTTTGTGCAATCAGTGTTAAGTTGTCAGTATAAAATAATGGGTTATGATAGTATTTGCAAACCTCAAATCAAAAAAAACATTTAACAGATACACAAAAAGTACAAAGCAAGAAATTAAAGCATTCCATCAGAGAAAATCACCATCACAAAAAGGACGACTGGAAGGAAGAAATGGACCATTGAATGTAAATGGACTAAACTCTCTTATCAAAAGCCATAGAGTGGCTGAATGAATGAAAAAACAAGACCCAATATTCTGTTGCCTGCAAGAAACACACTTCACCTATAGAGATATACATAGACTGAAAATAAAGGGATGGAAAAAGATATTCCATGCCAATAAAACCAAAAAAGAGCAGGAGTAGCTACACTTATATCAGACAAAATAGATTTCAAGACAAAAACTGTAAGAAGAGACAAAGCCATTTTACAATGATAAAATAATCAGTTCAGCAACAGGATATAATGATTGTAAATATATATGTACCCCAACACTGGAGCACCCAGATATGTAAAGCATAAAAAAGAGATAGACCCCAATAGAATAATAGCTGGAGACTTCAACATCCCATTTTCAACACTGAACAGATCTCCCAGTCAGAGTATCAAGAAACATTGGAATTAATTTGCACTATAGACCAAATGGACTTAATAGATTTTTAAAGGGATTTTTTAAAAATTATACTTTAAGTTCTAGGGTATATGTGCACCAACGTGCAGGTTTGTTACATAGGTATACATGTGCCATGATGGTTTGCTGCACCCATCAACTCATCATTTACATTAGGTATTTCTCCTATATTTACAGAAAATTTTATCCAATGGCTGCAAAATATGCATTCTTCTCCTGAGCACATAGATCATTCTCAAGGACAGACCATATGTTAGGTCACAAAACAAGTCTTGAAACATTAAAAAATCCTGAAGTAATATCAATCATCTTCTCTGACCACAATGAAATAAAACTAGAAAGTAATAACAAGATGAATTTTGTAAACTATATAAACACATGGAAATTAAACAATATACTCCTGAATAAAAAGTGGATAAATGAAGGAATTAAAAAAGAAATTGAACATTTTTTGAAACAAATTATAATGAAAACAGAACATACCAAAACCTAGGGGTACAGTGAAAGCAGTACTAAAAAGGGAATTTATAGCTGTAAGTGCCTACAAAAAAAAGAAGAAAAATTCAAATAAATAAGCTAATGATGCATCTTAAAGAACTAGAAAATTAGGCACAAACCAAACAAAAATTAGTAGAATAAAAGAAATAATAAAAATCAGAGAAGAAATAAATTTGAAATGAAGAAAACAACTAAAAAGATCAATAAAACAAAAAAATTGTTATTTTGAAAATGTAAACAAAATGGACAAACTTTTAGCCAGACTGTAAGAAAAAAAAGGAAGACCCAAATAAATAAAATCAGAGATGAAAAGAGAGACATTACAACTGACACCACAGAAATTCAAAAGATCATTAGTGACTATTATGAGCAACTATATACCAATAAATTAGAAAATCTAGAAGAAATTGATAAATTCCTAGATATATACAACCTACCAAGACTGAACCATGAAGAAATCCAAAACCTGAACAGACCCATAACAAGTAATAAAATTGAAGCCATAATAAAAAAAAAAGTCTCCCAGTAAAGGAAAGCCCAGGACCTGATGACTTCACTGCTGATTTCTACCAAAGCTTAAAAGAATAATTAATACCAGTCAGGCATGGTGGCTCATGCCTGTAATCCCAGCACTTTGGGAGACTGAGGCAGGTGGATCACCTGAGGTCAGCAGCTCAAGAGCAGCCTGGCCAACATGGTGAAACCTCATCTCTACTAAAAATACAAAAATTAGCTGGGCATGGTGGCAGGTGCCTGTAATCCCAGCTACTCAGGAGGCTGAGGCTGGAGAATCACTTGAACCTGGAGGTGGAGATTGTAATGAGTGGAGATCGTGCCATTGCACTCCATCTTGGGCAACAGGAGTGAAACTCCATCTCAAAAAAAAAAAAAAAAAAAAAAAACCTAATACCAATCTGACTCATGTGTTCCAAAAAATAGAGGAGAAATAAATACTTCCAAACTCACTCTATGAGGCCAGTATTACCCCGACTTCAAAACCAGACAAAGGTCTATCAAAAAAAGGAAACTGCAGGCCAATATCTCTGATGAACATTGATGCAAAAATCTTCAACAAAATACTAACAAACCAAATTCAATAATACATTAGAAAGATCATTTATCATGACTAAGTGAGATTTATCTCAGGGATGCAAGGATGGTTCAACATCAATCCGTCAATATGATACATCATATCAACAGAATGAAGGACAAAAGCAATATAATCAAATCAATTGATGCTGAAAAAGTATTTGATAATATTCAACATCCCTTTATGATAAAACCCTTTAAAAACTGGGGATAAGGAACATACCTCAAAATAATAAAAGCCATATATGACAGACCCACAGCTAGTATCATACTGAATGAGGAAAAACGGAAAGCCTTTCTTCTTGTATCTGGAATGTGACAAGGATGCCCACTTTCAGCACTGTTATTTGACATAGTACTGAAAGCCATAGCTAGGTCAGTCAGACAAGAGAAAGAAATAATAGGCATCCTAATTGAAAAGAAAGAAGTCAGTTTATCCTTGTTTGTAGATGATATGGTCTTGTATTTGGAAAAACCTAAAGACTCCACCAAAAAAACTATTAAAATTGATAAATTCAACAAAGCTGCAAGATACAAAACCAACATACAAAAATCAGTAGCATTTCTATATGCCAACAGTGAACAATGTGAAAAAGATAACAAAAAGCAATCCCATTTACAACAGACACAAATAGAATTAAATACCTAGGAATTAACCAAAGAAGTGAAAGATCTCTATAATAAAAACTATAAAACACTGATAAAAGAAATTGAAGAGTACATTAAAAATTGAAAGATATTTTATATTCACAGATTGGAAGAATAAATATTGTTAAAATGTCCTTACTACTCAAGCAATCTACAGATTGAATGCAATCCCTATCAAAATAGCAATGACATTCTTCACAGAAATAAGAAAAATAATTCTAAAATTCGTGTGGAACCACAAAAGACCTAGCATAGCTGAAGTCAACCTGAACAAAAAGAACAAAACTGGAGGAATCACATTATCTGACTTAAAATTATGCTACAGAGCTATAGGAACAAAAACAGCATGGTACTGGCATAAAAACAGACTGATAAACCAATGGAAAAGAATAGAAAACCAAGAAAAAAATCCACACATTTACAGCAAACTCATTTTCAACAAAGTTGGGGAGAACATACAATGGGAAAGACAGTCTCTTCTTTTTTAAATAAATAATACTGGGAAAACTGAATATCCATATGCAGAAGAATGAAATGCCATCTCTATGTCTCACTTTATACAAAATGCAATTCAAAATGGATTAAATATTTAAATCTAAGACTTCAAAATATGAAACTCCTACAAGAAAACATTGGGAACACTCTCCAGGACATTAATCTTTGCAAAAGTTTCTTGAGTAATACCCCATGAGCACAGGCAACCAAAGCAAAAATGGACAAATGGAATAATATTGAGTTGAAAAGCTTCCTTTCCCAAAAAAGCGTCAACCAATACTGAAGAGACAACCTACCAAATGAAAGAAAATATGTGCAAACTACTCATCTGGCAAGGGCTTAATAACCAGAATATATAAAGAGCTCAAACAACTCTATAGGAAAAAATATAATAATCCGATTTAAAAATGGGCAAAAGATTTGAATAGACATTTCCCAAAATGGTAAACAGGCATATGCAAAGGTATTTGACATCAATGATCATTAGAGAAATGCATATCAAAATTACAAGGAGATATCATCTCATCCCAATTAAAATGTTTTTTATCCAAAAGTCAGACAATAACAAATGCTGGTGAGGATGTGGAGAAAAAAAAGGAATGTAAATGAGTACAACCCTGAGACAATGCTTTTGTGACTCACAGCTTGACTACAGCCCTGTGGGAAAGAAACCTTGACTCAGAACTACCCTGAACCACACCTGGTTTCCTGAGCCTCACAAACTGTGTGAAGTGATCGAAGACTTGCGTTGTTGTTGTTGTTGTTGTTGTTGTTTTGAGACAGAATCTTGCTCTGTCACCCAGGCTGGAGTGCAATGGTGCAATCTCAGCTCACTGCAACCTCCACCACCTGGGTTCAAGCAATTCTCCTGCCTCAGCCTCCTGAGTAGCTGGGATTGCAGGCATGTGCCACCACACCCAGCTAATTTTTGTATTTTTAGTAGAGACGGGGTTTCACCATGTTGGTCAGGCTGATCTCGAACTCCTGACCTCGTGATCCACCCGCCTTGGCCTCCCAAAGTGCTGGGATTACAGGTATGAGCCACCGCACCCGGCCAGTCTTGTGTTAAGTTGCTCAAGTTTGGATTACATTGTTATGCAGCAATAGATCGCTCTAACAGCTGTGTGTGATGGAAGGGGCCTGGACTGCAAGTTCGATTGGAACTGAGCTACACCCACTGTACGGCTGACCAGCGTGGTGACACTGAGAAGTCACTGATTCTCTGTGAGCCTCAGTTACATCATTTTTAAAATGAAAATGATTACTGACATCTGAGTTTTACTGTAAGGACTAAATGTGAATTTGCCTGGTGGTACCAGCACACAGTAGGCAATTTGTAAATACTCAACAAATCAACAGCTATCTCTCAACCCATCCTTATACATTGATTTATGGTGTAATTAAAATACTTAAATGGAATGATGCATTTCAAAACTCCTTAGTACTCTATAGCTTTGAGTGATGCTCACTGCTTTCACCGAGTTACTAAATTCAGCGCGTTGAGCTTGAGCTGCCTTAGACGCACGTGATTGTTCCATGTAGAGGGAATGCCCCTTCACCCATCAGTCCACACCAACTGCCTTGACAGTCAGTGTTACCTGCACTCCGTTGTGAGTCTTTCTAGGGAAAGTTGGCCCTTGGATGCTTGGCTCATGCTGTGGTCTGTTTGGACTCAGTAACAACCTCAGCAGCAACCACCCCAAACACAGCAAGAAGCAGAAATATACACACTGGGAAAAGGCATTCCCTGTCAACAAAAATAGCAGAGATGTTGAAGCCATAGTCTTGCACCTTGGAGGAAGGATGGCACAGTGGGAAAACCCTGGAGATGGACATCTTACTGCAGCTAACAAAGTGCATGGTTTTAGACATGTCGACATCCTCACTGGATCTTAATTTTTTTTGGTTTATCTAAAGCAAAGCAGCGGCAATTGGGTTTTTTGGAGCATTGACTTTACTCTAAGAATGGTCTTCTAGTTCTAATATACACCAGCACGTGTTTAGATCAGAGTGGGAAGGATGGAAGAAATCATTCAGATGGGAAAGTGTTGAAGAAACTAGACTCAAGAAGATCTCAGTAGCTTTCCCCAAATTACTGAAAGACTGCCATAAAAAGAGGACAGATTTGCTCCGTGTGGCCTTGTAGATTGCAGCTAAGATAAGCAGCAAGAAACTCCAATTTTCCAATTGTGTAAGTGAAAATGTCTTCGTGATCCTAATCATAAGCAGGATGATCTCCATGAGAAGCAGAGGGTTCTCTGTTACAAGGAGCGTTCAAACATATTGCATTACCATTTCGAAGGGATTTAAATTCAGCGGGTCTGGGCTTTGAGAGACATTTACAGGGACACTGTCCATGGCCACACTGACTGTGCACTCAAAAGGCAGGGGGACCACCCCCGAAGTCAGCCCCGTGATGGTGCCCCCAGAAGCTGTGGAAGGAGGAACACGGAACATGGAACACAGAAGTTGTGTAAAGGCCCTGGCCATTAGGCCTTTTCCAGCCTTGAGCATCTCTGAGCTAATCATGGCATCACCTGCAGATCTCTCAGCCACTTCAGAGCCCTCTCGTTCTGTGAATCTATGAAAACACCACTGCTGCCAGAAATTTGTGTTGCTTCATCTTAGTGTTTTTTAAAATATTGTGTTGTGTTAAACCTGTCTTTAAACTTAGACCAGTAAAATCTGATAATAAAATCTTACTGATTCTAAAAGGAGTCCAGTGCTCTTCTTTCTAATGAAAGTTAACAGATAATATCACTGAGGCACTAGCATCTAATGTATGTATGTGGGTATGCCCTTGTGTGTACTGAGCAAGCATAACTCATGTCATAATCAACTAGAACGCAGCTCAATGGTTAGCATTTGGTCCTTTAAGAGTTTTTCAGTGAAAATATTTTTCCCAAAAAAAACCTCTCTTTGTCTATTTTATTCATTTTTAGGTACTAGACAATGTTAGGGTAACTTAAATCACAGAGTCTCAATTCAAAAGTTAGATCGTTGAGAGCAAATATGAATCAAAGCTGTGAATCTGATTTCACAGCACAGTCTCCTGTGCTGCTGTGGCTTGGCCTGGAGTGGAAAAGAAGCCTGCATTTAGCTTCCCTGTTTCTCTTCCAGCCCTTCTCCCTCCTCCTACACCCAGCTTTTAGTTTGCTGGGCCCTCTCCCATGTTGGAGCCCGGAGAAGCAAGATGAAGGACAGAAGCATTCTTGTTACGCTCATGCTGTTATAAGCTGGCCTTCCACTCTCTGTGGCAGATTTTTGAAACAGATTCTTTCTCTCACGGACACTTCTGAGTGTTTTTTGAAAATTAGCTTTGCTGTGGCTTCTCTCCTGCCGTGCCTCTGACCCGGTAGATGAATCTCTCTTGTGGGAGGCTGTATGACTCCTCCCACGGTTCCCAGTGAGTGTGTGTCCTCCACCAACTTCTTGGCGCTGGGTCCCTCTGCCCCCCTTGGCAGAACTTCTGGAGAGATCTGTCGGCAACCTGCTCTCAGGTCTCTCTTCCCCACACAGCATGTTAAACTCTTATCCAATCCTTACTTCAATAAACTCCAGGAGTGTGCAGACCCCTCTCAACACAGCAGCAAGAGGCTGAATGGCGTCCTCCAGCAGAGGCAGACACCAGGAGACTCTCTTGTCAGCTGCAGGGGACATAGACTTTGAAGTTCCCTCTCACCAGGACTGGAGACACAAAATAATGCTAAAACATTTCTTCACACCTTTTCCTTTCCCCCCAGCCCAGCAATTGTGTATTCAGAGTGGGTGAGGAAGTTCGGGAGTGGAGGAGTTATTCTGAGTGATTTCCTTTGTTGAGTCTGCTTAGAGGGTTTCCCCCTCTCCTGGATGTCTGATAGCTGCCAGATGGATGCTTCCATTGACATCGAGGCAGGAAAATTACCATTTGACATCCTACTTCACATACAAGACATAATTTCCTATGAAACGTATTTAACATAATATATAACATATTTAATAGCACCCTGCCAAGGTAGGCTTAATTGTCTCCATTTACATAGAAAGAAAGTCAGACTTGACGAAGTGGAGTAATCTGGGGGCGCACATAGGCAACAAGAGGCAGAGCTGAGATTCCGCCGGACGCCAGGAGCCCTTTGCACGAGACCTGTGATTTCTCAGCTTGAACATGTACCGTAATCACCTGGAGGGCCTGGGGAATGCTGAGCCGCACCCCAAGAGCTTCTGATTCAGGTATGGGGTGGGGCCTGATAATTTACGTTTCTAACTCCTTTCCAGGTGAGGCCAAATGTGGCCACTGGTCTGAAGGCCCTGCGTGGAGAAACACTGCATTCATGACACTGACCTAACTTCCCTAAATCAACACGCTCCTCTCTTCTCTTCCCTTTCCAAGCAGCGACACGGTAGTCTTTCTCAATCTGTTTCTTGTCAGGGAATGCCTAATTGGGCTTTCTCGGTACTTGGCTCGGGGGATCTGCATGAGGACAAGATCACTGTGAGTCGCAGGTGCACTCAGGGCACAGCCGACTGAAGACACCTAATTGCTCTCCGTGATGGGGAGAAACTTGTTAAGGTTTCCTCAAGGGAGAAAAGGGAGCGTTACATGTGGTTAAAAGGGCCATGTTGGAAATAAGATACGGCCGTCTCAACACAATTTCACCTAAACAAGTACTCATCTGAGGAAGGTGCGCCCAGCACCACGTGCTCTGCGGGGCTTGTGAGGTGATGACCAGGTAAAGCAATTTCATTGAGCACAGTACGCCACTTTAGTAAGCCTTTAAGCATACACACGTGCACAGGAAACTCATCTTTTATGCTTTTGCCTACTGGCTGGTAGATTTAAGGAGCCACATAAATAGGTAGGAGAAGAAAAATAAATACATAAATATATAAATAAATAAACAAAAAGGTAATTTAATCTTGAAAACTGAGTTTTCATTTGGAATAAGCCAATTTATAAAGCTGGAAGTGACAAGCTAAAATTAAATGTACTTTCTCTTTATTACTGTTTCTCGACACCCTCATCAGCCAATTACACTCTCAAATCATTTAGTAGAAGGATCAACTTTACTCTCTTTTGAAGGAGAAAAATTCTCCTTAAAATTCCATTTTAATATCTGATTGACAGCTAATTTACATTTTTATTTGTCATGTTCTCTGAATTTTCTCTGTAAGAATATGTCCATTCAGAATCTGTGCATCTGGACCTGGGTCAAGTACTCTGATAGGAAGATATCTGAACATCATGAAAAACTGAGAAGTCCTAAGCAATTTCTGAAATCTGGCCCCACAGCTTAGACCTAAGCTTGTGAAGCTTTATTGAATATCTTCACATTCAATAAAGCTTTTACATTTAAGAATATTGTAAATGAGTTATGTGTTCTGTCTTCAAAGATATCTATATGCAAGCAATATGATTGTAGGTCAATGTAAATGCCAAATCTGGCCAAACGTTTATTTCTTGGTCTAGGGACTGGCTGCTTAAGCAAGATTTGTTTTATATAATAGTCCAAACAGCTTTCATTTCCTGTTTACATCAAAGCCATCAGCTGTAATTTTAAACATAAAATTTCAATTGGATTAAATGTGCCTTCTACTTCTGTTATTTCATTCATTCTGGAATACTGCTAAAAGACACCAAATCAAGAGCATCGTCAGGGACCACCAATGCATGCACTATCGGCCGTATCATCCCATCACATTCTAGATGTTTGAAGGACAATTTTTCTAATATATTACATGTACAGATGCTCCTCAACTTATGGAAAAGTGGTATCCTGATAAACTCACTATAAGTTGAAAATATCATAAGTGGAAAATACGTTTTATGCACGGAACTTACTGCACATCATAGCTTAGCCTAGCCTGCCTTAGTTCTCAGAACATTCACATTCGCCTAGAGATGGGAAAAATCAAGTAACACAAAACCTGTTTTATAATACGTGTTGAATATCTCATGTATTTATTGAACACTGCACTGAAACTGAAAAACACGATGGTTGGGTGGGTATGTGGGCACTTATAGCACGGTTTCTACTGAAAGGGCAGCGCCTTCACCCCATCCTAAAGTCAAAAAGCCGTCAGGTGAAGCCACTGTAAGCCAGAAACCATCTGCAGATCTAGTCCACCCTCAGTATCCACGGGGTATTGGTTCCAGGAAACCCTCTAGAAAACCAAAATCCACAGATGCACAAGTCCCTGATCTAAAATGGTATGGTATTTTCATATAACCTACACACACCCTCCAATGTACTTTTATTGTTGTTGAGACAGAGTCTCACTGTAGCACTCATGCTGAAGTGCAGTGGTGCGATCACAGCCTCGGCCTACTGGGCTCCGGTGATTCTCCCATTTCAGCCTCCTGACTAGCTGGGACTACAGGCATGCAGAACCATGCGTGGCTAGGCTCATGTTTTGTATCGTTTGTAGAGATGGAGTCTCACCATGTTGCCAAGGCTGGTCTCGAAATTCTGAGCTCAAGCAGTCTGCCGGCCCCGGCCTCCCAAAGTGCTAGGATTGCAAGTGTGAGCCACTGCACCCGGCCACCTCTTGTATACTTTAAATCATTTCTAGATAATTTATAATATCTAATACAATGTAAATGCTATGTAAATATATGTTATCCTGTATTGTTTAGGGAATAATAACAGGCAAAACAATCTGTACATGCTCAGTGCAGATACAATCAATCATCTATTTTTTTCCAAATGTCTTTAATCCGTGGTTGGTTGCATTCACAGATGTTGACCATACAGACAGGGAGGGCACACACACACAGAATCATCCACTGCATAATGACATCCACACACATACACACACACAGAATCATGCACTGTATAATGACATCACACACACACAGAAGAGTCCACCACATAATGACATCACACACACATACGCACACAGAATCATGCACCCCATAATGACATCACACACACACACACACACACACACACACACACACACACACAGAGTCATGGACTGCATAATGACATTTTGGTCAATGCTGGAGCACATATGTGACAGTTTTCTCATATGATTATAATACCGTATTTCCACTGTACCATTTCTGTGTTGGGGTGTGTGATGTGTTTAGATATACAAATCTCTACCTTTGTGTTATAATTGCCTTCAATATTCAGTATGATAACTTGCTGTATGGGTTTGTAACCTAGGAGCAATAGGCTACACTGCATAGTCTAGATGTGTTGGAGGCTCTACCACCTAGGTGTACACACTCCAGGATGTTTGCACAGGAGCAAAATCACCTAAGACACATTTCTCAGGATGTATTCCCATCCCTGTGTGATGCCTGCCTGTATGTAGAGGTGTTCTGGCTGCTTGGTGTTCACTTTCCCGGACATGTTTCTTGCCACCCCTATATCTGTCAATACATTGACATCATTTTTGAGAGATCCCTTAACCATGAGGCACTGCCAGGACATAGCTCCCAGCAGATGTCATGGAAGTTCCAGCAACTCTGGATCCCATGAGGGGAGGGCTTAGCAGCTCTACCCATGGGCCATAGGAGAGAGAGCTCACAGCTGGCAGGGGCCCAGCAAGGATAGGGTGGATCTCCCTCTGAACATGGAGCTGCAAGGAGCCTTCCAGCCAAGCCTTGGGACCGTCTCTGAACCCTTACCCAAATCATTCACCACATCCATCCTTCTACCCTGGGCGCTGCCCCTGCCCTATGGTAACTTTCTGGGTTACCATAATCGATGTCACCCCTCTGGAGCTCTGTTTCCCATAGATAGGGATGATAAAACTTATCCTATGCAATTATTAGGAATAAAAATCCTGTGCACTGTATGTAGGTCCTTCTGCCTTCCTTTCGAGGTGCATGCCGATTTCTAAGTCAAGTTAATAATGAACAAATGGGCTGCTCCTGCAAAACACGTTTGCCTTTTAACAGCAGTCTCCTGGAGACAGGTTCCCCTGAGTAAAAAATGAGTTCCTAAGTGCAGGACTCAGCCATTGTGGTCAAGCTGTTGGAGGCACAGTCTGAAAATTTGCCATTCCATTGCAGGCCATCTGTCCACTCAAATGGCAAAACATAATATACAAAAGATAAATAAGTAACTAAAAGTACAAGAGGTACATAACCCAAGAGATATTCCAAGACAAAATTGGGAAACAGGTTTCATCTTGCAGGTCAAACAAGATAGGTTAGCAGTGGAGGAGGACCGTCGGCTGCCTGGCTCCTGTGGGGAGGGTCCTGCTCAGGCACTGTGGATAAAGACTTGGAGAGAAACAGGAGATTCGCACAGAACAGTGCTGCAGTCAAGGGCTGCCCCAGTCTTTTACAGAATCAACAGCAAAGAACCTGACACAAGTGACCATGCATCAATCTCAGACGAGAGGGAAGTCACTGGCGTTGACACTAGATTTCCCGTGTCTGAGTTAGAACTGGCAGGATTACAGAATATGGATAAAAATAATAATAAGGAGCTGTCTCCAGCTGAAGGCAGCCACTAAGGCAAACTGTGGGGGAGAAAAAAAATAAAAAAGGTTATTTGCATAGTGAGGGGATTCATTTATCTGGGGTGGACCTGTGTAATGGGTGAGCTGTGAAGTGCACATGGGACAGAGATACACTTTAAATGAACCCACTTTAGGTCAGGCTGAGTGCTTTTGGAACTACTCCTATTATAGATCTTGAACTTGCATTTTAAAAGTTATTTTGTGACCATAGCATCTCTAAAATGAATGAGATCTTTAAAAAAGCAAGAAACACACCAAACACCAAAGCTCATCTTTGAGTTCAGAGCTTAGCTTAGAGTGAGGCATTCCAGGACTGACTCCCTGGGGAAACAGGGTCAGACTCAGTCCTTGGAGACATAGGTATGCAACAGGGACAGTCCCCCAGAAGCAGAAAGCGCGTCACTGAGTGCTCTCCTGTGCTTACTTGGAAGCAGAGCCGGTGAGCTCCCAGGACGGAGGTGGGAGCCTCCTTGCTTTCATTCCTGGGTCTGTGCCGCTGCTTGCAGCATCCAGCCCTGCAGTTCTAAGTCACTGGAGACCCTACATGCCTGGCCCAGCACAGAAACACGTCTGATATGCTTTGGATCAGTTCCCTGCTCAAGTCCCATGTTAAATTGCAGTCCCCAGTGTGGACAGTGGGGCCAGGTGAAAGGCCATTGGATCATGGGGGTGGGTTTCTCACGAATGGTTTTACACTAACCCCTCGGTGCTGTTCTCGTGATAGTGAGTGAGTTCTCCTGAAGAGACTTGGTCATTTAAAAGTGTGTGGCACCTCCCTCCCTCTCTCTCTCTCTTGCTCCTGCCCCTGCCATGTAAGACACCTGCTTCCCCTTTGCCTTCCGCCATGAGTGGAGACTTTCTGAGGCCTCCCCAGAAGCCTAAGCCCCTATGCTTCCTGCACAGCAGAACCATGAGCCAATTAAACCTCTTTTCTTTATAAGTTACTCAGTCACAGGTATTTCTTTACACCAGTGCAAGAATGGACTAACAACGTCCCACCTACTCGTGACCCACATGACCTGAATCTGCTCCCCTTCCAGCTTTTCTGACCCACGGCTTCCTAACTCCTCTCATCCCCCATGGCGTGATGCCCATCTTCATCCTTTCAGCTGAGCGTGCCGATTTTACTGACCCTGGCTTTTCCTGTCTTCACCTTTCTGTCGTCCCACCAGGGGCGAAGCTGACCCCCAGCTCATTTGCTCCTCTCCCCACCCTCACTCCCAGAATCCCCTCTAGAAATCTCCCGATTCACATGCCCAAGGGCCCATCTGGAGCAGACTCCAGCTGTTTGGACATCACTCTTGTTATGGTTTGAAGCTGCAGCTTCCCTTTTCTGATCTGCTTTCCATGCTGCTTCTGAAGAGATGTTGCCTCTGCCTCTTCCATTTGAATGAAACAAAAGCCCACCAAGTGTGCTCAGTGTCGTGGGGCTCCATGGGAATGAGCTCATTAATGTTCTCCTGCTCCTCAGAGGTGGGTGTCAAGGGGCCCCTCTTTGCCTGCAGCCTTAAATACACTCCTCGGAATGCTGAGGAAACTGCAGCCATCCCTGCAGGGTGAGTTTGGAAAACGGTGTCAACAACTGTGATATGTGGCCAGAAGCTGCTTCTGTAAAGCAGAGCCCAGCCATGAGTGTTTGCTGGATGAGATAGGTACTGCTGTGTGTTAATCCACAGACCCTATCACCACAGCCACCATTGCTGCCCTCAGCTGAGGTCCCACTGTGTGTCAGGCACCTGCCAGGCACTTGTCATGCATTATTGAAATTCTCACAGTAACCTCACAAGGCAGACACAAACGGCTGCACTTTTTCTTTTTTTTTTGAGATGGAGTTTCGCTCTTGTTGCCCAGGCTGGAGTGCAATGGCACAATCTCAGCTCACCGCAACCTCCACCTCCCCGGTTCAAGTTATTCTCCTGCCTCAGCCTCCCAAGTAGCTGGGATTACAGACATGTGCCACCACGCCCTGCTAATTTTGTATTTTTAGTAGAGATAGGGTTTCCCCATGTTTGTCAGGCTGGTCTCGAACTCCTGACCTCAGGTGATCTGCATGCCTCGGCCTCCCAAAGTGCTGGGATTACAGGCGTGAGCCACCGTGCCCAGCACGACTGTATTTTATGCATGAACAATGGTTTAGAGAAGCAAGTATTTTTCCAAGGTCCCAAAGCTTGCAAATGGCAGACCCAGAATCCAAACACGAAGCAGCTCATGTCCTCAGGGAGACAGTGCCGCTTGGAGAATCAACCAATGAATTGGTCTCTACAATAGGAATGCACAGGTTATGCAGATCCAGAGGAGGTCCTCAGGAGAAATGAGTGAATTCTAGGTGGGCAACTTAAACAACCATCAAAATCGCAGTGATGCAAAGATGAAACTATGTATAGCTCATTGAACTCGAGCCTGGAATTTCTCCCAGAAGCACATCAGGGGAAGGATGTGTCTGATACTCTGTCTCTCAAGCAAGCAGTCATTCATCATTTGCTGAGCACTCATCATGCTGGGGCTGCTTTATTGGATAAGAGGGATAGGACACCATGCACCAATCCAGTCCTGAGAGAACCCTCAAAGTTCTCCCCAGCCACTGGCAAACACCCACCGACAGCCACAGGCCTAGCAAACCATTGCACACAGACGACCTCTGTGATTTGACTGTTTCTTCTAGTTGTCTCTTCCCGTGAGCCTTGCTTGTTAAGCTATCTGGAAATAGACGCCTTATGCGCCCTTGCATCCTTCACAGAACCTTGTATACTTCTGAGCCCACTGAACATGCAAACCCTGCCAACCGCCCCTCCTGTGAAGCCTTCCCCGCCCATATCCTGCTCCTGCCTCCTGTGAAGCCTTCTCTGCCCATATCCTGCCCCTGCCGTAAGACATACCTTCCTCCCCTGGACCCCAGAGCACATGGTTCCTGTCTCAGCCTCAGCCACCAACACCCTGTGGCCACAGCTTCCCAGGCCTGTCTCAGACAGAGGGCCCCAAAAGCATTAGATAGAATCACAGACAAGACATAAATTGGGAATTGGAGGAGACTCTATGTCTAACTGTGCCTTGACCAGAATGAGAATCACAATCGCCCGAGAAGGGAGCGATGCAGGTCCAAGCCCGGGGCCTCTCTGGGGACCCAGGAGAATGGCGGAGGGTCTGGACACAAAGTGAACACCAGGCACTTCTGTTCAGTTCTTTCTAAACTGGTGGTCTTTTCAAGGGGTTTTTCTTTATTTTTGAAAGAAACAGGTATCCTACAAAATGTTACCAATTAAGATACACAAAAATAAAAGTATCAATCTTGGTCTCACACCAAAGAAAATCACTTGTATATTTTTGTATGTTTTCCCTCTAGGAGTTTTCCCAAGGATAGATACATTTTAGTGATACTAAACTGGACTTCTGAAACTGGTGGTAAATTCTGATTTTTGGAAAGGCTTTTCTAGAAAGACTTATTGTATTCACTGAAAGGAATTTGTTTTCAACTTCTTAGGAAGTTATTTTATTTATCATCTGGAAATATATTTTTCTCTTCACCACTTGCGATGCAGATTTTAATTTTGCTGTTTTAATTTTCACGTTAAAACCATCTTCTTTGCTCTAATCAGCTCTATTGTTATCTTTGCTTATTGACTTTGCAACACATCAGTCTAGTGTTAGGAGCCTGAGCCCTGGTAATGACTTGGATTCAGATCGGTGGTTCTCACTGGCCACAAACCCTGGGGAAAATCACTTCCCCTCACTGTTCTTCAGCTTCCTTGTCTGCGCCACAGGGAAGATAACGGTACTTGCCTCAGAGAGCTGTTTGTGAGAACTGAGTGGGTTAATATGTTAATATGTCTAATACCTAGAAACTATTTGCCATAGAGTAATCACTCAATACATGTGAGGTATTTGCTGTGGTTTGAATGTGTGTGGACCTGCAAAATTCATGTGTTGAAATAGGAACTCCCGGTGATGGTATGAAGAGATGAGGCCTTTGGGGCAGTGATTAGATCATGAGGGCTTCACCTTCGTTAATGGGATTAAAGCCTTTATTACAGAGGCTTCAGAGAGCTGCCTGGCACTTCTGTTGCTTCCACCCTGTGAGGGCACCACAAGAAAACACCATCTTGGAAGCAGAAAGCAGCCGTCACCAGACAAAAAATCTCCCAGGGTCTTGATCTTGGATTTTCCAGCCTCCAGAGCTGTAAGCAATAAATTTATATTCTTTTTACATTACCCAGTCTCAGACGTTTTGTTATAGCTGCACAACCAAACCAAAAAGCATTATTATTTCTATTACTAATATATGCAGAATGAAATTCTCCCCCATTAATTAATTTTTTTAAGGGCAATAAACAGAAATACAGATCATAAGAATAAACAAATCATAAGAGACTACTATAAATAATTATATACCAATAAATTGCATAACCTAGAATAAATGGATACATTCCCACCATGCAGTGTATCACATTTATTTACACATACTCTCTACCAAGACTGAATCATGAAAAAGTGAAAAATCTGAACAGACCAATCATGCACAAAGATACTGAATCAATAATCATAAATCTCCATCAAAGAAAATCTCAGTACCTGATGAGTTTATGGATGAATTCTATCAAAGATTTAAGTTACTAATAACAAGCATTCTCGATCTCTGAAAAAAATTAAGACAATGACATGCTTACAAACTAATTTTAGAAGACCAGCATAACTCTTATAGCAAAGCCAGATAAATAAAATACAAGAAAATTAATTACTGGCCAATATCCCTGGTGAGCATAAATGCAAAAATTACCAAAAAAAAAAAAATACTAGCAAATTGAACTCAACAGCACGTTAAAAGGACCAGTCACCTTAATCAAGTGGGATTTATCTGTGGGATGCAGGAATGGTTCAACATATGCAAGTCAATAAATGTGATACACTGGATTAACAGAATGAAGAACAAAAAAATATGATCATCCCAACAGATGCACAAAAAAGTATTTGACAAAGCTCAACATTCTTTTATGATAAAAACTCTTAACAAATTAGATATAGAAGGAATGTACCTCAACACAGTAAAGGCCATATATGACAAGCCCACATCTAACATATTATACTCAACAATGAACAATGAAAAGTTGAAAGCTTTTCCTATAAGATCAAGAACAAGACAAGGATGCCCATTCTCACCACTTCCATTCAAAGGAATTCACATCAGAAATTGGGTAGTTAAATTATCTTTGATTTCAGATGACACAATCTTATAAATAGAAAACCACAGACATTTCACCACAATGACTATTCAAAGTGTTGAAAAAGAGAAAACAACAAAAGTAAAAAGATTCCACCACAAAACTGTAAGAAATCAAAAGCAAAATTAGTAAAGCTATATGATACAAAATAAACATGCAAAAATCAGTAGTGCTTCTATAAACTAATAACAAACTATTCAAAAAAGAAATCAAGAAAACAATCCCATTTATAATAGCATAAAAATAGAATAAAACACTTATGAATAAATTTAACCAGGGCAGTAAAAGACCTGCACATTGAACACTACAAAAGATTGATGAAAGAAATCAAAAAAGACACAGATGGAAGGAAAGATGTCTTGTGTTCTTGGATTGGGAAAATTAATAATGTTAAGATGCCTACAGTACTCAAAGCAATCTGTAGGTTCCATGCAATCCTTAGCAAAATCTCAATGACAATTTTATAGAACTAGAAAAAAATTCCTAGCATTCACATGGAATCACAAAAGACCTCTAATCACCAAAACATTCTGAGCAAAAAGAACAAAGCTGGAAGCATTATGCTACCTGATCTCAAAACCTACTCCAAGGCTGTAATAATTAAAAGAATATGATATTGGCACAAAAACAGACACATCAACCAATGGAACAGAATAGAGAGCCCATAAATAAATCTGTGCATTTATGGTCAAATAATATTTGACAAAGGTGACCAGAACCCCCACTGGGGAAAGGACACTCTCTTCAATAAATGATGTTAGGAAAACTAGACACCCATAGGCAGAAGAATGAAACTGGACTCCGATTTCACCTTATAGACAAAAATTAATTCTAAATGGATTAAAGACTAAACTCTAAGACCAAAAACTGAAAAACTACTAGAAAAAAAAAATAGAGAAAAGCTTTCTGGCATTGGTCTGGGTAAAGATCTTTTGAGTTTGATCCCAAAAGCAGAGACAACAAAAGCAAAAATAGACAAATATGTTTATATTAAATTAAAAGCTTCTGCACAGCAAAGGAAACAACAGAGTGAAGAGACAGCCTGGAGAATGGAAGAAAATATTTGTGGAACCATACCTCTGATAAACAGTTAATATTTAAAATACACAAGAAACTCAAAAAAACTCCATACTAAGGAAACAACAAACCTGATTAAAAAATGGGCAAAGAACCTGAAAAGACATTTCTCAAAATAAGGCTACAAATGGCCAACAGGTGTATGAGAAAATGCTCAACATTACTAATCATCAGGGAAATGCAAATTAAAACCACAATAAAATATCACCTCATACCTGTTGTTACGATGCCTGTTATCAAAAGGGCAAGAGGTAACAAGGATATGGGAGGATGTGGGGAAAGAGAATCTTGCGTTGTTGATGGATACGTAAATTAGTGCAGCCATTATGGAATGCAGTATGGAAGCTCCTCAAGAAGTTAAGTAGAGCTGCCATATGATTCAGCATTTCACCTTCTGGCTATATACAAAGGAAATGGAATCAGTATGTCAAAGACAGACCGAACTCCCATGCTCCCTGCAGTATTATTTACAACAGCCAAGATATGGAATCCACCCAAGTACCTATCAACAGGTAAATGGATAAAGAATAGGTAGCATATATACACAATGGAATACTATTCAGCCTTAACACAATGGGGAAATCCTATCATTTGTGACAATGTGGATGACCTAGGAGGACATTAAGCTCAGTAAAATAAGCCAGAAACAGAGAGACAGATCCTGCATGACCTCAGTTTTATAGAGAATCCAAAAAAATCAAACTCATAGAAGAGAGTAGAATGGTGGTTATCCTGGCAGAGGGAAATGCAGGGAGGCATGGGGAGAGGCTGATCAAAGCATACAAAATTGTCATTAGGAGGAATAAGCTGAGGAGATCTATTGTATAACACGGTGATTATAGTTAATCATTAACTATATTAATTATATTATTAATATATTAACATGTATTGCATACTTGAAAATTGCTAAGACTACATTTTCAATGTTCGCAAGGTACACACACAAAGTATGTGAGGTAGTGGATATTGATTAGCCTGATTTATTCATTCCACAATGTATACATATATTAAAACGTCATTTTGCACACCATACACGTATTTCATTTTCATTTGTCAATCATTAAAACTAAAATTATTATTATTATTTTTTTAAAGAAAGATCCTAAACAGTTTTCTAAATATCTTTATTTTAGGTTCAGAAATAGTTTTCAGAGGCCTGGTGTTCCTCTGGGTCTTCTACCTGATGGGCTCTTTTCCTTGTTCAGCAACGTCCTTTAGGTCCCATGCTAGTTCTTTTTATTCGTGTTGTTTTCCTTTTTGTGAGTTTTTATTTTGCTTTAACTCTTCTTCAGGGAGAACTCAGTTGTCTAGGACTAGTGCCTGCCAACTGCCGCGTGGTTACATGAAGGAGCCTTGGATAGACTTGCTTCCCAGTCCTTAGCTAGAGTACAGCGTGATATGGAAGCGCCGGGCTCAGCCTCTGATTTAAGCCGCTCTGCGCACTGAGGACACCGCCCCAAACCCCATGACTCTACCCAGAATGCAAGCAAGATGGTGCCAGGGCGCACTAAATCCCCAGCATGCACTGCGACCGCCCTTAGTAGCAAGCGTAAACTACAATCCCCAGGATGCACTGCACCAGGGCTGCGCCTGCCTGGCGTCACGGGCGTGAATTACAATCCCCAGCATGCACCGGAGTAGCGGGCGTCATCAACAACCCCCTACGTGCCGCGCGCGGCCTCTAGCCCTCACCTGTGCTCTGCTTGTTCTGTGCATAAACAAGGGTCTATGAGGGTGCAGAGGGTGCTCTGAGGGGCGGGGGTGGGAGGGGCGGTGGGAGAAGACTATTCTGGCCACCAAAACGGCAGCACCGCTGCAACAGAAAAGATGCCTGCTTCTCTGGAGGGTAATGACGATGCTCTGAAGCTGACTGTGCTGCTGCAGGCATGCAAATCCTCTGACAGTTTTAAAGAGAGCACAGCACGCATTTTAAGACATGGCTCCACCAGCCTTATGGCAAGCGGAATTCTTATATAATGTGGCAATGTATGGACAGTCAGTTTTTGTTTTAGGGGGCGTCACAGATTGTGTTCACTTTGCATCTAGAACAGCTAGCCAGTGTCATTTCAATCTCTGGACGCCTTTAATTTGGGATGTGCGCATATGCATCTGTACTCTTGTGCATGTAAATCCAAGTGTGTGAGTGAGCACTTGCATTAAAAAAATAATAATAAAATAAATAAAGAGGGATTTCAAGATGGTGACAGCAGAGACTGAAGCCAAGCATAGGACCCTCCTGGCTGGGGCCCAGGTCAGTGACCAGGAGGTGGCTGTGGTGCACGACAAGGGCTACAAGTCCTTGTAAATGCAAGTGTGTGAGTACCAGTGCTCAAACATGTGCATGTATGCATATCCCCTTCTCCGGGAGAGAATCTCCTCCCGGTGGTGACATTGTTTACAGAGAAGGTTTTTACACTAGCTAGCTGAGAGGCTGTGACTACATCCATCCCCAGGCCTGAATGTCTGAACTACTAATCAGTATCCTCAGCCTGGCTCCTGCCTTCTGAGGATTTCCTCAGCCCACAGGCAGTCGTTCGAGCTGGGGCTCAGTGCTGTCTCTGTTAAGTCTCTCCAAGCCCGGCAGAAGACTCCTGAGACCACCCAGAACACGGAGCCTGTGCTAGTCAGGAAGGCTTGGGCTTTAGGGAACTGCTGTACCCCAAAGAGAGACAGCCTCCAGCTGCTTCTCTAAGACAGGCTGAGGCTCTGCACAGCTGGGAGTTGCTTGGAGGAGCAAGGGACAAGGTCGACCTCTTCTTCCTTCTTGCTCCCCAGGGTTCAGCAGGGCCACGGCATGCTTCCTAAGCTGTGTTCCTGTGGGCGCCTCCTCGGGGGTTATGTTTTTGTCGTTGATTTCAGTTTGTGTGCAAGGACAGAAGATGGAGTGCAGCAAACCTACGAAACTATCAAATCTGATATGAGCTCTAAGTAAAGCATAACTGCAAGGAGACAAGGGGAGCAGATGGTCAACAATTCTATTCAATGACGGAAAGCAGCCCCAATTAACCATGATCAGAACTAGGCTTATAGCCCTTGTCGTGCACCACAGCCACCTCCTGGTCACTGACCTGGGCCCCAGCCAGGAGGGTCCTATGCTTGGCTTCAGTCTCTGCTGTCACCGTCTTGAAATCCTCTTTTTCTTTTTTGACACGGAGCTTCACTCTTGTCACCCAGGTTGGAGTGCAGTGGCGTGATCTCAGCTCATTGCAACCTCTGCCTCCCAGGTTCAAGTGATTCTCCTGCCTCAGCCTCCTGAGTAGCTGGGATTACAGGTGTGCACCACCATGCCTGGCTAATTTTTTGTATTTGTAGTAGAGACGGGGTTTCACCATGTTGGCCAGGCTGGTCTTGAACTCCTGACCTCAGGTGATCCGCTAGCCTTCACTTCCCAAAGTGCTGAGATTACAGGTGTGAACCACTGTGCCCAGCCCCTCACATTTTTGAACAAGGGGCCACACATTTTTATTTTGCACTGATCCTCACAAATTTTGTAGCTACCAGCTGTCCTGACATAAACTTCCTCCTGTGGGCCTCAGTGTTCTTCTTTGCAAGATGGGAAGATTGGAATAAAAAGTTTTCAAAGATATTTTTGCTGCAAAACTTTTTTGTCAAAAAAGAATATATTTAGAACTTGAGACATAACCCATGTGATAGGGTAATATTTCAAATCCTTTCTTTTCTTTGTCCTTATGGTGCTGCTTCTTTTTCTTCACCTTTCTTGCTCTTTCTGCAGTGTGTCTCTGGGTCTCTGGAGGTGGGATAGGGGTTGTCTGGGGAATCTACCGTCCTAATTATCTGTAGGTGATTGTTTTGTTGCCCTGTAGGTCAAAGGGAAGGTGATTCCAATGCTTGGCATTTATCTGGCGGAATCCCTATTCCTCCTATGCCCTCCTCATCTGTGAAATGGTGATAGTAGTAGCACTACCTCGGAGGATGGTTATTAATGAGAAGCAAAAGTGAACACAACACAGGTTAACTACTTATATTTTCATGCATATTATTATTTGTATGTTTAGCTGCATCCCACTTCTTTTTTTTTTTGTTTTTTTTTTTTTGGAGATGAAGTCTCACTCTGTCACCCAGGCTGGAGTGCAGTGGCATGATCTCGGCTCACTGCAAGCTCCGCCTCCCAGGTTCATGCCATTCTCCTGCCTCAGCCTCCCGAGTAGCTGGGACTACAGGCGCCTGCCACCACGCCTGGCTAATTTTTTGTATTTTTAGTAGAGACGGGGTTTCACCATGTTAACCAGAATGGTCTCGATCTCCTGACCTCGTGATCTTCCCGCCTCAGCCTCCCAAAGTGCTGGGATTACAGGCGTGAGCCACTGTGCCCGGCATCACACTTCTTAAAGTAGTTACACACAGAGAGGCACATAGAAAGAAATCAAAGTAAAAAACACACAACACACACATACATAATGGTACCATGACCTTCTGCCTGGGGGCACATTTTAGACGATGGTGCAGGAATGAGGAACCCAGCGAGGGCAGTGGTCTTGCTTTGGACACAGAGATCATGGTCAGGGAGATAGAGGCAGCTGTGAATGCCCGGGCACAGTCCACAAAGGTGGGAACAATGCAGAAAGAGAAAGTTCTAGAAATACTCACAAGGGCTCGTTAAGTCTTTGAGCAAACACTTATTTGAACATGTCTAGGGTGAAATTCCAGGACACAAAGCAGAAACAACTGCCTGGTAGCTGTGAGGTGAGAGATTCCCCAAGCTCATAGGGAAAGGAGGCATTTGAATTTTATTCAGTCCCAGGACATGGACCTCATGCTCACGGGACCATCAGGATTATCAGTGAAGACACAAGAATGTCAAATATTTCCTCCAGTTTGTCTACATTAGATCTAGAGTAAGGACTACTATCTTCCCACCATAATAAAGATGAAAAAACAACCTTAGAATTGACCAACCACATCTAAAAGGAACTTAACCGTCTATTAGACCAAACTTCAACATTCTTTAAAGGAAGAAGACCAAAGCCAACTCTCAACACTGTGGCATTCACAGCATCTGGCAGTCAATTGAATAGTACTAGGCAGGTAGAGAAGCTATAACTGTTAAGCAGATCCAGGAGGAAAGTGAATCAATAAAAACAGACCAAGAAATAACAGATATAGTGGAATTAGCAGACACAGACATTGAAATAGCTATTATAAACCATAAATTTTGCTCTGGTATTAAAAACAAACAAACAAACATGATGAGCAAAGAAATGTAAGTCCTAAAAATGACCATCTGTACATCAAAGGATGCTACGAACACAGTGAAAACACAACCCATGGAATAGACAGCTAGGTGCAAATCATATATCTGATTTAGGATTAATATCCATAATATATAAAGAACTTTACAACTCAACAACAACAACAAAAGACACAACCCATTTAAAAAATGAGGAGAACTTTAATAGACATTTCTCCAAAGAAGATATATAAATGGCCAATAATCACATAAAAAGATGCTCCATGTCACTAATTATTAGAGAAATGCAAATTAAAACTACAATGAGATACCACTTGACACTAATTAGGATGGTTACAATTTTTTAAGTGTCAGCAAAGATATGGAGAAATTGAATCACTTGTGAATTTCTGCTGGGACTATAAAGTTGTGCAGCCACTGTGAAAAACAGTATGGTGGTTTCTCAAAAAATTAAACATAGAATCATGTGATCCAGCAATTCCACTCTTAGCAATGCACCCAAAAGAATTGAAAGAAGAGACACAAACAGATATTTGTACACTCATATTAATGGCAACATTATTCACAATAGCCAAAGGTGAAATCAACAAAAGTGTCCATCAACAAATGAGAGAATAAACAGAATGCTATCTGTACATGACAATAGGATTATTTAGCCTGAAGGAAGGAAATTCTGACACCTGCCACAATATACATGAATAATGAAGACATTACGCTAAGTGAAATAGGTCAGACAAAATGGACAGATACTGTGTAATTCAGTCATATGAATTATCTAGAGTAATCAAATTCATAGAGACAGAAAGTGAAATAGTGGTTACCAGAAGCTGAGGGCAGCAGGAAGGGGGAATTATTGCTTAATGAGTACAGAGTTATAGTTAGGCAAGACAAAAAAGGTCCTGGAAATGGATGTTGATGTACTATATGCTTAAAAATGGTTAAAATGGTATATTTTACATTATCTATATTTTACCATAATAAAACAACTACAGGAAAAAAATCAAATGGAACTTCTAGGGATGAAAATGACAATGTCTGATTAAAAACAACAACAATAACAACCTGGGATTAACAGCCAATTAGACAATGCAGAAGAAAACAGTAGTGCATTTAGGACGTAACAATAGAAACAACAAAATAAAGCTGAGAGAGACAGAGAAAGAAAACCTGGGGAAAAAAAAGGGAGGGGTAAGAGGCAGCATAGATAAATTATTTCAAAAAATTGTGCCCAGAAATTTTATAAATGTGATGCAAGAAGCTCACTGGACCATGAAGTTGGAAAACACAAACAGAGGCAAACCAAAGAGCATCACAACGAGACGTTTGAAAACCCCTAATAAACTGAAAACCTTTAAAATAGCCAGAACAAAAGCCACGTTACTTAGAGAGGAACAACAGAAAAGATAACAGGCTGCTCAGAAACCAAGAAAGCCAGAAAACAGCTGGACAGCATCTTTAACATACTAAGAAAATAAATTCCACGTAAAATTGTGTATCAAGTATGAAAGTATCCTTTTTAAAATGAACATGAGAAAAAGAATTTTATCAGCTGAAGAGAAAGTAAAAGAATTCATTGCAAGCAGGCCTGTACTACAAGAAATTATAAAGGAGGTGTTTGGTGTGGGAGAAAATGATATCAGTTGGAAAACTGGACAGAGAGATATAAAATACATAAGAATAAAATTAACAAGATGAGAAGAACCTATATGAAGAAAACCACTAAACTAAGGAAGATGAAAGAACACAACTAAATTGAACAATGTTCTATGTTCTCTAACAGTAATACAAAGCACTATAAGATTATTATTTCTCTCCAGATTAATTTATAAATTTAAATATCTTTAGTGAAAGATTACAACTGGGTTAAAAATTCAAACTATGTCTAAAGTTCATTAGAAAAAAAATAAATGACTATATTATAGAAAATATTTTTCTTAACATTATAAAAATGTATAAAGCTACAATAATTAAAGAAGCATTTTACTGGAGCTAGAAAACTGCCTCATAATGGAAAAGAGTGGAAAGTACAAGAATAGAGCTGATTTATGTTACAATGTAGCACATGGGTAGAGTGGTCCTAACCTTAAAAATCAGCAGGGAACAATGGCTTAATATGTTAAAATTAATGAATAGCCACGTGTAAGAGTAATTATCTCAAAAACTTTCAGAGGCCAGTTATACAACAGGTATCAGGAGCCTTCAAATGTATATATGCTATGGCTCATAAACTCTACTTCTAGAAATTTACCCATGTAGAAATGTGAAATGATTCAATCTGCCCATGTAAGAAAGCTATGAACTTTATGTTCATAATTGTGAAAAATGGGAACAACATAAGTATCCTACGGTGGGGAGCTGTTTGAATAATTCTGGTACAATGGAGTGTCGAGTATAGGGTTTTTGTATTTATCATGTATAAACCATGAACATAATTTTATTTATTTATTTATTTATTTATTTATTTATTTATTTATTTTGAGATAGCATCTCACTCTATTTGCCAGGCTAGGGTGCAGTGGCTCAATCACAGCTCACTGCAGCCTTGACCTCCTGGGCTCAAATTATCCTCCCATATCAGCCTCCCCAGTAGCTAGTACTACAGGAGTACACCACCATGGCTGGCTAATTTTTTGTTTGTTTGTTTGTTTTGTAGATACTGGGTTTCGCCATGTTGCCCAGGCTGGTCTCAAACTCCTGAGCTCAAGCAATCCGCCTGCTTTAGCCTCCCAAAGTGCTAGGATTACAGGTGTGAGCCACCACACCTGGCCATGAACATAATTTCATACAATCAAATATACATATGCAATATATTTTTTGAAAATCCGTGACTCGGTTTGTTGAGGAAGTCCTCTGTGCCAAGCAGTAAGCCAAGTGCCAGAAGTGCTTGTGAATAAGAGGAGGTGTTTGTGATGTGTGCTTGGAAAACTCATGTGGTGAAAGGGCAGTCACAGGGAGATGAAGTGTGTTATGGCAAGTGCCACCGTGCAGATAGGATGAGAGCCCTTTGACCATCCCTGAGGATATGAGAAGCTACTGTGGACTGAACGTCTACCGCAGCCAGACACCGTACCTGCATCGCCTTTGTCAACCATACAGGTCCACAAGGGCACAGCAGGCAAGTTCATGGGGATAAACAGGGCTGTGGGACATGTCCAGTGTCCAACCGGAGGAGGTGGAGGAGGAGAGGCTGAGGTTTCCATAACACCAATGCCCCTCTGTCCTCTCTCCTCCTTCCAGCACAGCACTCTGCCTCCCCTGCTGCCCCTGGGATTTCCCTGCTTCAAAGGCAGAATAATGCCTGGCAACATTATAGGTCATCATCTTGGATTTGTTTTTGTTTTTGGGTTTTGTTTGTTTGTTTGTTTGTTTTTGGTCTGTTGTCGCTTTTCAACAGATGTGAAGGACCCTAAATTCTAAACAATTGTATTTCAAGATACATCTCTTTCCTACCCGGACTACATCACCATTACCAGGGAAGAGGGCACGCGGACATCCTGAGATTGCCTGGAGTACTTGGACCATCGGCTCTGAGAATCTTGTGCTTGAGGAGCTGATTTCCTTTGAGGGAAAGCAAGGATGACAAATGGGTGTCCAGTTGACGGGGACATTCCTGGTTCCAAATCTCTGTCCCCAGGGACAGGTCCTGCTCACAGAACTTTCTGCGAACATCCTTGCTGTCTATACAAGTTCTTCCAATGCAAGTAGACTCAACCACAAGGCACCCGAAACAGGCTCCTTTTGTGGGTTCACCTGTGTGTTGTTCTGTACTTCTGCACTCTGGTGTGTGTGTTTGCTTTGTTGCCAAGGAAATTACACATTGAAGTAGAAATGTTTGGAAGTCATTATGCTCAGGAATTTAAACACACTGAAATCAGTTTTTAAAAGGATCTTTCACAGAACAAAAGTAGCATAACAACATACCTCTAAACAAACACATAAACAATGCATAATAATTTTTAATAGCTATTCACATATAGTTTGTATGGATATTACCAGAGTTGTAAACTTCTTTGGGCCAGTATATATAGTCCTCATCTTTTTTTATTTTTATTTTTTGACTGTAAAATAATGTTAAAAAAAAAAAAGAAATTGTCTAGGTGTCATGGGGGCACTATCTATTAAATGCTATGTGGGTTTTTTGCAACTATCTTTATAGCTATGAGCCCTCTTTTTTCTGTAAAATGAAAATAAGAAGCCGTAGCTCAGAGGGTTTAGTGAGATACATATGGAGCATTTGGGCCAAGATTTTCAATAATGGTACAACATGCTGAAGATGGTTTGTACCAGCGCATGAGAACTGATTGTTAAATTTTCAGACATTTTTGTGAGCTGTTCTTTCTTTTTTTAGAGAGAGTCTCGCTCATGTTGCCCAGGCTGGAGTAAAATGGCACAATCTTGGCTCACTGTAATCTCTGCCTCCTGGGCTCAAATGATTCTCCTGCCTCAGCCTCCCGAGTAGCTGGGTTTACTGGCACACGCCACCATGCCCAGCTAATTTTTGTATTTTTAGTAGAGACGGGGGTTTCACCATGTTGGTCAGGCTGGTCTTGAACTCCTCACCTCAGGTGATCCACACACCTCAGCCTCCCAAAGTGCTGGAATTACAAGCATGAGCCACTGTGCCCAGCCTTGAGCTGTTCTTTTAATGTAGTCATTACTAAAAATTAAATTACAGAAACTTACAATCAGATAAATTAGTTAAAGCAAAAATAGTAAAAATGAGAACTACTTGGGCTTTCGCTTCCTGATTATTGCACTGTGCTGTACTGTGCCCCATCCCCTTGAGGTCGCTTGCAGCTGCTGCATCTGCGCAGTGGGACCCTGCCGCACAGTGAGCTGCTGCAGGCCTCTCCAGTGCTCATTCAGTGACGCCACGTTGGCAACTTGGAACTGGACACAGTGAGAGAAATTTCACCATAGACATTGGCATGCTCACGAATCAGGGCTTGATATGGTGCTTTGTTGATTGCCCAGATTCATGATGGAGAAAAATATTAGTAATGCAGATTACATTTAAACCTGTGGGATATCCGCAGCCATCACATTGTGAACAGCACAAAAACTGAGGAAGTATTCTTCCAGTGTCCAAAAACTATTATCTGATTTAGCAAAGAAGCCACACATACCACTGACGAATGTGTGAAGTTCCAGCATGCATCTCCACCAACCCCCTCCATCTGACTGGGTACGCATTACATCAAGGAGAATGTTAACCAGCATTGATGTTTTAACTACATCAATTTACAAATGAGAAACCATCATTTGGCTATAGTTCAAGAGTTGTTTTTTCAGTAGACTCTGTTGTTTTAGAGTAGTTTTAAGTTTACAGCAAAATTGAGTAGATACGAAAATTTTCCTTATACTATCCTCGCCCCTATACCCACAAAGCCTCCAGCATTATTAACATTCTCCACCAAAGTAGTACATTTGTTACAACTGATGAGGAGTTTTGAAAAAAAAAATTAAAACATTTAATGAAAATCATTTTTGTATAAAATTTATAAAAAAGAGTACTAGGTATTATTATTTGTAAATATTATGTATCACATCCTTATTATCATTAAAACTAATAAGCTATGTTCATGTACATTAGCACATGTGCATTAATGCATTAATACATTAATGTTTTTGTGGACATCCAGTTGTTCAGCAATCTCCAGCACACCGTCCTATCTGACGGCACCTCCAGGAGTGGGAGAGCAGAAGGTCCTAGGCTACTCTGAGCCAGTTCTCCAGGCCTGGAAGTGAAACCAAAGGCATCCAAGCAGTAATTGATCTTACGGTAAAGTTGAGACCAGTGGAAATCTCTACAAGCATATGGCAATACTTTGAATCATCCTTTGAGTCCTAGGAAGACCTGGCTTTTCTGGGTTTGTTGGTGGTGGTGATGGTTGGTTGGCTGGTTGGTTGGTTGGATGGCTGGTTGGTTTTAGCAAAGTTGTAACACATGTCACCACTGTCCACCTCCAGCAGTAAAGGAGCAGAAAGTCCCCACAAGACATTGACCTGTTTCATGCCAACCATGCATTTGCTCATGCATTTCTCACTCCCTGGAATGCTCTGCCGCTTGCTCCTTCCCTGTACAATATTTCCTTACTTAAGACTCAGCCCAGTCACCAAATTCTTCGGGAAGTTATCACTGGTCAGATTTCTCTTTTCTTTACTCTCTGAGTTCCTGAACATAACACTTACCATGTTGTATTTTATTTAGCAGATTCCAAAGTTGACTATACTATCCTCAAGGACAGGAAAAGAGAATTGCTCATCTCTGCTACTAGCTAACTAACAGCAGTTTCCTATTGAATTGAGTAGTGGGATGTACAGATCATCCCAAGGCTGTGCCCTTCCTTAGTGATTCTATGCTGATGTCATGGCCCCACTGAACGAAAGAGGTCACATAGAGAAAACAGTCTGGATGCTTTGCTGCACAAGTGAAAATGTAGGAGTCATATTTAAGTTGGGATTCTTATAGCCAGGGCAGTATATGGGATTCAGCTGGGTTCCTCCACGGTCTATGGAATCTGAAATCAAGATGTATCTGAAAATCAGCGTCAGAAATCTTTTAGAGACTGAGAACCAAAATATCCAAAAAATTGTTCAGGCTCACAGTTTGAAATGAATTCTAGTATAAAAGAAACGCAGTGGGCATATGAAAGTAAAAAATCTAGCTTGTAGAAATTTCCTGAGGCAGATGTGAGCCTCACCCGTGGGAAGTGAGGCAGCGCTTACGGTCACTAAGCTACACAATGAGAGTAAGAGATCCACTGCTGTAAAAATAACCTTTTATTACTGTTTAATGAAGGATAACATAGACAAAAACAGGCACAAATGACAAGTGCACAGCTTCATAAGCTCTTACAACATTGAGCACACCCGTGCAACCACTAGCCACTCAAGATACAGGAAAATACCAACATCCGGGAAACCTCCACTGTGCCCCTTCCAAGTCACTTGCGTGTCAACGGAGGCACTATCCTGCCATTCATCACTGTAGATTTGCTGTGTGCTCTGTTGTGCCTGGTTTCTTTCACACAATCAAGTGTTTGTGACATTCGTTGATGTTACTGCATGCAGCCTCAGTTCGGTATTGCTCACTGCTCTGTAGCATTTCTGAACCCAAAATATCTGAGACAGATCTCAATTAATTTGAAAGTTTATTTTGCCAAGGTTAAAGACATGCCCGTGACACAGCCTCAGGAGGTCCTGACGACATGTGCCCAAGGTAGTCGGGGTACAGCTTTCATTTATACATTTTAGGGAGACATAAGACATCAATCAATATGTATATGATGTACATTGATTCGGTCCAGAAAGGCAGACATAGAGTCAGGGGCTTCCAGGTCCTAAGTAGATAAGAGACAAAAGATCGTGTTCATTTGAGTCCTTGATCAGCCTTTCACTAAAAACACAATTCGGTCTGGCTCGGTAAATCTGAATTTTTACATAAATAATAGGGCAGAGGAAGCCATCAGATATGCATTAGTCTCAGGTGAGTGGAGGATGCCTGTCTGTCCTGCACCTGTGAAGATAAGCTATCAGGTTACATTGCCAGGGTGAAATTCAACAGAACTGTTTTAGGTAAAGATCTGGAGGCCCACAGGGAATTTCCTTGTTGGCAAATTATGAGGGAGGTATGTAGCTTTTTAAATCTTTGCAGTTATCATATTTAGAAATGAAATGGAAAGCAGGTTTGCCTGACATAGTTCCCAGTTTGACTTAGTGATCTGGGGGTCCCAACATTTATTTTCATTTCATGCATTTCATTACATAAATATTTAACCAGCTCTCATCTATGCTACCCTTGATGGACACTGGATAGGCTGTTTTTAATTTGGGGCTATTAGGAATGGCATTGCCGCGACTATTCTTGCACAGATCTTTTGGTGCACATATTTTGGAATAGATACTTAGAAGTGGAATTACTAGGTCAAAAGGTAAGTGTGTATTCCACTATAGTAGGTGCTGCCAATCCATGTTCCAAAGGAGTTGTCCCAACTTCAATTCCACCTCCCATACATGAGAGCACTTGTGGCTCCACATCCTTGTGAGCACTTAGTACTGTCAAATTTTTAGCCCATTCTAGTGCACACATGCGAGTAATGATGCTGAGCATACACTTTATAAGTTTATAGGCCATTGGATACCATCTTCTGTGAAGTGACTTATCAAGCATTTACCCGTTATTATTGTAAAAGTTATTTAAATATTCTGGTTTGTGAGTGGATATATGTATCGTAAAACCTTATCCTACTCTGTGGCTTGCATTTTAACTCTCCTAATGGTATGTTTTGATGAGCAGAATTTCTTACACTTAGTAAAATATTTTTTGTTAGCTTTAAAGTTAATGTTGCTTGGCTTTGTTTAAGGACTATTTCTAATACTACAACTTCATAAAGATCTTTTTCCACTGTGTCTAGTAGAAGTTTCGGTGCTTTATGATTTACTTTTAAGTTTATGGCCCATTTGAAATGGATTTTCTTGTGTATGCTATGAAATGGGAATCAAGGTTAACTTCATTTCCATATAAATGTTCAATTGATCTGGTCCAATTTTTTTAAAGCCCATTTTACCCATGCAGAAGAATGGTAATTTTGCTGTGAATTCGTTGATCATACTATGTCAGTTTGTCTCTGGACTCTCTATACTGCTTTTTCAAAATTTATTTTTATATGCGTCTGTCACTATCACACTGTTTATATTACTGTAGCTTTATAATAAGTCCTGAAATCTAAGTCACCAAATGTTTTTTTCTTTTTGAAATTGTTTCAGCTATTTATTACCCTTGGCATTTCCATAGATATTTAAGTATCAGGTTGTTGGTTTCCACAAAAAATTGTTGAGGTTTTGATGAGAATTGCATTGAATCCATTGACAAATTGACGGGGAACTGACACTATTATAACATTGAGTCTTCAAGTCAAAGAACATGGTGTATTTCTCCTTAGGTCTGGAGAAGCCGGCCTGGTACCCAGCCTTGCATTCCTTGAATAACCCCAACTTGGTCATGACATCGCATTGTTTTTATACATCACTAGATTCAACATTCTAATATTTTTGTTACACACTTTACAAAAATGCTCATGAGAAAGAGTGATCTATAATTTTCCTTAGTTGTGATGTTATTAGTTGTGATGTTTGGTATGAAGGTTTTGCTGGTCTCATACAATAAATTTGGATGTCCTCCCTTTTTTTGTATTCTTTGGAAGATCTTGTGCAAAACTGGCATATTTTCCCTTAAATTGTTACAAAAAATAATTACCAAAATTATTTGAGGCTAGAGACTTCTTTGTGTAAAAGTTCTACATTGCAGATTTAATTTTGTTATAGACATACGACAATTTAGATTAGCTGTTTTCTCTAGTGTCAATGTTGGTAAGTAGTGTTTTGGTAGAAATTTTTCCATTTTTATACCATTTACATTTATTGGCATAAAGTTGCTCTTAGTCATTATAATACCGTAGGATTTAAGATGTATTTTTTCTAAGCAGCATAGAAATTATTTACCCATTTTTTGTAGTCTTACTCTGTAAGTTAAGAGTATGTAACCCACTTGTGCATAATGTAATTAATCATTCATGTGGGATCTTTATCAGCCTCAGCCCTCAGTCAATCTAGAAAGAGAAACCATGTAGTAAGTTGAAGAAGGAAGTTTAATATAAATTATGATTAACTACAACAGAGGATGGTGGTAACAACTAACGAGAATGCTAAGGAATGTAGAAATAAAGCAGCCATTATCTTGAGGGCTGAGTGCCCCAGAAAGGTCCCTGCCTCTCACCTGCCCCAGGGTGAGATCCAGAGCCTACGGATGCCAATGGGACTCACTGGATGTTGGAGGGGTGACTGCAGTGCTGCAGTGGAAATCTGCCTCCTGGGTCTTGCCAGAAATCCTGGGGTGCTGGGGAAAGCTGTTGGATGACAGGTGTCTCCCCAAAGGCCTTCTTCTATGAAACCATCTGAGATAGGGTGCTCTGTGGGACCACTGGCTGGTGCATGAACCACCATGGAGCCTGGGGCTGGGGAAGCTGACATCTGCAGGACCCTGGTGCCAGAGAAGCCACAAATCTGCAGGAGCCGAGTCCAAGAGGAACTGCACAGCTGGAAGGATCTCATGTCAGAGAAGCCACACATCTGCAGGAGCTAACTGCCAGAGGAACTGCACATCTGGAAAAACCTGGTGTCCGAGGAGCTCCCATCTCAATGAACCTAGTGCCAGAGAGGCTACACATCTGCAGGAGCCTGGTGTCAGAGATGCCACACATCTAGAGGGACCTGCTGCCAGGGAACCTGCACCTCTGGAGGGGTCTGCCAAGCGAGCACACCAGAACCAGGAAGCAAAACTCTTTTCTCCTGCAGTGTCTCTGCAGCCATCTATTTGCAAAACCTGACTTCATGCCAGACGGCAAGGTAAAAAAATCTTTAAAAGGCCCAGATCCTTTTTCAAAAACCAGGCTACAAACCTGGATTTGGAGCCCAAAAGTAATAAACGGATAACAGCACAGAATCACTTATATCTCTTCTGATAATATTATTCTGCTAATAAATATGCTCATTTGCATTTAATATAATTACTAATTCATTTGGGATCATAGCTACCATCTTACTTCTTTAAAAAATTGTACTTTAAGTTTTGGGATACATGTGCAGAACATGCAGGTTTGTTGCATAGGTATACATGTGCCATGGTGGTTTGCTGCATCCATCAACCGTGATCTACATTTTAAGCCCCACATGCATTAGGTATTTGTCCTAATGCTCTCCCTCCCCTCCCTGCTCTCTGACAGACCCTGGTGTGTGATGTTCCCCTCCCTGTGTCCATGTGTTCTCATTGTTCAACTCTCACTTATGAGTGAGAACATGCGGTGTTTGGTTTTCTGTCCCTCTGTTAGTTTGCTGAGAATGATGGCTTCCAGCTTCATCCATGATCCCTACAAAGGACATGTTCTTCTATATTTTTATCTGCTTAATGTTTCTTTTCTCTACTTCTTACCTACTTTTGATTGAAGCAAGTATTTTTAAACTTTTTATCTGTATTATTTTATTAACTTTGTGAACAGTTCTGATCCTGATTAGGATTACAAACTCCCTGTTACAAAATGTACCCTTTATGAATTATAGTGTAAGTTAAATTAATACTATTTATTCCTCAAATAACCTTAGAAGATGTAATTTCTGTTATCACTCACTGTTATTATTGTTAAGCATTTTTAATCTCAATTATTTTAGACTACAGCATGTATTATTACTGTTGTACAGTGAATATTTATTTATATTTACATATATATTTCTAATTTACCCTTTTTCTCACTTTATTCCTGGATTTTTGTGTTTCTCTCTGGGATGATTTTCTTTCTTCTTAAGCAATTTTCCTTTTAATATTCATTTTTGTGTATCTTCTGGCAACAAAATCTTTCAGCTTTTGCTTGGGGTGGAAATGTATTCTGACTTCACTTGTGAAGGACGTTTTCTTCAGGCAGAACTCTAGGTTGCCAGTTATTTTCTTCCAGAGCTTTAAGGAGGCATTCTGTTGTCTCCCAGCTCCCACTGCTGCTGTTGAAATGTCAACTATTAGAATCTGTGTTCCTCCATTGAAGGTAGTAGTTACTTTGTTCTCCTCATCTTGGGATTTCAGCAGTTGTAGTTACCACGGGTCATCATAATGGCTCTCAGTTGTGCTGCTTGGGGTTCCTAGTGCTTTGTGCATCAGTGACTTGAGTTTGACCATCAGTTTAAGAAAATTCTCTGCATTATCTCTCTCTCTCTTTTTTTTTTTTTTTTTTTTTGGACAGAGCCTCACTCTGTCACCCAGGCTGGAGTGCAATGGCGCGATCTCAGTTCACTGCAACCTATGCCTCCTGGGTTCAAGAAATTCTCGTGCCTCTGCCTCATGAGTAGCTGGGATTACAGGCTCCCACCACCACACCCAGCTAACTTTTATATTTTTAGTAGAGACAGGGTTTCCCCATGTTGGCCAGGCTGGTCTAGAACTCCTGGCCTCAAGAGATCTGCCCGCCTCAGCCTTCCAAAGCGCTGGGATTACAGGCGTGAGCCACAGCACCCGGCTCAGCATTGTCCCTTTAATTCTCCTTTCCACCTTCTGTCTTACTTCCCGTGCTGGTATTCCAACCACAGCTAAACTTTCCACTATGTTCCACATGCCTGGTGCTTGTCCTGCGTTTTCCTTCCCTCTGCTTAGACCGGGTTATTTTCTACTAACTCATCATGCCATAATCCAATCCTGTCTTCCAGGTTGCTGTTAAACTTAAAAATTAAGTTCTTAGTTTCGATGACTGAAATTTTACTGATAAAATAATTAGTTGACTTCTTTTGTAGATCTAAGTTTTCTGATTAAATTTCTCATCTTTGCTTGATGGTATTAATCAGATCTACTTAAGTTCATGTGTGTGACCCGGACGGAGGGATCACACCGGGAGGCTGAGGCAGGAGAATCTGAAGCTCTTTCTATTTTCCGCTTTCTCGGTTGCATCTGGCGATCGTCTGTAAATTGCTGCGTGTTTTGCATGGACTCTACGGCGGCTCTGCGTGATGCTGTCTGCTCCGGATAAGGCTGCACCCTTCCTCTGGCACCCACGCTGAGGGAGGGTTCTCCTTAGTCTATCCTGGGCTGAGTTCCTGTGGCTACAGTGCGGTCCTTGTTTACTTGCGTGTTTTGTTTTCTTGGTGCTGTTTTTGCAAGGCTTTCTGTTAGTATCATTTTCCTTTCTAGGACGCCCCCTCAAGGTCCTAACCAAAAGCTCGGACTATTTGCTAACACCTACATGGTCTTTAAACTCTAATTCAGCCCCATCAAATAAAAAGTTCCAAACTCCAGGGCTTTGTGCCTATCTTCTTAGAATCTTCCCCCCTTCACCCTAATAATTTAGTGAATGCTTTCACGGGGAAGTCACAGGTTTATGACAGAGCATTCTTATTATGGACTGAATGCTTATTCTCCCCAAAAGTTATACGATGAATTTTTTTTCTTTCCTTTTTTTTTTTTTTTTTTTTTGAGACAGAGTTTCACTCTTGTTGCCCAGGCTGGAGTGCAATGGTATGATCTTGGCTCACTGCAACCTCCACCTCCCGAGTTCAAGCGATTCTCCTGTCTCAGCCTCCCGAGTAGCTGAGATTACAGGCACCCACCACCACACCCAGCTAATTTTTTTGTATTTTTAGTAGAGACAGGGTTTCACTATTTTGGCCAGTTTGGTCTCAAACTCCTGACCTCAGGCGATCCACCCTCCTCGGCCTCCTAAAGCGCTGGGATTACAGGCCTGAGCTATGGGCCCTGCCTATACACTGAAGTTTTAACCCTCAATATGATTGTATTTGGAGATGGAATCTTTGGGAGATAAATGGGTTTAAATAAGATGGTGAGGTTGGGGTCCCCGTGATAGGATTAGTGCCCTTATAAGAAGAGGAACAGACACCAGGGCTCTCTCTGCTTGGTGAGGTCGCAACAAGACAGAGGACATCTGTGAGCCAAGGAGATGCCCTCACCAGGAACCAACCATGCTGCACCCTGATCTCGGACTTCCAGCCTCCATACTGTGACAAAGCAGATGTCTGTTGCTTAAAGGCCACTAGTCTATGGTATTCGGTTATGGCATCCTGAGATGCCCAAGACACCCCTGTACCTCCCTTTTCTCTGGGATCCTCGTTCCTTAAGTCTCATCACATGCATGGGATTAGCAAACTCCTCGTCGGCTTCAGTGACCCTCAGTCAGTGCCTAGCAGGTTTCTTGGGCTCTCTCCCAGCACAGAGGAAGGCAACATCTCACTTCTAGGTGGCTCTTTCTGTCTGGGATCCTGATTTCTCTAGTCTTGACTGCTTGGGCAGCTTGCTGATGTCTGCAAACTCACTTTTTAAAAATCTGACCTTTCTGCATGTTCTCAATGAAGCATTAGTGTGTGGCTGGCTTCTCCATCTTAATGGGAAGCTAGAAGGTCCCACTGCCCCAGTATTGATCCAAATAAGGGGGAAAATAATGAAGCCTGTGATACACCAGTTATCTGCTCCCAGTCCTTAAATGACGCTCCTGGTGCTCCCAGTCCTTAAATGACGCTCCTGGTGCTCCCAGTCCTTGGATGATGCTCCTAGTGCTCCCAGTCCATGGGTGATGCTCCTAGTGCTCCTAGTCCATGGGTGATGCTCCTAGTGCTCCTAGTCCATGGGTGATGCTCCTAGTGCTCCTAGTCCATGGATGATGCTCCTAGTGCTCCTAGTCCTTCGGATAACGTTCCTGGTGCTCCCAGTCTTTGGATGATGTTCCTAGTGTTCCCAGTCCTTGGACGATGCTCCTAGTGCTCCTAGTTGTTGGATGACACTTTAGTGCTCCCAGCCTTTGGATGACACTCCTAGTGCTCCCAGTCGATGGATGATGTTCCTGATGCTCCCAGTCCTTGGATGACGCTCCTAGTGCTCGCAGCCCATGGATGACACTCTTAATGCTCCCAGTCTTAAGATGATGCTCCTGGTGCTCCCAGTCCTAAGATGATGTTCCTAGTGCTCCTAGTCCTTGGATAACGTTCTTGGTGCTCCCAGTCCTTGGATGACGCTTCTAGTGCTCCCAGTCCTTGGATGACACTCCTTGTGCTCCCAGTCTTTGGATGACACTCCTAGTGCTCCCAGCCCATGGATGATGCTCCTAGTGCTCCCAGTCATGAATGAGACTCCTAGTGCTCCCAGTCCATGGTTGATGCTCCTAGTTCTCCCAGCCTTCAGATGATGCTTCTAGTGCTCCCAACCCATGGATCATACTCCTTGTGCTCCCAGTCCTTGGATAATGCTTCTAGTGCTCCCAGCCTTCGGATGATGCTCTTAGTCCTCCCAGTCCATGGATAATGTTCCTAGCTGACCCTTGTTCTGTTCTTTGTATCCATGATGTAATATCAGGAATTTTGTCAATACATAGCTCTAGAGGTTCACATAATATTAAACCTATCTGCCTGACCCATTTTAGGTTTCTGATGGAGCTTACTGAATCATTTTGGTGGAACACTTGCCAATCTCAAGCAAAAAGTGAGTCTGCAGTTGTCTGAATTCAATAGTTTTTCATAGCATTATGGTTTTCTTGGCTAAATTCAGACTGACTTCATGTGTTGGAACAGTTTGCATCTCTTACTTTATCCGCTTAAGAAATGAAAAGAATAATACTTGTGACTGAAAAAGAGGGTCATGAAGACTATGCAAATATTTGGAAAGCAGCATCGTTTGAACACTTGAAAGAAAAGTGCAATATAAATGATTATTTTTTAAAGCACCATATGTAGGAAATGCAATCCAGCTTTTTAAAGAAGAAGTGTTTTGGCGTTTCATCCCAATTTACTGATGAATGGTAACTAATGAAATGTTTGTCTGGGATTCTGAAGAGGCAATTCGATTGCTGCATGTGGATAGAGAACGCCAGTTGCTTTTGATCCTGCCGACCAAGGCATCTTATATAATGATAAATTATACCAGGTTTCAAAATCCTCTGATGATGCTATCTGCAATACCATTGCCTCTCCTTACTATCTCCCATTTTTACTTCCTCCCAGTGAAAGAAATAACAGTTTGTAAAGGCTTATAAATTCCAACTCTTATCTTTTAAAATGGTTGTTCTCTTCCTCATCTTAACATGCAAATAGACTGCCTTTCTTAAGCCTTTGATAAAGAGCCAGAAGAAAAGTTCACAAGGTTTTGATAAACCATCCTGAGAAACCCAGCCAATGAACAAAGATCCACGAGGAATTTCCTATCTACTAATGTCGCTGTAATAAGCAGACCCTTACCTGACATCCTCAAAGGAAGCCGGGTGAACACTGTAAGTGATGCTCAGAAAAGGTAAAGGAACACATAAGCAGAAATCTGGTGAGGAATTTGGAATCATCTATTCACAAAAGAAATTTACTTAATTGTCTTGAGCACTGTTCCCAGCTGTGGGGCTGTAGGAAAAGCGGAGTCCCCCAGAGGCGGCTGCAGGCGAGGTGACCTTCCAGGGCACTGTGAACTTCCGTTCTGTGTTCTCATCCTGACGCAGCTGCTAATTTGCTGCATGACCTTGGCAGGACCCACCGGGCTTGCAGGATCTTTTCTCTGTGCACTGATGGGATGAGGCTGGATCTCTGTTGCCTTCATTCGTGCTGTTTATGCCAACAGGGTTTGCAGTTTTAGTTCAGGAGGGGATGCCACGGAGTGCAGGGCCCTTCTCCATGTCATGGAAGCTGAACTCCCCACGCTCAGGCCCTAGGACTCTAACCCAGACACACGAAGCTCTTCATAGCCCCCGTTTCCTGTTCCTTCTCCTCATCCCAAAGCAAACTTCCTTCCAAAACTACTTTTCTGAGTTGTTGGTATCATGTTACATTTCTTCTTAAAAGCTCTCATTCCATGGCCTGGACCTATTTTTTTGTTGTCATTGTTTATAAGAAAGTTACTTTTTAAAATATTTTTAAATATTTAATGTACAAATAAAATTGTGTATACACAACGTGTACACTGTGATGATTTGATATAGTCATCCGTTATGTAATGATGATCACAACTTATCATCTCCGTCATCACTTGCGCTGTACAGGAGATCCCCAGAACTTGCTCATCTTATAACCGCAAGTTTGTGCCCTTTGACCAACATCGCCCCACTTCACCTCCCAGCTCCTGGTAACCACCATCTACTCTCTGCTTCTGTGATTTCAACTTTTTTAGACCCCAGGTACATAAGTGAGATCATGCAGTCCTTGTCTTTGTGTGCCTGGCCCATTTCACTCAGCACAATGACCTCCAGTTTATCCACATTGTTGTGAAGGGCAAGATGTCCTCCTTTATCAAGGCTGAGTAACAACCCACTGTGTGAGTGTGTGTTTGTGTGTGTCTGTGTGTGTGCGACATTTTCTTCATCTAGTCATTTGTTGAGGGGCGCTTAGGCTGCAGCATACATTGGCAGTGGTAAGCAGTGCTGCAGTGAGCCTGGGGGACTGTGTTCTGAGGCCTGGATGCCTCTCGGTGCTGTGGTGAGCAGTGCTGCAGTGAGCCTGGGAGACTGTGTTCTGATGCCCGGATGCCTCTCGGTTTTACCTCTCATGCCCCTTTATTGGTGGTTCTCTTCTTCAGCTTTAAGCAAACTTCCTTGGCACTGACCTGGCTCCTCACATTTTTTCCTAAGGGTTCTGGACCCCGGTGTTGTTTCTATCCCATGTCTCCCTCTGCGTCTCCACCTACCAATGATCAATATCTTCTTATTATTATAAATGCAGCCTCTGCCTATTTTGTAACTGCTGATCCTACTATTGTTTTTAATATATATATTTTCTGTTTTATTATCTCCTGTCCACAAGGCCTGAGTGTTTGCTTTCAGAGGAGCCTTTTATACCCCCAAAATGTAAAAAAAGAAAAATAGGAGTAGCTTAATGGCGTCACCTTCGTTTTACAATGAAAACTAATTTTCACAACATCAAAGAGGTCATCAGGCCTAACACTCTCCCCGATAGGGTTTTTACGTCTCCACCCACACTGGAGAAGAATTCCTCGGTGTGTGGCCATGCTGTTAGTTGGAGTTGGGGTGAATTAGTTAGTTGGATTTGGGGTGAGTTAGTTAGTTGGAGTTGGGGTGAGTTAGTTGGAGTTGGAGTAAGTTAGTTGGAGTTGGGGTGAGTTCGTTAATTGGAGTTGGGGTGAGTCTGCAGCCTTCAGCCCCTTTTTAGAGGTGAGACTAAGAAAAAGCTGATGCCGGCCTCTGCTTTTCTAACAATGTCAAATTCAGCAGGTAGTGGGTGCATTCTGATGGTTGTTAGGATTCCCATTGTTAGGACAATGGAAAATGGATGTCACAAAGCAGAAATATGTCTTAAAGAGTGTGCTGGTCACCAGCCGCTGCATAACAAATTACACAAACTCAGTGTCTTAGAAAAACAGGCAGTCTTCATTCCACAGCTCCCCATGTCAAAGCACGGCCATGGTTCAGCTGTGTCCTCTGCTCCAAGTCCGCCATGGTTCAGCTGTGTCCTCCACTCCAAGTCCTCCAAGGTCACAGTCAAGGTGTCAGCTGGTCTGCATGCCTCTCTGGATACCTAGTCCTCCTGGAAGTGCATGCGTTTGTTGTTGGAACTCAGTTTTTTGTGATTGCAGGGACAAAGTTCCCGTTCTCTTGTGGGCAGTCAGCCAAGGGTTGCTGTCAGCTCCCAGCGCTGCCAGCAGCTCCCTGCCCCAGGACTCTCTCTCTGGAGATGGCAGCTGAGCCCTTCAAGGCCAGCAGGTGACTCTGCTGCTCCCCATCCCTGAGCTAGGAGGAGAAAAACACCTTCCATTGAAGGGTTCACCTGATTAGACCAGACCCACCCAGGGTCATCTTTGCATTTACTTAAAGTTGAGCTGATTTGGGGCCTTACTTAGATCTGGAAAATTCCTTCATCTTTGTCCTAAAATGTGGCCTGACTCCCAATCCCATCTCCTTTGCAGATGAGAAGCCAGTCACAGGTGCTGCCCTCACCACGGCCTGGCTCAGGGGGCTGCCCGGTGTGTTTTCATAACAAGAAATCACTCAAAGAGACAAGCAGTCCCGCAGTGTGGGGTCAAATATGTTAATTAGCATTGCAGGATTAAAAATGTTAAATCAGAAGCGTGGAGGTTAGAGAAAAAGCTCATATCCAGGGGGCGACTTCTGAGCCTGTCTCCCCGCGTGCGCAGCTTTCCGTAAGGAGATCACTTCATCTGGGAGTCAGCCCTGGCCCTAGGAGACCTCGTCCTTATTTCACAGACAAAGAAACTGGGTCTCAGCACAAATAAGAAACATGCTGGAGGCTAGCAGCCCTGCCGGTGCTGGGGGCTGGCGCTGGAGCTCAGGCTACGTGCCCTGTCAACGGCTGTATTTAGGCCTCTGATGTGTAGGCAGAGGGGGCATCGCTGCCCTTGGATCCTGCATGTCAGAGCTTGAGCGTGGGCCCACCTCTTCCACGTGGAGAGTGAGAGATGCGGAAGCTGACCACAGAGAAGGCCCTGCCCCCTTGCCCCCACCCTTCAGTCGGGTCCAAGCCTCTGATTTCCAGCCCTCACCAGCCTCTGGGCACCTGTCTACCTGTCTATCTCCTCGTCCCCATAAAGACCAGATGACACTTCTTTTTTTTTCTTTTTTTTGAGACGGAGTCTTGCTCTGTCACCCAGGCTGAAGTCCAATGGCGCAATCTCGGCTCGCTGCACCCTCTGCCTCCCGGGTTCAAGAGATTCTCCTGCCTCAGCCTCCCAAGTAGCTGGGACTACAGGTGTGCACCACCACGCCCAGTTAATTTTTGTATTTTTAATAAAGACAGAGTTTCACCATGTTGGCCAGGCTTGTCTTGAACCCCTGGCCTCAAGAGATCCTCCGCCTGCCTCAGCCCCTCAAAGTGCTGGGATTACAAGCGTGAGCCACCATGCCCAGATGACCAGGTGACACTTCTAATCCAGCCACCTGGTCTCTCACCCTGATGGCTTGTCACACATTCCCTGACCCAGTCCTGCCCATCAGCCAAGCCAGCCTCTGTTCCAGGCGCTCAGAATATCTTCCCAGGGGCACCTCTGGTCACATTCGTCCTGCACTCCTTCCCACCAAGGCTCAGCTTTCCTTCCTGGTGATTGAGGCCTTTCTGGCTCAAATGCTCTGGGCGACTTCTCCTTTCCAGCCCCATGTGACTATCCTGCCTCCCTGTCATCTTCCCTCCTTCCACTGACAACTTCTATTTGTCCTCCAGGGCCTGGGGTCCTCCCAGAGGAGGCCCAGCAGCCTCAGGTGTTATAGGCCCCCATGTCCACTGGACGCTCTCCACAGCTGAGCTTGTCACTCATCCGGATCCCACCTGCTCCTCCGATGCCACAGCTGCCCCAGCAGCTCCTATTGCACCAGTAGTGTCATGTGTCAGGCTGGGCGTGCAGTAGGTGCTTGATACATAAAGTCTGCTCAGTGAAGATGGGCCAGAAAAGACAGAGGTCCATCCCTGACCCACACCTCAGTGGCTCTCCATCAGGACTGCACTGATGTTCTATGGGGTGGGACTGAGTGCCCAGGGGCCTGGAGGAATGCCAGAGGCACGTGAGTTCACACCATGTCCCATCACCGCGTGGACTCGCACAGGGCAAGAGCAGGTTCCTGGCAGCTCACCCTTGTGGGGTTCTCAGAAAATCCTGCCTTTAAAGCTCTTTTGGGAGTAAGTGGATCTCGCTGGAACCCCCTCGATGAGATCCAGGCGGGACTTGGGGTGTTTCTTCGCCTGCCCTGAGCCCCACCCTGCTCAGGAACTTGCATAGCTTGTCCCCTCTTGAAGGCTCTGGAAGTTCCCGCCTCTGTGAGCAGGACAGAGCCGTGCTTGGCCATGTAGGCTGAGCTGCTAGGACTCAGAATCTGCCTGCTGTGTAGACTGAGCTGTTAGGACTCAGAATCTGCCTGCCGTGTAGGCTGAGCTGTGAGGACTCAGAATTGCTGACCGCCCAGCTGCTCAGATGGGGAGGGGCAGTGGAGCACCAGAGGGCCTGGGAGACCCTCCCCACAGCAGCTGATGCCTGTTAATTGTAGAATCATAAAACGATAAAGGGGCCTTGGAGATCAATGCATTTTATCTGGCATTGCTGCAAACTGCAGCTGTTGGCATTCATTCTTCCAGCCCCCAACCTGGACGAATAAATACGTTGTCCAAAAAGTGCAGCAAAGACAGTGCTGCTCTTAGCCCCCAGCCCTCTGTTTTGGAGGTTTCGGCCTCTTTCAAACTCTAACCTTTGCCCAAAGGAATAGGAGAGTGTGGGGGGCCAGGGCGGGATGATGGAGACAAGAGCCAGATTCTAACCTGAGAGAATCTGAAAGAGCCACAGGATCTGGGGTGTGGCCTCGGTTTCTCCATCTGAGGAATGAGGAAATTGATGAAGATGACCTCTGAGGTCCTAGACAGCCTTAAAGATTTAAAGATTTCAGAAGGCTGTTTTATATGATGGGGAAAAAAGGCAAACTCCACATGACATAAAATTAACCCTTTTCAGGTGAACAATTCGGTGGCATTGGTACAGTCACAATGTGTGCCACCAGGTGGGCCATTGATAGGTTGATCTGTTTTTGTATAGACAGGACAGAGATCAAGCAGGAGCCTGGGAAACTAAAGGAGGGGGTCTTGGCTCTCATCCTGGGCCCCATGGATGTCACTGTCCCACACACTGACAGGGACACAATCCGGAGACTGCCCGTGGGCAGGAATGCAGCAGGAGCCTGTCATGTGTCCTCAACTCCACCTGCCGCCTGAGAAGGCATCACCAACCTGCTGGGGCCCCACGTGTTCAGGCCGCAGCCCCCTAACCCTCCCTTGGGTCTGCGCGTACACAGATGCTCTTGTCACCAGTCAACAACTATGACATAAGGAGAGCTTGAAGACAGCACCAGGTCCAGGTCCTGAGGGGACCAGAAGAGAGGAGGCAGCCCAGGCCTGATGGAAGAGGAAGCCTCTGAGAGCCCCAGGACCCAGCTCTGTGTGGCTCTGGCCAGGCAGGAGGCGGGCACAGGGCCACAGAGGACCCGCATGGTGAGAGATCCCCGTGTGTCCTGGGATGGCTGGAGCTGCCGCCCAGCTCACACACAGCCCGCCTGCTCACTGTGGAGCCACATCCTTCATTTCTGCAGAGAAGCTGGGCTTTGGGGAGAATAGAAATGAGAAGCCGGCGCTGCAGCTGAGGAGGGGGATGCAGCCACGCCGGATCTGTCATGTTCAGAAAGCAAAAGATAGAGTGAGAAGCTAGCACTGACCTCACAGATTCCTCAAGGTGCTTTGTCCTCATTGCATTCCAGCACCTAAAACTGGCTGCTGCTGCCTTTCTTTCATTTTTATTTATGTTTATCTCCACCCCTTTAGCATGAGTGGTGTTTGTGAGGATTTGCTCATTTGCTTTCTCAGTGCTATGTTTTCTGGAGAAATCTGCGCTTCTGCACTTACATTCTCTGAAGACATAAAAGCTATGCTTTTTTATGGGAGCTATGAAGATGGAGATAAATATACGTGTGAGATGTATTCTTGTCTCCATGTGCCAGGGGCAGTACATGCACTGTTTTTGGTTCCTGAAACAACGGGAGATAGGCATGCATCATCTACTGAGATGATTTGGGGGAACAGTAAGTTACTCCCAGGGGGTCATGGGAGGAGCAGGGAGAGTGGAGAGGGGTGCACCTGCGGACCTCGGTGACTTATTTCCCAGGGAGAAAGCTGAGGCTGCAGAGGTCATGCAGGTGATCGGGGGCGGCTTCCCAGCGTGGGGTCTCCAAGCGCTTTTCTGAAAGGTCTGGACCGCCTCCATCTCCTCCTCGGCCCCTTGCTTCATCTGTGTGAGCTTTCTGCCATGACCCCTGGCTTCGGCAAGGGAAAGGTAATTTTTCCCTGAAGCACACAGAACGTAGTTTATGGTTGCTGCAGCGTGCGCTTCGAGAAACTCTAAATTACTGTGCTTGCCGAGACCTGCGTGCATGAATAATGGATCCAGCCCAGATGCAGCAGCCTCGTGTGCGACTTCTCAAGGCGCCTCGAGAGTCTCTCAAGGGTGCTCGCTGAGGTCACAGCCTACTTGAGCTATTCTGGGAGGGGAGCAGCAGAAATCTGCAGGTGGAGAGGAAACACCATTCCTCACCAGCATCAGCCTCCCGCAGAAGCCGCCAGAGGCGAGCTCTGAAGAGCGCAGGCCTGCCGGAGGGAAGGAGCTGGCATCTGTTCAGCTCTGCTCAAGAAGCAAGGGGCATTGTGGCCGCAGCTCTGCAGGCACGGTCCCATTTAATCCTCCCAAATGACCACCTCCAGCAGGGCAGGCATGGGATCAAAACACAGAGCGTTCTACCAGCCCAGAACAATATTCCTTCCACGATTACATGTCACGGCAGGGGAAAGTCACTTAAAAATTTAAGAGCAGCCTGGCCAACATGGTGAAATGCCATCTCTACTAAAAATACCAAAAATTAGCTGGGGGTAGTGGTGGGCACCTATAATCCCAGCTACTCAGGAAGCTGAGACAGGAGAATCACTTGAACCCAAGAAGTGGAGGTTGCAGTGAGCCGAGATTGCACCATTGCACTCCAGCCTAGGCAACAAGAGCAAAACTCCATCAAAAAAAATTTTTTTGAGAGCAAAATGTGCGGGGCTTTGATGACTGTGGCTCCCCTGGGAAGCAGGGAGCCTCACTTGCAGTCTCTTGCTGGGCTTGGTGACCTTGAGCTCATCACTGACGTTCCTGGAGCACACAGTGTCACAATGTGGACGCCATGCCTCAGTGCCTCTCTGCCATGTGGGCAATACACAGCACTGTAAATGGAGTGAGATGTCACTGGGGGAAGGGCAAAGGCTCTGCCCCAAAGATGGCACCGTGGGTCCTTCTCTCGCTCTAATTCTTGCAGACACGAGGTAGGCCGATGTCTTGGCTTGGTGTGCTGTGTCATCAGTGTGTAACCTACTTCATTCTTCCCTGTTAGTGTAAATTCAGTGACAGTTTGGGAAAGAAAAAGGCAGTTGGCACTGTGTTCACAGTGTTGGTGAACAAGCAGGTGCATTGCTCTGTGCATTCTGTATTTGCCGTCAAAGTTGCTTCACACACAGCCCTGGAGGCAGAGTAATGGCCCTCAATGACGTTCAGCTCCTAATCCCTGGAAACTGCAAATATGTCACCTCCTGTGGCAAAGGGAACTTGGCAGACATGCTTCTGCTACAGTCTTGAGACAGGAGATTCACTTGGATCAGCCAGGTGGCCCGAGGCAATCACTAGGGCCCTTAGAGGGGACAGAGGCAGGAGGGTCAGTGGCAGGGGAGGAGAAGCGAGAGCAGAAGCAGAGGCAGAAGGGGTGTGGGGCAGGAACTGGGAGAGTGGCAGCCCTTCCTGCACCACCCAGGAGCACAGTGCAAGTCCCAGTTACACCCAAGCTTTGTTTCTCAAGCACACCCCATGTTTCATAGGTGTGTTATTTGCAAACTGCTTCTCTCTGCCTGGAAAACATGTCCTTGAAGGCTCAGTTCAAACCCCTGCTCCCTGGGGAAGCTTCCCCTTACGGCTCCTCCTGCAGAGCTGGGCCCCCCACCCTGCAGCATTCTCAGCAGCTCCTGACCACACACCTGCCCTCACCATCCCTCCAGTGGACACAGAGGCAGCCCTACCTATCTCTCTCGGGGTCCCACAGCCTGGTGGCCGAGGGGTGCCTTGTGCTGTTGAGAGTGTGCAGCCATGCACACACACCAGACCTCTTCTCTTGCACACTCCTCTCTGGAGGCAGACAGCTGTGGAGGTCGGTCAGGAGAGAGCCAGAGGCCACCTGAAGATCTCATCTCAGAGCGGAGGAGAGCTCTGTCCAGACTGCTGGGGACAAGGATAGTCGCTCTTCATGGTCACAGGGTTCAACATCTGGTCTCATACCTGGGTCCTTTGTGAGTTCCCAGTGACCAGGGTTTCTCAGCAGGACTGCTGTCTCCGGTGAGGCTGCCTCACCCTTGGCTCTCCTCTGGGGCTGAGTTATTCCCACAGCAGAGCATGCCCTCCATTTCCCAGTCCCGGGTGCAACGCTGTCCAGAATCTGAGCGGCGGGGGAGCTTTGAGAAAAGCTGCTGTCAGGCCACTGTGGGTGGGGGTCAGAGGCTCTCAGCCCAGGCTGCTGTCAGGAAATAGGGGACATGGAGGGATGGCCATCGCAGTGAATCTTAACCAGGAGGCACGACTAAGGAGTGAGGTTAAGGATTTCTTTGTGGGAGCACATGAGTCACTCATATTGCCCAGGAACAGGGGTATCTGGCACTTCCGGGCTCTGGTTGTGGTGTTGCTTTGTCTGTGCTGAGACATGATCACAGAGGCCACCTCTTTTCAGCCTTGATGTGCGGTGAGACAGGCTTTGGCTGAGCTGGTGTCCTGTTCACTGTGGTGTGAGCGGCAGTTGCGGTCAGGGCTGCGTTTGCCCCCGGAAATGCAGGTAGTGCTCCTGTTCTCAGCTTCCTTGGGAGCTCTGGCATGCGGCCTGCCCCCCGGGTTCATGGCAGGGCTTGTTTGGCTTGTGTGGCTGCAGTCCATGAGCTCCCTGGTCCTTGAAAGAGACAGGCAGCCTTCACAGGCTGGCGACACCAGAGTGGACCTAGACAGCAGTCATGTCTCAGGTGAGTCAATGTTACCATGATCAGGGTTCAGCCGCAGGCATGCATCTCAACCTTGAGCAAATAATGGTATCCAGAGAGAAACCAGCCATCTAGAAAATCTAGGAAAACATATGAGGAAAGTTTGGTTTGTTGAAAAAATTTATTTCAATGAGAAAAGAAGTAGAGAGTCAGAGAGAGGGAAAATCAGGGAGAGAGATCCAGAGAGAGAGAGCGGGAGAGAGAGAGACTACAGTATACTAATTTCTGATGTAATGCCTTAGAAGCATGGTTTAAAGACAATTCTAAATTAAAATATTTTCTATATGGTTACAGAGAGTAAATCTTACTACTTATTATGTTTTATTTATCCTCATTTCGGCATTTTAATTTATAGGCTATTTAAGCCCAGCCAGTAGTAAGAGTCAGAAGAATGTTACCTCTTAAGACAACCTTGCATGCAGATTGTTTTATGTGAGCCTAGGGAATTAAACATTTTTTGTAGCACTTTTTCTTTTGCTCAAATTTGTAAACTGTATCAGGAAGTATATAAAACATAGTACACATTTTTAGAATACCATGAAATAAAGTGACAGGATGCTGTTGAATGCATTTGAACACCGTCTGATACCAACTTATCATCTTCCCAGGGTCTGCCTGCCATCATGGGGAGGTGCAAGGCGGCACAGTTTTCTGAGTAGCCGGAGCTTCCGAGAGCCAGACCCAGCCAGAGGTGGCAGCCCCATGGGCTTGGGAAGCCCCAGCTAGGGGATGGACAGCCAGAGACAGACCTGAGAGGCCACCAGGCCGACACAGGACTCGCCGTCCTGGGGGAACGAGGGCAGCCCAGGATGCAGGGAACAGGCGGCACACAGAGGCCAAACCTTAACCCCTCAGCGCTGAGAAATGGGCTCCCACGCAGCTGCACCTTGATCGCAGTGGGCTCACAAGCAGGGCAAGACTGAGCCACGTGGTGTGAAATTTGATTGCCATGGTGCTGAGCAGGCGTGGGACTGGCACGACACTGGGGATCTCTGCTGTCACATTTCCTTACACTGAACAGCTTGGCTTCTGGCGGAGGAGGCACTTTGGCCGTAAGAGGCTGAGTCCTGACTTGCCAGCCCCGGATGCCCACCAGCCGCTGTGTCTGCGCCAGATGCTCTGTGCCCCATGCTAGAGGCTGGCTGTGCTCTGGGGTTTGGTGCCTCTTTCTGTCACTGGGAAGGGACCCAGGGGTCCATCCAGCCCCTTCTTGGGCATAGACATCAGGGAATGTCAGGTCATTCTGTCGCATGCCCAGGAAGCTCAGGCCACAGTAAGCAAGCCAGGCTGGACGACATCACCGGGGTCAATGTCAGCCCACGTTGGCCACCAGACGTCCTGGAGCACCAGGGTTTCAGCAGCTGGACTGGGGCCTCCTCCAGCCCGTGGGCCCCTGGGCTGTCTCCCCTTGTCTGACTTGGTGCCAACTCGAGAGAATCTGGTCCCAGCAGAGGGAATGCAGGAGGCCCAGCCTAGGCACAGGGGTTGCTGCCAGCCCCGACCCGGCTGAGGCCCCAGCAAGCCGTGAAGCAGAACCTGTCCAGGTGGCATCCTTAACTTCTTGCCCTAATATTACACTAACGCCAGCGACAGAGCACACAGCAACACAACAACAACCACACACCACCACAACAACACAACATCACAACACAACAACAGCACACACCACCACCGCCACCACATTACATTCCCACCAGTGAGAGAGCACACGACAACACAACAACCATGCAACCACACAACCACACCACACACCACCACCACCGCAACACAACATCACAACACAACCACACAGCAGAACAACAACCACACACCACCACCATATTACATTCCCACCAGTGACAGAGGACACAACCACACAACAACAACACAACCACACAACACAACCACACCACACAATACCACCACATCACAACACAACCACACAGCAGAACAACCACACAACCACACTACACCACCACCACCACCAGTGGCAGAGCACACAACAACACAACCACACAACAATGACACAACCTTATCACACACCATCACAACATCACAACACAACCACACAATGACAGAACAAAACACAATCACAGAACCACACCACCACACAAAATCACAACAACACAACTGCACAACAGAAAAACAATAACACAACAACACAACACTACACAACACAACACCACCACCACAACAGCAGCAGCAGAGCGTCCCGGAGTTCCCCGCCTGCTCTGGAGGCTGTGGCCTGGCCACACAAGCTCTTCCCCTCCTCAGTCTTCCACAGGGATTCCTGCCTGGTCAGGCCTCTTCTCGGAGACTTGGTGAAGTAGAAGCGGGCAGAGATAGGCAGGAGCTGCAAGCTAAAAGCCACCAATGACCAGACTGGAGGAGAACCTGGGGTGGGAGATCGCTGAGCTGAGCTCAGGAGCAGGTGTGGATTGAGAGGAGCACGTGGCTGTGCCCTGTCCTCTGGGCTCAGAGCCCCTGGGACTGCATCCTGTGAGAGCAGCTCTTGCCACCACCTCCCCTCCACCTCTGAGCACCCTGTCCACCATTCCAACCACCATGTCCCCTCCACCTCTGGGCACCCTGTCCACCATTCCAACCACCACCTCCCCTCCACCTCTGGGCACCCTGTCCGCCGTTCCAGCCACCACCTCCCCTCCACCTCTGGGCACCCTGTCCGCCGTTCCAGCCACAACCTCCCCTCCACCTCTGGGCACCCTGTCCGCCATTCCAGCCACAACCTCCCCTCCACCTCTGGGCACCCTGTCCGCCGTTCTAGCCACCACCTCCCCTCCACCTCTGGGCACCCTGTCCGCCGTTCTAGCCACCACCTCCCCTCCACCTCTGGCCACCCTGTCCACCCTTCCACCCACTGCCTTCAGAAAACCTGGCCTCCTCGGCTGCCTGCACCTTGTGTGCTCCCAGATCTCTGTGTGGCTCCCACACAGCACTCGGCCGTTCTGCCTGACATGGAAAGGACCAGGGCTGAACACGGTAGCAGCGCCTGCATGGCGCAGGCTGTGGAGTTGACAGAACTCTTCCACACATTGTCTAAGTGTCTCTTGTACAACCTTGTGAGAAAGGACACTGATCAGAGGCCATGGGGCTCGCCAGCATCCACGCTCTCCCCTCCTTCCTGGGCACACAGCTGGGCTCGTATCTCCAGCCCCCTTGGGCTGCAAGGTGGAGCTCTGGTCACCGGAATGTGAGCCGAGAGCCCAGCCCCACTTCCAGCCATGAACCTGAGAGGCCCCTATGAGCCTGAATTTCCTCCCCAGTGGGCTGATGGGGGAACCCTTTGAGGACCGGCGGGAGGAGCCACCACATGGAAGGGCCCTGCTGATCACCATTCTCCTGCAACGCGAGACACAGCCAGGGCGGGGGTCAAGGAGGCTTCCAGGGGCACACTGTGAGCAGGAGCCCTCTCTGGACCCCGCAGGGTCAGGTGGCCTTACTTTCATTCTGCACCCCGCAGGGTCAGGTGGCCTCACCTTCATTCTGTACCCGTGGCACCTGCTTGCCTCAGTTGGCTCTGACCATGGTGAGAAACAGACCTCAGTGTTGCCAAGCCACTGAAATCAGGTTTCCTATAGGAGTTATAGGAATTCAGCTCTATAGCAGTTATACTCATCCTAACTAATACAGGTGGATGGGTATTCTGTGTTTTTTTATTCAAAAGTGAGGAAACCATGGTTTTAAAGCTCTGTGATTTACCCGAAGTCACACAGCAGAAAACTGAGCCGAACTCCTGTTAGCATACAAGGTGCCAGTGTAGACCATCTGGTGGGTTTATTCTGCTGCTTCACACACCTGGCACCGACCCCCTCGCATCCAGGGCATGTGTGAGTGCAGAGACCCTGGGGGTTATTCTATTATTTACCCCACACAAGCCTCACACAGAACCTCGCATGGCATAGATGGTGCTCAAGAAACTGATGAATGGATAATCCCTGGGTTAATGTGGAATGCAAGTTTTCTGTAAGTTTAGTTTATTTAATTCAACTTTAAGTTGGATAATTATTGTTTACTTTGGGAAAAAATTGTTGAATTTCAGTTGTTGAAGTCTGTGAATGACCCTTGAGTTTAAAAGTTAGGGAAGGATGAGCCTGAAGAGCTTTAATTAATGCACTGAAGAAGGGTGTGACAGAAGGCTTTGCACTCGTCACACCTACGCATCTTGTCTCCAGGAGGTAACAGGGAGGGTGCGGGGGAGGCTGCTGAGTGGTTTTGAAATTATACAGAGCTGGATTTGAACCCCTTTCAGCGACATGCTTTCTGTGGGACTTCTCTAGGACTCATTTTTCTTTTCCATAAAACAATGTTAAAAAGTCCTATTTCTAGTGTTGTTAATAAAAAACAACATTTATTAATCATTGACTATGTGTCACAAACTGTGTTATGCATGTATAGACATGGTCTTATTTCATCAAGCTACTGTGGCTGGTGAGTGGCAGAACAGAAACTGAAGTCTGGGTATCTCTGACTGCAGAGCCCACGTGTTTACCCCATTTCTGGCACCTCCTCCAGAGCACAATGTGAGTTCAGATTAAAGGAGATCACTGCGGTGAAATGGAAAGCAAAGCCCTTTGATCTGGCAGCTCTCAGATTGCTAGTGCCTCCCTCCCAGCCCTCCTTCCTCTCCCTGCACCTTTCAGCACCTGCAGGTGGGATCCTGACCCTTCCATCTGGGCCGTCCCCCAACTCCTCATGTCTTAGCTGTCCCACTCCGAGTAGCCCCAAGAGGAGATGCCACTCAGAAAACTCTTTGGGGACTTAAAAAATTGAGGTACAATTCATACACAATTCTGGAGATTTTAAAATCTAGACAGAGAAACTGTTCTCTTGCTGGTCACGAAGATATCAGTTTCAGAGCAGGAAGTGGCCAGAGGCCAGAGGCCCCAGCCTCTTGGAGGAGCTGATTTGAGAGAAGAAACCTGAACCCTGAGAAGACCAATGAGAAGGAAGCTCTGAGGACACCTGCCCTGGGCTCCGCACCCATGGTGTGCGCCGCTCCCACAAGCTGGTCATGTGGGCCAAGTGTTCCTCTCAGAGGGTGCACAGCTTAAGCTGGCTTTTGCCTCATGCAAGCGTTCGCTCATCCTCAGAGGTACATATTATTATGTTTTACTGACAGAAATCCTGACAACTGTAATCCATGCGGTGACTCATGTGCACCTGCAGGAAATGAGCCATCCCCTCGGCTTGGAATTCTCTCCCCTCCACCCTCGTAGCTTTCACTCCTTTTCTTCTTAAGATCTCATCTTAACGAAGTCTTCCCCGACAAGCTTTTCTGAGGGATGCCCTCCCTCCTGCCCATTCCGTCCACATTACTGCATGATGTTCATTGCCACCAGATCACTTATTTCAAGCTATAATAGCATACTTATTTGTTTATATGATTATTTTCTGTATACCCACATTATTTGGGAGAATTTCAGCTGTGTGAGTAATAGGACACTGAAAATAACTGGGTCTTAAATAAGACAGAGGTTTATTTTTACCTCACATAAAATAAGTTCAGAGATAAGCAGTCTGGGGCTGGTGTGACAGCTCCACAAACATCAGAGACTCTGGTTCCCTCAAGTCCACTCCTCAGCCATCCCCACATGACATGACCCATGCTCCAAGAAGGCTGCTTGAGCTCCTGCCCTCGCATTCCTATTCCAGCCAGTGGGAAGTGGGAAGGGACTGAAACAGAGATGCCTTCTCCCTTATATAGGCACCTTCTGGAATTTTAACCCCACTCTTCTGCTCCTGCCTTTTGGATCAGAGCCCATTCTCATTCTCTTGTCTACAGAGGAAATGGGGGAATATAATCTCATATTTGATGGCCACGTGTCTCACTAAGAATTTGAAATTTTACAATTAAGAAGGGATAAAAGAATATTGGGGGCGGGGGGAATCTCTGTCCTTCTCCACTCACAGGCAGTGACACACAGGAAGGAAGGTGCCACGTGTTTGTGGCTGACCAACAGGTACCCAGCACTGTGCAGAGTCAGCACCCAGGGCACAGTTGTGAAAAAAATGAATGTATGGAACAAATGAACTCCTGCCCTTATCTAGACTGTTCAGAGAATCGGATGACAGCTAGAGTGTTTGAAAAACTGCTCTTTCCGGCTGGGCGCGGTGGCTCACGTCTGTAACCCCAGCACTATGGGAGACCAAGGCAGGTGGATCACTTGAGGTCAGGAGTTCGAGACCAGCCTGGTCAACATGGTGAAACCCCATCTCTACTAAAAATACAAAAATTAGCAAGGTGTGGTGGCACATGCCTGTAATCCCAGCTACTCAAGAAGCTGAAGCAGGAGAATCACTTGAACCTGGGAGGTGGAGGTTGCAGTGAGCTGAGATCACGCTACTGCACACCAGCCTGGGCAACAGAGTGAGACTCTGTCTCAAAAAAAAAAAAAAAAAGAAAAAGAAAAAGAAAAAGAAAAACTCCTCTTTCCCATGTATTATTATGCAGAGAATTAGCAAATCACTAGGCAAGAAACACAAGAACAATGATTCTAATAATTTCACTCTATGCCCAAGCTTGCTCATCTGTTGGTTTGCATTCCCACGCCTTCCCCTTCCTGTCTCCTGCTCCTGTCGAAAGGGAATGGGGAATGTACCCGGCCCTCTGGTCGTCTGCGTCCCGTGTTCCCTCGGCTGCTTCACCTTCAGCCTCCGCATCCTTCCTTTTCCTTAAGGCTGGAGAGTGTTCAGTGCCTTACACCCAGACCCCACTTCGTTAATGGCAGAACACAAAGCCAGGACCTCCTCCGACAACACATCCCTCTCCTGCTGCAGGCTGTGCTTCTCCCCGTCCTTCTGCAGCCCCGTCTCTGGACAGGCAGCATTCCCCTCCCTCACTTCTGCGGCCGGGATCCAGCCCCCGTGGGCTGCTGAGGTTGGCAGAGCTGCTGAAAGACCTCTCTGTCCAGACGCCCAGACTCCGACGATGCGGACCTGCACTCGGGCTGCCTGCTTCCTCGGTGGTGGGACGTGGGACTCTGCTCCTCCCCACTAGCCTCATTTGGTTTCCAGGCAGCCTCTTTCCTGAGCTTCCTGCCTCTGCAGCCACCTCCCGGCATCTCCTTTGCAGTCCCTGCATCCTCCTGCCCCACGTGTAGTGATGTTCCCAGGCTACGCTGTGGTCCTTCAGTTCTCACTCCCAGGAAAACCTTATTCCAGCAGTGTCACTGCCCATCCATGGCACTCGCCACGTCACGCCGCCAGTGCAGATGCAGACACAGCTCACCACGGAGTTACCCTTAGGGGCCTCATTAGAACCCATAGCTCAAGTTCCTCAAGGGTTCCCAGCCATGCCTATCTCTCCTTGTCTCTAGATCCGGCCTCTGGTTGTCCAGGGCAGCCTACGTTTCCTCTCCTGTGCCCTCACATTCCACTTAGCGCCAAGTGCTGCTGGTTTCCCTCTCAGGCGCTTCCTCTATCTGCCGCTGCCTCTGCACCCCATGGGCGCTGACCTAATCCTCTCCCCATGGCCTCCCCAGGTTCTGCCCCAGCGTCCGCACAGGCTCCACACTTCCACCTGAGGTGGGCCCAGGAACATTTCCCACGGAAGCCTGGTTACCCATGCGCCCTCTCTGAGCGAAAGCCTTCCTGTTACCCTAGACCCAGCCGTGGGAGCTGATGGTGATGTTCCTGATACCTGTCCAGCCCAGCATCCTGGATTATCTAATACACACCCTCTGTGGCCGTCTGAGTCCCCTGGACTCCCTGAACACGGTGCCCTCCCCCACGCCCTCCTCTGCCTATGAGCGCCTTCCTCGACCTGCTTAAAGCCCCACTGATCACTTTCATCTTGCCGCTCAGCTTGGACATCTCCAAGAGGCTTTTGTCACCTGTTCACCTTGGTGCTTGTTGTAACTGCGCTTAATTACTCGTGTAGAAATGGGACTCCGTCTCACCCACAGGGCTCCAGGCCCTATGAGCAGGACAGGGGTCAGAGGTCACATCTGATTTGCTCGCTGCTGCGTCCCTGAGATCTGATTTGCTCACTGCTGCGTCCCTGAGATCTGATTTGCTCGCTGCTGCGTCCCTGAGATCTGATTTGCTCGCTGCTGCGTCCCTGAGATCTGATTTGCTCGCTGCTGCGTCCCTGAGATCTGATTTGCTCGCTGCTGCGTCCCTGAGATCTGATTTGCTCGCTGCTGCGTCCCTGAGATCTGATTTGCTCGCTGCTGCGTCCCTGAGATCTGATTTGCTCGCTGCTGCGTCCCTGAGATCTGATTTGCTCGCTGCTGCGTCCCTGAGATCTGATTTGCTCGCTGCTGCGTCCCTGAGATCTGATTTGCTTGCTGCTGCGTCCCTGAGACCCAACCAAGGGCCCAGCACACAGGACGGTTTCAGGCATTATGGGCACATTTGCCTCCTGCCTGTCTCCTCCTCAAACGCAGGATGTCAGCACCAGGGCCTGGAATCATCAGATCCTCTGTCCCAAGCTGGAGACCCTAGCGGAGAGGGGTTCAACATGTATTCCGTGGAGTAAATGACGGAGCATTTCTGTCGCTCAGGCTTGGACGCCCTATTTGATGATACAGCATTTCTGCACAGTTAGGCAGGGTCCACACAGCCATCAGAGAAACGTTATTCCTGCTTGGACAAAATGTGCACACTTTTTATTAACAGGTTGTTTGGGGAAAGATGAGGGTCCTATTTGAGTTTTTAAAATCCCGATGCCAAGGGCAGGATCCTGGGAGGCCAGGGCATAACATAGCGTGGGTCCCAAGAGGTGAGCCTTGTGCCTCTCCAGCGCCTCAGCCAGCCTTCCCCAGGCTCCCCGCATCTCTGAGGGGTCAGGTGGCTTCCCAGATCCTGAACCCCTTTGCAACACAGTCTTGGGGTAACCCACCTGAGCTGCACTGCAAACCCCATCACACTCTGCTGGAGTTCTCCCGGGCTTCCCATGGCCTGCAGGAGAAACAGCCCCTTGCCCGGCACAGATCTCCGTCGGGTCCAAGCAGCAGGCGTGCTCTGCCCACGTCTTGCACAGTGCCCAGCATGGTGCTCTCACAGGACAAGTTCTCAGAGGGCCCTTGGGTACCGGTGATGTCACAGAATGTTTTGCGGGTCTTCATCAGGTCCTTAATAATCTGTTGCTTGTGTTTTTTTCACTGTTAGGAAGAATTGGCCTATGCTGATATACTAGTGATTTTATTGCTGTCTAGACGTGATCTCCTGCACACGGACCTCTATAGGAAATGAGGCAGGTGCAAAAATTTGCAGCAGCAGGTGCCATGAGGCCTGAGAAAGACTCAGACACAGAGAATAGCAGGGAGGGAAAAGTGCCCTGTGCTGGGCAAACAGGAATCAGGGACACAGACCTGGCTGCAGGGTGGGGCCAGTTAGAAGAGTCACTGTGGGAAAGCAGGGAGGCAGGCTGGGAAGAAAAACAACTTTTACAGTCCCTAGAGGGAATTCAAAGGAGTTGTCCTCATCCATTTGGATGAATACTGATTCTTAAATAAAACCAGACTGTAGATTATACACTCTTTGTGTGTGTATGCTATATGTGCATTTGTATGTGTACCTAAATACTGTGTGTGTGCATGCTATGTGTTTGTATGTATATGCTATGTGCTTGCATGTGTGTGTATGTTGTGCATGTGCATGTTTTGTATTCTGTATGTGTGTTTATACTACATTTGCACTTGTGCTTATGGGGATATGCTATGTTTGTGAATGTGCTTGTATATTATGTGTGTGTTTGCATGTGTGCACGTGTTCTACATGTGTAATGTGTGTGCATGTGTATGTATGCTATGTGTGTGTTTGTGTATGCTGTATGTGTGCCTGTGTGTGTCTACATAATATATGTTCATGCACAATGTGAGTGCATATGTGCACGAGATGTGTGTGTATGTTGCAATGTGCTTGTGTGCGCAACATGTGTGTTTGTATGCTGTGTGAATTTATGCTATATGTATGTGTGTGCTATGTGTGTGCTAGTGTGTGTGCCTACATACTAGATGTGTGTGTATAGTGTGCATGCACTCTATGTGTATGTGTGTCTGCTATATATGTGTGTTATATGTGTGTGTGTGCTCTGTGTGTGCATATGTGTATGCTGCATGCATGTGTGTGTGCTGTGTATGCACATGTGTGTACTCTATGCATGTATTTGTGTGTGTATGTTGTGTGTGAGCATGAGTGTATGTATGCTAAATTTGTGTGTGTGCTTGAATGCTATATGTGTGGGCATGTGTGTGTACATGTATACTTTGTGTGCATTTATACTGTGGGTGTGTGTGCACATGCACTGCCTTCTGTTCAGAGTACAGGACACACAGTCCTCCACAGGGCCACACATACAAGCCAGGGAGCCCAGGTCTGGGGCGTGTCTGCCTCCCACCCTCCAGATACAAGCCAAGCAGAACCAGCTTCTCCCCCTACATGCTCAGGACACCACAGACTTTGCCAAATTGCAACTCACTGTCTATCTCCACAACTTGACCTTTAGCTTCCACAGCAAAGTGCCTACCTAACTTTAAGCTGCTGCCCCAAATAGATTGCACACCTGGTATCAGCGTCTACAGACAAATGCCTCACTGTTGTCCAATAAATACTGATGACATTGGCAAAGTTATGGCCTTGGCCCAGCATTGCTCATTGAAGTGATAAACCAGCAGCTTTGACATCTAAACTCATTCCAAAAGCAGTTTAAAAAAACAAATGAAGCAAGATAATTCAATGACACTTCACAACTTAAATTTTAGAGAGACAGTTAGGCTGCGGGCTCCCTGACTACTATTTCCCAGCTCCTGACTGTACGGATGATGCTTATTTCCTCTGATACCAAATTAGAAAACTCAAGTCTCTGTCTCCTGAAATGGAAGAACCATCAGCAGAGCCTCAATGCCACGAAGCCCGTCTGCCCAGGAGTCTCGGCTCAGCCCAGCACATGCTGCCCTCTTCTTCAGATCAGGGCATCAGGCCGTTCAGTTTAAATAAAAGACTCCAAGACACTGAAGGCAGCTTTGGAGAAACCTGACAAGGGCTAGGTGAGAAGTGAATGGCTGACAAGGAGCAGGGAAGCTGCATTTCTCCTCCCCTCTGCGAGAAGCTCAGTAAGTCACACAGAAAGGTCTCCCTTCCGATGCCCATGAGTGATCTGCCATCAGAGTTAATGGGACTTACCCTGTGCACGGAACACTGAGAGCCGGTGATTGCAATCTGAGCTCTAAATAACCTGTTCCTATTCAACACCCTCTGGAGTCCTCTGCTTTTATGGCCTTTCTGTGTTCTCTCCCACAGTTCCATTTCCTACTGAGTCAAATCACAAGTTCAGATTTTTGAAAATTTCCAAGTCTTGTCAGAGTGAGACTTGGCTAAGATATAAATTTGGTGAAGACATTGTCCATTGGAAGATATCTCTTTTTATTTCGCCTGCATAAAATAATAAGGGTTTTAAAAATGGCTCTAATTTTCTTGACAAATAATAGAGTTTGAGGTGGTATCAGTAGAGGGATTAATAAGGACAATAAAGCATATTTTGTAGACCAAAGTAAAGAAATAAAAGAGTTGTGATGAAAGCTGAGAGATCTGGGCAGGAGTGACTGCACACTGAAGGTAATGAACATATGGAATAAATGAGGAGACAAGGCAAATGTAGCAAAAAATTAATTCAAGCCCCTGACTTATTTCAAGGGAGGGAAGGCATGTCGACAGATGGTAAAACATCAGGAACACAGGATTAAGATAAATTTTAAGAGGACAGGTGTGCAGGACAGAATGGCCTTTTCTGCTCTGAAATGCTCTTCCCTCTTTAATATTTCATTGCTGGTTGGATCCTAAGGCACAGCCCGCATTAGGTGCCCATTGCAATATGCCCTTACAAAAGGGCTGTACGTCTTGTCTCTGCTACGAGGCTGAACTGTAATCCACCCTGAAAGATGTATGGCTCCTTCCCCCTCTCCAGCAGGGATGCTGAAGAGCCTAAATTCAGGAAGGAACGCTCTTTTAAAAGGCGATCCTGCTATTAAGGCAGGCTCTAATTTAAAATTGCCACAAGCTTTCTATGCACAAAATACCAGAAGTCCTAAAGACATAAATATGTTTGACTATATACAAGAGTAATATTTTATGTATCGAAACGCTATACCCATGTTAAATGACAAGTGGCAAATGAAAAATATTTGCTACATGTGACAGATCAATATCCTTAAAATATAAAGAAACCTAACCAAAAATAAAAATAAGAATAAAATAACACTGTCAAAGAAAATGAACAGGCAATTGAAAATATAAATGAAGAATATGTGAAAACATTCTAATTCATTAGAATTATAGTTCAAATTAAGATAAAATCTATCTACCATTCATACCTATCAAATTGGTAGAGATGAAAATATTAATAAATGCCAATGAGTATCGTGGAATAAGTGAAAAAATAGAGTTCTCTTATATGTTGGCAAGAATACAAGTTAGAGAAGAATTTCTGGAAGATAATTTATTTTTATTAAAAGCCAACTAAAATCCATACTTTTTGACCTGGAAAGGTCACACTGAAGATTTGCTTTAACAGCAAAAAGATTTACATACAATGTAGTGTATTGCATAGTCACTTCAAGTGTCCATCAGTGGATGACTGCTTAAAGCCACTCATGTATCCAACAAATATTTGTGGACCGTCTGCCATGTGTCACTTATTATTCTGTGTTCTTTTAATATAACAGTGGACAAAACCAGCAAAGACCCTATCCTGCTGAAGCTTCTATTTTAGCTGAGGACACAGACAAGAAATCACTAAATACATCGTAAAATGGCAGATGGCAATGCATGCCGTGAAAGAAAATTTGAAAAGGAAAGAAATGGAGAGTGATCAAGGGCTCTTCCAGCAGAAATGCTTAAAGCCACGAAACCAATGTCATAGAGAATACTTAATAAATTGTGAAAAAGTCTAGGATGTTCTAAAATATAAAAGGATATTATAAAGCAATAAGTACAATACAATACTATTAACACCATGTAGAAGCTAATTCTATGCACTGGAAGAAACGGAGATGTACCGTGAAACATTCTCAGTAGTTTTCTCTGGCCTGGGAGATTATATGTGATTATTTTTAAAGCTATTTCCTCTATTTTCCAAAATTTCTACTCCATTGTGTACTTTGACAAAAACAGAAGGGTTCGGGTCTTTTTTAAAAAAAAAAAATAGCAGTAAGTCTCTCTCCTTGGCAACTTGTTTTATGCATGGAATGATTTGATATGGGCTTAACAGGAGTGTGCGACAAGGGCAGAGGTGATGAGAAGCCTGGGGGAGGCTGCTGCTACATCCTCATCCATCTGAAGAGTGCTCACAGCACAGGGGTTCAGCTCCTCCCTGCAGTGTCAAGGGCGAGACCGAGGGATGCAGGTGGCAGACGGTGAGAAACGTTTGAGCCACAGGTGCCCAGCAGTGTGGGGGTGGCAGTCAGTGTAAGTGTGGCCTCCAAGATCATGCACAGATTAGAGGATCCATGAGGGTTCTCCACAGTGTTTCACCCTTGTCTTTCTAGCTCTGCCTCAGCTCAAAACAGCCTCATCCCAACAGGGCTCAGGCTTTGTTTAACAAGAGCAAGCATTCTTCAAAAATAGCCGGACTGCACCAGCACACAGGAGAAACATTTTCAGGCTATGAAAAAATAAAACCATGAAAATGTGTTGATGGAGACAAGGCTAGCTTTGAAAGAAATACAATATGCAGGGACCATCTTGTTCCAGGGGGAGATTCTGTACCCAAATGTGCAGCATTCATAACGCCTCCACTACTCAGATTGCTTAAATTTACAAAACATATTCCCATTCACGGTTGTATTTATTTTCCAGATTGCACTGTGTTGAGTAGAGGGGCTCTTATCTGCCCTTGACAGAGAAGGAAAGTGACCCACGGAGAGGCAGCCCCCGCGGGAATCCTGACTTCTGCCTCTGAGCAGCCGCAAGGGGGTCAGCACAGAGCCCTCACACGTGGCTGTCGGCGCTGGGTTAACAGCCAGGGCAGACAATGAAGACGGTGGCAGGCTGCTCGGATTCCAGAACAGAGAGCTGTTTATCTTGTACTTTTGTGTCCCAAAGGGTTGGATTTGGCATTTTTAAACCTTCAGATGATAGCCTCTCAGGGCTCAGTCTGAGGTTTATGAGAAAATGGATGTGAAGCAGGGCAGCCTGTGCCTGGGAGGAACCCATCCGGAAGGGCTCGCCGCTTACCTTGTGTGCCCATCGACCAGGACTGCAAACACTTCCCCTGGTGGGGCCAGCCAGCCTGCCCACGGCCTCAGTGCCCTGGAAAACCGCCAGCGTCTCACTGTCGCTTAACACTTTGTGGGAAGTCACTCCTACACTGGCTGCAGACACTTTGGAAGAAAAGAAAGGATCGATAGACTTGCAAAGCCAGGAGGGGAAATACAATAAGCATTTGGTGTTACTGGCAAGGAAAGGTTCATTTTGAGGGTATGCATAATACCCTGAGCAGCAGAGTTCAGCTGCTGTGCCCAGCTCTTCCCCACATTGCTGGGAGCTTTCTCCCAGATTGCAACAGCCTCCGACCCCTCCCCGAATTCTTGATTCTGTCTGTTCTGTTTGTGTTTGCCGTTCAGACTCAGGCCTTAGCTTTTTACTGTTTTGTTTTGTCTCTGCATAAACTACTGGAGGAGCTCATTCACTACTGGATGTCTATGGAAAGTCCAGTGAGATGGTACTTGGACCTTTGAATGCAGGCCTGACTTCCCTGCCACCTGGGCTCTGTGCGTGGAACACCTTCACCTGGATTCCTTCAAATTCAGCACACCTGAGCCAGGTGTAGTCTTTTTTTTTTTTTCTTCCCAGCCCTCTTTCCTTCCCAGTTGCTGCAGCACTCCATGTGGCAGCACATCACCCAGACTCCACCTCAACTGTGTTTCCCTCGAGCAATCGCTGCACCCGCGGAGCTGTCTTTTGGTCCTCATAGCAACCCCACCGACGAGGAAGGAAGTGTGGCTCAGAGAGGCAGACACTGGACCCAGGCATCAGAGCGCCTCAGAGGCAAGGTCTGCATTTGGTGCAGCTTCCAACGCTCCCCACGGCTCCACTGCTGCTTCTTGTACATGCTTGGCTGCCATGCCCCAGGAAACCCCACCAGCATCTCTGTTGAGAGGTACCCACATGTTCTTCTGCGTGTTCACTTCACAAAGGATCACGCAGCCTCCTCACCCCAGGCTGTGCACATCAGCCCCACCTCCCTTGGGTGGCATGTTCCACCCAGTGCTGTTCAGAACCAAGGACCTCTCTGGTGTTTTCTGCCTGAGGAGCCCCCGCCTGCACCCAGCAGGGAAGACCCACAGCAAGGTAAAGCTGTGAGTGCAGTTTGAGGACAGACAGACCTGACTTCAGGCCAGACACACCCACAGCTAGCTAACGGTTCCCATTTGCTGACCTGCTGTGCCTCACCTCAGAGGAAAATAACAATTGCCCCTGCCCTAGAGGGTCATTTAGAGGTGACTGTGGTGACGTGGCAGGAAACTCATTGGGTGGTATTCACGGTTCCTCCATGGTCAAAATAAACACCTGTACCCAGGTGGTTGCTGCCCTCCTTCATGTTCTTCCTCTCCTGCCCATCTCTGCAAATTCTCTGTTCCCTCATGGTTAAAACATTCCTGAGGATGCCCCTCTTGCTTCCTGAAAATGTCCAGTGACCTATCCATAAAAATCCCACCATCTGCTAGGTGAGACGTAAGGCCTGGGGAGAACCCCCTGGGGTAGGTGATTTTTATCAACACTGCAAGATAGAGAAATACAACTCAGGGTCCACAGTCAGGCTGCAGAAATGTCATCTAATCTCCCAGTCACACTTGTTCAAAATCAGTTTCCTCATCTGTGCAGAGTAGGTAGTGATTGAACTAACTCCTTGTGTAGACTGTGGAATGGCAGGGGTTTTAAACAAAATTTTCTGAAGTGGGGATAATATTATTGAATTTCTTGTAGAATCATTATGAGATTGGCCATTTCAAAATAGATAGAATTAACAATCTTCATGTAAACAGGCTTGCACCAGAACAAAAAGCAAAACCAAAAATACAAAGACAGTGAGGATAAATAAAGCAGGCCAGATTAACAGCATCTAGTGTCTTCAAAATAGAGTGAGCAAGAGATGACCAGTCCTGCACTGCAGTAGTCAAATCTCACACTACTATAAAGAGCTACCTGAGACTGGGTAGTTTAGGAAGAAAAGAGGTTTAATCAATTCAGTTCCACAGTTTTTACAGGAAGCAAGGCTGGTAAGGCCTCAGGAAACTTACAATCATGGCAGAAGGTGAAAGGGAAGCAAGCACATATTCACAGAGCCAGCAGGAGAGAGAGGGAGAGAGTGAGACCACACACTTTCAAACAACCAGATCTCATGAGAGCTCATTCACTATCACAACAACAGCAAAGGGAATGTACACCTCCATGATCCAATCACCTTCATTTTATTCCATGGGGAATACAATTCAACATGAGACTTGGGTGGGGGCAGAGTCGAACCATATCATTCCACCTCTGGCCCCTCCCAAATCTCATGTCCTTCTCATATTTCAAAACACAATCATGCCTTCCCAACAGTCCCCTAAAGTCTTAACTCATTCCAGCATTAACTCAAATGTCCAAGTCCAAAGTCTCATCTGAAACGAGGCAAGTCCCTTCCACCTATGAGTCTGTAAAATCAAAAACAGGGTTACTTCCAAGTTACAGGCATTGGGTAAATTCTCCTATTCCAAATGGGATAAATTGGCCAAAACAAAGGGTCTACAGGCCCCATATATGTTCAACACCCAGCAGGGAAGTAATTAAATGTTAAAGCGCAAAGGTAATCTCCTTTGACTCCATGTCTCATATTCAGGCCACATTGATACAACGGGTGGTCTCCCAAGGCCTTGGACACCTCTGCCCTGTGTCTGTGTAGAGCTCAACTCCCATGGCTTCTCTCAAGGTTTGGCATTGAGTTTCTGTAGCTTTTACAGAGGCACAGTGCAAGCTGTCTGTGAATCTACCATTTTGGGGGCTGGAGGATGGTGGCCCTATTCTCACAGTTCCACTGGGCAGTGCCCCAGTGGAGACCCCTCACATTCCCCTAGTAGAGAACTCCACACTGCTCTAGTAGAGGTTCTCTATGAGGTCTCCACCCCTGAAACAGGCTTCTGCCTGGACATCCAGACATTTCCCTACATTCTCTGAAATCTAGGTGGGGGCTCCCAAGCCTCAACTCTTGCCCTCTGTACACCCACTGGCTTAATACCATGTGGAAGCCACCAAGGTTTCTTATGGCTTGCAACCTCTGGGGCAGTGGCCTGAGACATATCTGGGGTCCTTTTAACCATGGCTGGAGCTGTAGTGGCTGGGAAACAGGGTGTCATGTCCAAAAGCTGCACAGAGCAGTGGGGCCCTGGGCCCGGCCTGGTCCATAAAACCATTTTTCTCTCTTAGGTCTCCAGGGAGGCCTCCTGTGGTGGGAGGGGCTGCTGTGAAGGTCTCTGAAATGCCTTGGAAGTATTTTCCCCATCATCTTGGCTATTAACATTTGGATCTTTTTTACTTATGCAAATTTCTGAAGCTGGCTCAAATTCCTCCCACTGAAAATGGGTTTTTCTTTCCTACCACATGGCCAGGATGCAAATTTTTCAAACTTTTATGCTCTGCTTCCCTTTTAAATATAAATTTCAGTTTCAGGTAATTTTTTTTGCTCATGAATATGAGCACACCCTGTCAGAAGCAGCCAGGCCAAATATTGAACACATTGCTGCTTAGAACTTTCATTCACCAGATACCCTAAATCATGTCTCTTAAGTTCAAAGTTCCATAGATCCCTCAAGCAGGGGCACAATGCTGCCAGGCTCTTTGCTAAAGCATAGCAAGAGTGACCTTTACTCTAATTCTCAATAATTTCCTAATCTCCATCTGAGACCACCTCAGTCTGGACTACACTGTTCATATCATTATCAGCATTTGGGTCACAACCATTCAACAAGTCTCCAGGAAGTTCCAACCTTTCTTACATCTTCCTGTCTTCTGAGCCCTCTAAACTGTTCCAACCTCTGCCCATTAGCCATTTCCAAAGTCACTTCACATTTTCAGGTCTCTTTATAGCAATGCCCCAGTTCTCTTGAACCAATTTCCTGTATTAGTTTGTTCTCACACTGCTGTAAAGATATATCTGAGACTGGGTAATTTATAAAGAAAAGAGGTTTAATAGGCTCACGGTTCTGTGGGCTATGCAAGCTTCTGCTTCTGGGGAGGCCTCAGAAAACTTACAATCATGATGGAAGGTGAAAGGGGAGCAGGCAGGTCTTTACATGGTCAGAGGGAGAGAGAGAGAAAGAGAATGACAGAGGAAGTGCTACACACTTTTGCACAACCTGATCTCACGAGAACTCACTATCATGAGAACAGCAAGGGAGAAATCTGGCCCCATGATCTGATCATCTTTCACTAGGTCTCTCCCTCAACATTGGCGATTACAATTCAACATGAGATTTTGGTGGGGACACAGAACCACACCATCTCACACACATCTGGATCACAGAGGCGCAGTGCAGTATGTGCTGGAGACAAGAGCTAGGGGCACGGGAAAGTCAGCTCTGGAATCTCACCACGTTGCCTGGGAATCCATTGCTGGGATTGAGCTGTGGAAGCAGGAGGTGAAGGATATGCAGCAGGGGACCCCTGAGGGCAGCAGACCAAGCAGGGTCGGCCTTAGGAAGGATGGAACAGGAGACACACAGGAAAGTGAGTCCTGGACCAGGATAAGGTGGGCGTCACCCCCACAGCAGAGCCCGGGGAATGATGGCTCCAGCTTGCTATCAAGGCTGTGGGGAGGGACAGACAGCAGGTATGACATCACTCTCCAGACGTTCCTGGTGCAGGAGAGCTCAGGAACCCTTTACTTTATTGCTGGGTTACAAAGTAAACCCAGGCTTTACTTTGTTGCTGTCTTTGTCATTTGTTTATTTGTTTTAGCTCTGCCTTCCTGGTTTTCTTCCCAGAATCTCCATTCCTTATCCAAATTAACTCCCCTTTGGATAGAGTTTAGCCAGTGCTGTGTGCTGATTGTGTCCCCAAAGGGACACATCCAAGTGTTAACCTTGGTGCCTGTGAGTGCGACCTTGTTTGGAATAGGGCGTGTGCAGATGTCATCAAGGTAGGATTTCAGGTAGACCCTATGACCAGTCGCTGGCTTCTTGACGGAAGGGGTGAGGTCACAGAGCCTCATGCAGAGGGAGGACGGCCCGATGGCGATACAGGCAGAGACGGCAGTAATGCGGCCATGGACTGGAGAAGACCTGGAACCACCAGGAGCCAGAAGAGTCAAGGAGGGATTCTCCCCCAGAGATTGTGGAGGAAGCATGGCCCTGCCAACACCTGCATTTGGCTTCCAGCCCAGCACTGTGAGACAATAACTGTGTGTTGTTTGAAGCCACCACATGTGTGAATGTGTCACAGCAGCCCTAGGTAGACCAGGCAGCCAGGCGCTGCGGCTGGGTCCAGTGAGGGCACGCACTCTGCTGATTTTGGTTTTTTTTTTTCTTGAGGCGGAGTCTCGCTCTGTCACCCAGGCTGGAGTGCAGTGGCGTGATCTCGGCTCACTGCAAGCTCCGCCTCCTGGGTTCACGCCATTCTCCTGCCTCAGCCTCCTGAGTAGCTGGGACAACAGGCACGTGCCACCACACCCAGCTAATTTTTTGAATTTTTAGTAGAGATGGGGTTTCACCATGTTGGCCAGGATGGTCTCGATCTCCTGACCTCGTGATCCGCCCTCCTTGGCCTCCCAAAGTGCTGGGATTACAGGCTCTGCTGACATTTTGTTTTGCAGCCCTGCTGAGCTGGCTGCCCTGGGGCCCCTGCTTTCTAGCCTGAAGCTTCCTGAGCTAGTGTTTAGAGGAGACACTTTTAAACAACCAGATCTCATGACCCAGTGCTCACTGCCCAGAAGACTTGGTGCCAAGGCCTGGCCGAGAGGCTGCCTGGCCAGCTTTCAGATGAATCAGGAAGTGCAGGGCCCAGTAATGAGCCTCTCCTGAGTTGCCGGCAGGAGTCAAGGCAGACGAGGCAGCCCTTGTCATCCACACGAGCTCCCCAGGCAGCCCACGTCAGTCCCGGCAACTGAAATGGCTGCACAAGCTCTTGTTTATATTGCACCAAGCTCTGATTACCTCCCCAGTCCCCACCAGCACACACACACCTGCACATTACCCGCCTGTCCCTGGTGCTCGCAGCTTGTGCTGTCCCTGGAGCATTCACAACCAAGAGCCGCAGCTGTGTCTGCTCGTCCCAGCCTCCCAGCCTCAACAGCCACACAGACTTGCAGGGACAGGGCTGGCAGGTTAGGAGGCCACTCTCCACATAAGACAATTCCCTGTTTGTGCTGCAGGGCGGAGCCAGCTGTGGCGATGTCTGCTTTCCCGTGGGGGTTGCAGGCTTATAGGACACCTGCCCGCACTCTGGGGAAAGGTAGCTCATGGCCCCAGAAGGAATGTCCCAGGCAGTTGGGGACCCGCTCCTCCACGCCCATCCTCCCCTTGGTCCTGAGCTCCCAGGGTATCTGTCCTGATGACCCAGACCCCTGGGAGGCCCTGAGCCCTCACCTGCCCTAGCAGGGTACAAACCCTCTTCTCTGTGACTCATGTGAGCAGAAGCTGAGCAAACACAGGAGTCTCTCCTGCCAAAAACGAGAGCCGTGCATCCAACACAAGTCATCCAGTTCAACCACTTTCTAGCTGGGAGACGCAGGGCAAATAACATATCCTCTGTGAGTCTCAGTCTTTCTGTTTTAGAAACGAGGAGTATGATTCTTACCTTAGAGAGTTACTGCGAGAATGAAATCAGATGCACTGCACCAAGCGTCCAGTGCAGTGCTCTCGGCGAGTGAGCCCTCTGAAGGTGCAGTTCCTCCACTCGCCAACCTTTCCAGTAAACAATACACACTGCTTACCATTTATTTCTGAGGATTTTTCCTGGCAAATTATTTCACACTGGGAAGCACAACTATTTCAATGCACCTAGAGTCTTCAAAAAAGTACAAAAGTGAGCCAAAAAAAGTCACCTTAGTTCTGTCTCAGCAAACGTCAAAACTTCATTGGTCTCTCAAGCCCCTGTTCTGCCTAAGAGTTCTTGCATGTAAGATGGGGCACTTCTGCGGGACCTCAGGGGCTGAGAAGGCAGCCACACACGCCTGAGGACCCCCTCCCCTCGGAGTGGCGTCTGTGTGGTAAGGGTCTTGCCGGGTTGCCGAGAGTCATGGGGAGGGAAGTCAGGTGTAGTGCCCACCTCCGGCATCTGCCAGTGTCTACCTTTTGGTTACTGGCCTCTGAGCCTCTGCCCCTCAGCAGGTTGGGGGTTGTACATCGCCACTGACAGGTAGATCGACGAAAGTCCCGCTGTCCTCATGATCTCGGCCACCGTACCTGGCCACATCCACCGTGCACCCTCTCCCAGAGCCGCTGTGCACCATGGGCAGCCCCCTCCTTTTCCAAGCAGCTGCCCGGAGTCCTGTACCTCCCTGTGGGGCCGGGAGACGAAGGCTGTACTTGGGAATCACTGCACTTATGACTCAGTCGGGCATTGACTGTGTGCCTGGAGAAGGTCCCGGGACTCCTGCTCAGGGAGGGAGCACTTTTCACCCCAGCTCCCAGTAAAGGTCAGTGTGAGTGTGTGGGTGTCCCACGTCCTCCCTGTGTGGGAGTGTGTGAGGGCGTCACACAGGACACACACGCAGAGACAAGGAATACACTCACACACACTCACACACAGAGAGGACACGGGATACACTCTCCATACTCAGACACACACAGGGCATGGGACACTCACACACACGCACGGAGAAGACACAGGACCCTCTCACATTCACACGTGCAGACAGGACACCCCCCCACACACACAGAAAAGGACATGGGACTCTCACACACAGAGAGGACACAGGACACACACACACGCAGACAGTACACCCTCAGACACACAGAGAGGACATGGGACCGTCTCACACACCGAGAGGACACAAAACACTCTCACACACACAGAGAGGACACAGCACCCTCTCACACTCGTAGACATGACACTCTCAGACACAAACAGAGAGGACATGGGACACTCACACATGCAGAGAGGACACGGGACACACACACGCAGAGAGGACATGGGACACTCACACTCACACACAGAGAGGACATGGGACACTCTCCATACTGAGACACACCCAGAGGGCATGGGACACACTCTCATATGCTCACACACACAGGCTATACACTGACATTTTTCCACGCACATGAAGAGGACCCCCTCTCACACACACATACACTGAAGACATGGGACACATTCTCACACACAGAACACAGGAGGCACTCATGTACTCACACATAGTCACACACTCACACAGAAGACACAGGACACACTCACATACACACAGATACAGACAGCACACACACAGGACGTGGGACTCGCTCTCACACACACACATGCACACAGAAAATACGGGGCACAGTCACAGACTCACGCATGGGGGACACACTCATATACTCACACAGACAGCACACAGTCACACACACCTAGTAGCACACATACACTTTGCACACATCTGTACACACACCCCACACGTGTGCACACACCCCACACGAGCACATCCCCCCACGCGTGCACACACACACATATGCACGCACCCCGCACACCTGCACACTCACTCTCATCTCTACTTCTCTGAAGCCATCACCCGGGCAGGTCCACCTGAGGCTGCCTTTCTCTCCATAAGAGGATTTCCTGGCTTCCACCTCTCAGTCCCCACTGCCGTGCTGTCCAGTGTGAGTGGCTGCCTCTGGCCCTGCTAGGGCCGTCGTCTGCTCTCTGGGTCACAGGCTGCCTGGTCCACCGGCTGCACCCCTATAAGTTCTCGTGAGACCTGCAGAGCCCTGGGCCCTGGCCTGCCCATGCCCACCCACCGGGGAGCTCCTTGGCTCAGGCTCACAGGTTCCAAGGCCTCCGAGTTACTCGGGCTGTGCACAGGCCGCCAGCTCACTCACACAGACAGAGGCCCTCGCTGACTCACACAGTGGCCGCCAGCTCACACACAGACAGAAGCCCTCGCTCACTCACACAGAGGCCGCCAGCTCACTTACACAGACAGAGGCCCCCAGCTCATTCATGCAGACGGAGGCCACTGGCTCACTCACATGGACGGAGACCGCCAGCTCACTCACAGAGACAGAAGCCGCTGACTCACACAGGCAAAGGTCCCTGGCTCACCACACAGACGGAGGCCCCCGGCTGACTCACAGATGGAGGACACGGGGCTCCTGGGTTTCCCTCCTGCCGACAGCTGGAGCGACCGGGGCAGGCCTCACCTTCGTGGGAAGGGGAGTCAGGTGCCCTTCCACAGCAGGGGGTCTAGACACAGCCCTGCCTCACGGAACCCAGCCCCGGCTCACCTCCTTCCCCAAGGCCTCACTGTGCCCAGCCCCATACCCAGCACACGCAGGCCCTCAAGGACACTCTACTCTCAGGGACATGTGCCCTATGCACCAGGCCAGCTTGGCCACACCCAACCCTTCTTTCACTGTCCAGGCCCAATGAGGCCTTCTCCTCGAGTCCTCCTGGACTCCCGGGAGGTGCCAGGTTCCCTCTGCATCCCGACTGCTGGCTGCCACTCCCCTCACCTCGCTACTGAATGCACTCATTTTCCTGGGCTCATGGCTACCACGCTGAAGTCGGCCCCTTCGTCGGTCTTCCTGCTGCACCCTTCCTCTCCACACCATGCTCTCCATTCCGGGATCTCACACGTGCATTTGATAAGTTACAAGTGCTTGTTGAGAAATGCCGGTGTCCTGTCCCATCTCCATGAAAGCCGAGGTGGGCCCCTGGGTGCCTGCACGCAGAAGACCCTCTAAATCCTTACAGAACAGGTTACTCTCTGCATTCCCAGAATGGAGCAGTGCCTGGGATAGAGCAAGGGCCTCAAACGTGCCTGTCCACTGAAACTGGAACTGGTGAAGCTCCCAATTTAACAGCATGTAGATACCATGCATAGCAGTACCGAGGTGTTAGAGTTCTGTGTATGTGCTCCATTTCACTTACTTTCTCCATTTTTCCCCGCATTGATTTGCCTCAAATGGTGAAAACATCATTGCATATTTTAGACAGAGCAAAGCCACAAAGAGGTTCCTATTACTTAAAACCTATTATTAACACCAAGCGCTCCCCAAAGCCAGGTGTAGGATATATTTATACCACATTTAACTGTTTGAATTTCAATTTCAAATGGATAACACATGGACTGAGCAATCATGCAAAGGCATTCCTCTTCCTGGGCATGGGGACGAGGCTGTTTGTTGTTTGTTTGTTTGTTTTGAGACAGAGTCCCGCCCTATTGCCCAGGCTGGAGTACAGTGCTGTGATCTCAGCTCACTGCAACCTCCGCCTCCAGGATTCAAGCAATTTTCATGCCTCAGCCGCCCGAGTAGCTGGGATTACAGGCATGTAACACCACACCCAGCTAATTTTTGTATTTTTTAATAGAGACAGGGTTTCGCCATGTTGGCCAGGCTGGTCTGGAACTCCTGACCTCAAGTGATCTGCCTGCCTCGGCCTCCCAAAGTGCTGGGATTACAGGTGTGAGCCACCGTGCCCGGCCATGCTGCTGTCTTTGTAGAGAAAGCTTCAGTCCCATGCCAGACCTAGAGGGCCACAGCCTCTGTCCTGAACTTGGCCACTTCAGCTCACTCTTTGACTTTTGTAATAGCCCTTAAGTGACTTCACTGATCCCCACCTGTGGCAGTGAAAGCTGAATGTACACTATGCACTGTGCTGAGCAGTTACTACTATCTGAAGGCTACCTGGAAACACATGCGAAGCTTTGAGGGGTCTTTGCCCATAAACCCCGACACCTTCCAGCAAGGGTCCTCTTCCGGACGGCAGTGGGTTGCCTTGAGACTCAAGTTCACAACCAGGCTAGGAGATGAGGACTCCCAAGCTCTCCATTCAGAACCTCCAGATGGGACAGGAGCCCAGACCTGCATTCTGCAGGCCCATGCTGAGGTTTATTGTCAAATGCAAGGGAGGGTCGGTTACGGGTTCCCCAGGTGATATGGAGGGCACCAGTCACAGTGACCACCTGTCAAATGGAGGTGATGATTTAATGCAGCAGACGTGTTGTGGAAACGCAGAGATCTCCGATACACATTCCTGGCTAGCAGTAGCTGCTCAAGAAACATCACTCCCCATTTTGTAACACTGCAGCCTATGTGCAGGGAGATAACTGTTCCATGGGAAACAGCAGCCCTGGAGGAAAAGGACTCGCGTTTGAAATGTGGTTGACATCTCCCAGGTGATACAGCTTAATCTCTCTGAACCTCGGATGTCTTATCTGTAAATAGTGAAGACAAGTGCCTCACAGGGCTGCTGTCACGATTAACCATGAGGTGCTGCACAGCAGAATTCCTGTCAGCGCCCAGTTCTTTTCCTGCACAGAGAGCTCAGGTGCACATTGACCTGGTGCAGGACATCAGTCTCGGCTCTTCCAGGTTGGATGCCAGCCTCAGTCTCAGAGCTCAGGCACCTTCCAAGTCCCTTCCCCTCCCACTTGGCCACTTGCCACCAGACAGCTCCCTCTAATTTCTCCCCACTTGGCCCAGCCATGAGCCCTGGCCAGGCCACCTGGCTGTGATCTGGTGATCACACAGTCCACCGCTGTGTAGTGCACAAGAGGCTGGACATCCAGTGCATCGAGTATGTGTGTCAGCTCTGCCTAAGTCAACCTCTCCCTGGCAATGCTGAAAACCTCAGTGAAGTTAAGAAAACAGGTTGCAAGGTTCATGTTACCTTGGGGTCACTTTGTGAGTCCCATAGCTGTGGCTGGAAGCGGGTACTGGAGTATCCTCTGGAAGAGAGGATGGTCAGTTCTGAGCGCTATGCACATCACTGAAATGGAAACTGCAGTCATGATTAACCCCTCTCTCTTCAGTGCATCTGAAGACTTGGATGAGTGCTCCTGATTCCAGGTCATCTTCACAATGCAACTGAAGCACCCTTCGAGCTCTGTCTGTTCCTGATTAAAACTGTCACCTGAAGAGATGCCACATGATTGCGGAGGCCAGAGAAGCGGCCGAGTAGGGCTGCCTGGAGTCATTGTCCACCTCGGCCTCCACAAAAACGGCCTCCCTCATGCAGAAGACCAGCCCTGCAGACTGCTGGCCATAGTGGGCCACACCTGTCATTCGCTTAGCGGAATCTTGATTTGTTCAAAAGAATGGCACCCTTGCCTCTGTGGCTGCAAAAAAACTTCTGGCCAATGCCCAGTGGTCCCGACAGGCCCAGGGGAACTCGACCAACCCCTCCACCCTCAGTGGCCAGGGGCCCCACACCCATGGCCTCCAGTGCGGACCCTGCCTGCCCGTGGGCTGTGCTCCCTCTTCCCCCACACCGTACACTCCCGGCTCATTCCTGCCTTGGCTTTTTACGTGCGAAATACAAATCCTCCGTTCTTCACTCTCCTGCAGCCAAGCCTGCTTCCCGGGGTCTCAGCAGTGTCTCCAGCCAGGAAGCCCTGAGTACTCCCTTGGTGTGGGACCTCCAGGACAGGCCTGCGAACTGCTGATGGTCTCACCCAGGGTGACGCGGGTGATTCTGGCGGCGTGTGAGGGGTCAGAATGATTCACAGAAGGGCCCCGAGGATCAAGGAGGTGTCCAAGGGGCTGCTGCCAGCCAAAGCTCGGAGTGAAGCTGCATTCACGGAGCCCAGGGAAACGGCAGGAGCCTCACTTGGGGCGACGCCTGGTCCAGGTGCAGCCACAGCGGGTTTGCTGCATCTCTGTGTGGAGCAGCCACAGCTCAGGTTCTGTTCCCCCCACCCCCCTTATCGGGCTCCAGTCAGGCCCCAGCACACACATGGCCCGGTGGTGGGACACGGGTGTCAGGTAGCTGCTGCAGGGCAGGGCTGAGCAAACAGGATGTACCTGCCCCTGGCTCAGGTGGGCTCAGGCCCCTTCATGCAGCGAGGAGTCAGGGCCCCCGAATCTCTGGGAGGACGCATCCTAGGGGATTTCCTCCACGGTGTTGGAATTGAAGGACTTAATGACGTCCCTTCCCATGCGCACAGTGTCCCAGGCACGTGCCTCAGCCTCACATGCCGGGGCACAGGGCTGCCCTGCGAGGTGGGAGGAAGACCTAGGTGAGGACCCGGAGCCAAGGGCTTTCCTGACCGTGAAATTGCAGGTGAGGACCTGGAGCCGAGGGCCGGTTCTAGCTGCTCCAAGCGCCCGAGGGCCAACGTTGGCAGTGGCCTCCAATGCCCTGAGCCTCATGACCCTTCATCAGCGTGACTGGTGACAGTGGCCACAGGCCTGCGGACCTGCCTGGCCAAGCGGCCTGGGGGAGCTGGCCCATTGAGTTTCTTTCCTGGTCACTAGGAACTAGAACACAGAGGTGTGGGTTGGCTTCTCTGGATGCTTGAACTGAGAAAAGTTAGAAGTCAGATGGGACCCAGAGAGGGTGGAACATTTTTGAGCTATAAAAACGAGAGAATGGGACAGAGCAGAGAGGCAGCAGTGGAAGGTGGGAGTCCGAGAAGAGGGACAGAGTCACAGAGGGAGAGCAGGACCCCTGGGGCCCCACACCCCAGCCCTTCATCCAAGCCTGAGAGGGGTTTGTGGCCGCTCCCACCCCTGGAGCCCCTGAGCTCGGACCGCATCCCCCGACCCCTTGAGTCCCTGAGCTGGGACTGAGTCCCCCAACCCCTGGAGCCCCTGACCTGGGACCACATCCCCCGACCCCTGGAGCCCCTGACCTGGGACCACATCCCCCAACCCCTGGAGCCCCTGACCTGGGACCACATCCCCCAACCCCTCAAGTCCCTGAGCTGGGACTGAGCCCCCCAACCCCTGGAGCCCCTGACCTGGGACCACATCCCCCAACCCCTGAAGCCCCTGGGCTGAGACTGCGTCCTTCAGTGATCTCAGCTTCGTGTTTCTGAGCTAACGGCAGCACATTCCAACTCCAGGATTGCCGAGCTCGTGTTCATCCCTGAGCTTTATCGAGTGTTCTCCATGGGCCAGTTACCCCCCATTCATTCTATGTGTGCCACTTCAAGGAAGATTCATGTCTCGCCTACCATGAGAATACTACTTCATCTTGTCCCCATCGTACACATTTTAAAATCAGAAAACAAAAATATGAGACAGAGAGAAAATGGGTGGTGTGCATGACACAGCAGGACCAGGAGGCCACAGAGTGCCTGGCCGGTGCAAGAGGGAGAAGCCTAGGGCTCTGCACTGTCCCACGGAGATGGAGCTGCCCAAATGGAGCAGGTCGCCCTGACACTGAGCCGGTCTCTCCTCCTCTAATTCATGCTTAATTGCCTTTCATGAAGCCAGCTGTACAAGGCAAAATGCCTTTGCTGGGCTGCCTTTTGAAAAGTTCTGCTCAGTTCGTCTCCCGCTCTCCATCTTGGTTCAGCCCAGGCTGCCATCTCCCGTTCCTTCACCACTGCAGCCAGGCACCTCTCCAGAGTCAAGTCCAACAATGCTGGTCCTCACTTCACTGTCTTTATGGTTCCCCAGAATCGACCTCCAGTCTATTTCCATATTTTCAGGGTTCTTTATCACCTGACCTCTACCTGAGTTTACTCCTTCACCCTGTCACCCCAAATCCAACTTCACAACCCAACCCCAGAGCCAGCACGACCTTATTTGCTCATGATACTGACAAAAACACAACAGGAATTCCTGCCTGGTGGAGCCTGCAGTGTCTGGGGGAGACAGACAATGAAGAGTGAACTGAATGAATGAGAAAGCATAGAGTTTGTTAAAGGTTAAATGTGCTGTGAAAGAAAGAGGAAGCAGAGGGGTCCAGGAGGCCCAGGAAGGTGAGCGTGGGGGATAAGCAGAGTCAGCGAGGGTGGCCACGTCACCCCTATTGAGAAGGAAGTGTTTGAGGGAAAGCTTGCAAGGATGGGGGAAAGAATCCAACAGGCTCTGGGGGAAGAATTCGAGGCAGACAGAAAAGCCATGAGAAGGCTGGGCGTGGTGGCTCACGCCTGTAATCCCAGCACTTTGGGAGGCCGAGACAGATGGATCAGGAGATCAAGACCATCCTGGCCAACATGGTGAAACCCCGTCTCTACTAAAAAAATACAAAAGAAATTAGCCAGGCTTGGTGGTGGTCACCTGTAGTCTCAGCTACTTGGGAGGCTGAGGCAGGAGAATGGCGTGAACCCGGGAGGCAGAGCTTGGAGTGAGCCGAGATCACGCCACTGCACTCCAGCCTGGGTGACAGAGCAAGACTCTGTCTCAAAAAAAAAAAAAGAAAAAAGAAAAAAAAAGAAAAGCCACAAGAAGGACCTTAAGGGAGCTGTGGAAGAAGCACTTCACAGGGGGAAGATCGTACCTTCAGTTCCGGACGGGCGAAGCTGGAAAAGCCTATTTGACACTCAGGCCGGATGTGAGGTAGACAGAGCAGGAATGGGTGTGAGCTGGAGAACATCTATCAGCTGGTGAATCCTCGTCAGAGAGACATCGTTGAAAATGGAGGGAAATGCTACGAAGACCAAACATTGAGCCCTGAGTCAAAAGGGCCACAGTTAAAAGGTCTTCAAGATGTGTAAGGACCAGCAGGGAGTCTGAGAATGAGCAGTGGGTTCAAAGGGAAACCAAGATGGCACCATGTTCTTCGAGCTGGTGAGTCCTGCTTTCCAGGGACAATGGGCCATGACTACGCTGAGGGAGTCCCAGAAGGGCAGCCGCATGGGGCCTTCGTCATCATGGGGCCTGGGCGAGGCAGAAGTCCAGCTGGAGTGAGTTTAAGACAGAAAAGAAGGGGAGGAATTGGAATTCACAGGATGACCCAAGGGTTTTACTGCAAAGAGGCACAGATCCCTGGAGCAGCAGCTGAAAGGGCGGATTGGGTGAAACACATTACTAACTAAAAAAAAACAGATGGCTACAAAGACCCAAGGAAATAGCATTGATCTGAGAAACAAAGAACTGCCATTTGAATATACTGAATCAGGGCAGCCCTGAAGAGCGTCTTGCGAGGCAGGCGCGTGAGGGGGTTTGGAAGGGGATTTTCACAAAAAGCTGGTTTTCGAGGCCTTTCCTTGATGAGGCCCTGAGTCCTACTCAGCCCCGCTGTCCCCAGGTCCTGGCCGTGGCCTGGTAATCACATGGCCCATCACCGTGTGGTGGACAAGAAGCTGCACAGCCAGAGAGTTAAGCAACTGCGCCAGCGCTGCCTAAGTCAGCCGCTCCATGGCAACGCCAAAAATCTCAGGGAAGCTGAAAAAGCAAAACCTTTAAGGAAGCCAGGTTTATATTGCATTTAGGGTCACTCTGTGAGTCCTGCAGCTGGGACTGGACACGGATACTCGTGTATCCTCCGGAAGAGATGATGGTCAGTTCTGAGGGCTGTGCCTGTCTCCAACATGGCCATTTGTTGGCTTGGCAGAGATCCTAAACTGCAAACCTGTTCTGCTTGGTGAGATAATCAGTGTGGTCCTAGTGAAGAGTTGTAGAAGGCTGGGGGACAGTGACTTCAGTTGCTTCCTCAAGTCTACCGGAGCATCTAGCAGGTGTGGGTGCAATGCTGTCACCATCTTCCAACCCCTCTTTAGAAAGCCTTAGTTACCTCACCTTCCACATGTTCCCCTTTTGATCAAGATCTTTATCCAGAAGGCATCTCAGATTAACCGGTGAGTCTGATTTTGTTCTTTGTCGCTGGGATATACCTGTCCCAGGGAGTCACGTTCCTTATCAGGGGGTCTCTAGGCCTATGGAAATGTAAGACTAGACTGTGTTACATTTGAGTTAACAGGTGGTTTTGAAAGGAATGCTGTCAAGCCTGCTTAGGTCCCCAGAATTGTCAGATCAGATGTGTTTTCCACATCATATGCTTGATGAATATCATATCGTGCTTCTAAGGACTGTTACTTTGGTTAAACTGATTTCTAAGCACACGTGGATAAGGAGAAGTGACTTAAGTTTTACAAAAATAACAGCAATAGTCACGAGACTGAGTAACAAAAGCTGAAGACTGGATTTTAGCCACCTTCCGAAGAGATCAAGTAGCCGAATATTCCATGGTGAATGCTTTATTTAGCTAAGTAGTGAGAATGTTTCCAACTCGGGCTCTACTTTTTTAGATGTATTTATTCCAGTATAACACGAGGTACTGGCTACAGCACTAGGGCAAGATAGAATTTAAAGTAATTCTGTTGTGCAAGGGAGTGAAAGACAAAAACTAGGAGTATAGAGAAAGCAACAGATAAGAAGCCAAGTATTTCAGGTATTTCCGGGAGCTTAATGATATCCAGGCCTGGCCCAGGGGTCTTGGGTGTGTGGTCACCTTTAGCTGTTCTCTGCTCCACTCCTAGGTCGATTTTAGCTTCAGGCCTCTAATTGTTTCTGAATTCCAGCAGGGGTAGGAACTTCCTTTAAATAAGAAGTGTGAATCCAGAGTGAACCTTTTAGTTTGGCAGCACAGAAATGGGCAAGGAGCACCTCATATGGACCTTTCTATTGAGGTTGAGGCAATGATTTTGTAAATTTTTCTCCCAAAAGGCAAAATCACCAGGAGGCAGGTTGTTCTATTTGCTGCCTTCATCTCCTGGAAGCACACTATGGAAAGATTGTTCTACCAGAGTATGATTTGCGTCTAAAGCCTTAATTATTCCTTGATAATGTTGGAAACTGTCTCCTTTGATGAACTGGATGTTAAAAGCAGAGTGGGCTAAATGTATTGGCCATCCAGTAATAATTTCAAAAGGTGACGAGTTATGTTTTCCAAAAAGTGCATACCTTAGACTCAAAAGGACCAGAGCAAGTACCTTTGTCCAGGGCAGCTGTAATGCCTCCTCAAATTTCACCAGTTGGGTTTTGAGAATGCCATTTGTTCTTTCTGCCAATAAGGAAGATTGGAGATAAGCACAAGGAAAGGGTTGAAATATGGGCCAATCTTGGCAAATTTGCTCTTTCTCATGGCCAGTGAGGTGCATTTCTCAGTCACCATATAAGTCTGAGGGTTTGCCCCATGTAGGATAACCTTTTCTAACAACAGCTTTGAAACCGCTGAGGTAGTGGCCTGTCAACAAGAGAGTGCGTCTACCCAAACGGAAAACACAAACCATGGTTTATAACCTTGATAGGGAGGTAGCTGGATGAAATTCACTGGCCAAATCTCAAAGAGTCCATTAGGCAGATCGAAGTGACCTGGAATTGTCTAAATGGTCTCTGCTGGGTTGAATTCTGGACAAACAGTGTGAGACAGCTGTGCCTCTGTAGTGGCCCTTGAAATGTTTCTCTAACAATACTTTATCATAGAATAGAAGTTCACCAGTTTCCCAGCAAATCATCTCAAGGATCATTTTCCTTAGGGGATCTTCATAGATCATGGTGATATTGGTTTATTAGTGGGACCATACCGTAAGTTTATCTTTGGGCCAAAAGTGCAACCATTAGTCCAATAAGATTTTTCTTTATGTGCTCAAGACTGAGCACCTTTTAAACCCTTTAAAAAGAACACCATTTAAATCCTTTTTGGAAAATAACCAGTACTAACTACAGGATTTTCAGTCTTTGTGGATCTCGAGGCAGCTGCCCTCACTGCATGATCTGCTGCATTGTCTCCTTTCCCCTCATCAGACTCCAGTTTTGAGTGGCCAGGAATTTTGATTACGGCCGAGGCAAAGAGAGGTTGAATTGAATTGAATAAATTATTGACAAAGGTTCATTTGTAATGTGGTTTCCTCCAGAGGTTAAAAATTCTCCATGTTTCCACAGCAGACCAAAAGCACAACCACAAAGTCATACATACCGATGGTGTAAATATTTGCAGTTTGACCATTCACCAGAAGACAAGTCCTGTGATCAAGGCATAAAGTTCTGCGTGTTGGGCTAAAGTGGCCATTGGCAGTGCTTCCACTACTTCACAGAGTGTGGGTATACCATACGTAGCACACTTTTTTCCTGCATTATCTGTTCTATATGATTGATTAGTAAACCATGAAATTCCGTCTGGCTTTGGGGTTTCTTATAAATTAACTCTAGGTTTTAGTCGTTGGTCAGTTACACGATCATGAGGTTTCTCATCATCAAGTAGGAAACAAAGGCTTCTGGATTAAGATTACTGCAACAGGAAAGAATAATATGCGGAGAAGTCAATGGCAAGGCCTAATAAGCCTAATAAGCAGTTAGTCTACTTGCAGAAAGATGTTGGGTATGACGACAGTGGAGGAAAGCTTCCAGGGTGTGAGGAGTATAGTTGACAGAGGAGAGCCCACGACCATCTCCTCTGTACCTCTAAAGCCGTAGTGGCTGGCACAGCTCTCATGCAGGGAGGGAGTCTCTTCGCTCTGATTCTAATTGCTACTATAATAGCCAAGGGGTCTGTCGGTCTCCATTTCTTTGGGTAAGGATCCCTAACATATTCACTTCACTTTTGTTCACAGAAAGGAAGAAGGGGAGATAATAATTGAGGTGCTGTAAGGCAGGAGAACTTAGAAGTCCTTCTTTTAACTGATGGAAGGCTATGTGGGCATTCCTTTCCAGTTCAAGGGAACTGGTTTGTTAACTTTCAGAAGGGTGGAGCTATCAACGACAAAGCTCTTCCCTCATCCGTGAGGTTTCTTCACAGGCAGGGTAGTATTATTACAGGGGTTAGTGCAAGATACCGTTAGATTATTGACTTTATGTTCTTCTGTAATTGGTTTAATTTCTGCAAGAGCTTCAGGTTTAGGGGGTATTATCTGATGTTAGAAAGAGGCTTGTTTGAGTTCATTTGAAATTTTTCGGGGGAGCTGGATGGATTCATCCAATGTCTGTTGTGGATTTAGCCCAAAGTTCCTCAGGAACCTCTTTTGAAAGAGCTAATCTCTCAGCATTTTTGTTATTTAGGTTAAGGGCAAAAATGGGCAAGAGTATAGAAAAATTCTTACTGCTTGCAGTTAAAGCAGGGGTTTACTCAATTTTTAAAACTATGGGAAAAGGAAACTTTCGGGAAAAGGAAATAGCAACAGGTGTTTTACTAAGAAGTCCCTTCCAAGGAAGTGAACTGGGGCCGAGATAACTCAAAAAATGAATGACTGTCCCAGAGATGACCTAGTTGAAGAAGCAGGGGTAAGGATTTGCAAATTGTTAAAGGTGCATTAGAAACTTCCAACATTTGAATTTGTTCAGTGCTCCAAGGAAAAGGCTACTTGAGGCCAGTGATGTCAGTCCCAGAAAGGCCTGCTTCCCAGTCTATGACGACAGTGAGAACTTCCTTTCCAATCAGGGGGGTAGTTTTGCCCAAATGATTAAGAGGCAAGACCTGTTTCCTCAGAGCACCTGCAGTCCCTAAGGGATACAGAGGGCAGTTTATTAAGGGGTCTTTTATCACACTATATATATATATATATAGCTGCTGTGCAAGCTGCTCTGCCACTTGGGCCATATGACCCAGCAGATCCAATGGTGTTAGAGGTGTCAGTGGCAGATAGGGATGCTGTTTGGAGCCTTGGCAGGCTTCCATAGGTGAGCCTATGGAGGTCTCTAGGACCAGTGGAGGTCTCTAGGATTTTGGAGCAAGGCCCTGTACTATCTTCTGCAGATAACTATTCTTCTTTTGAGAGACAGCACTTGGCCTGTTACTGGGCTTTGGTGGAAACTGAACGTTAGACTACGGATCATCAAGTCACCATGTGACCTGAACTGTCTATCATAAACTGGGTGTTTTCTGACCCATCTAGCCATAAAGTGGGTCATGCACAGCAGCATTCCATCATCAAATGGAAGTGGCATATATGTGATCGGGCTCAAGTAGGTCCTGAAGGCACAAGTTACATGAACAAGTGGGTCAAATGCCCATGGTCTCCACTCCTGCCACCTCTGCTTTCTCTCCCCCCAGCCTGCGCCAATGGCCTCATGGGGAGTTTCCTATGATCAGTTGACAGAGGAAGAGAAGACTAGGCTTGGTTCACAGATGGTTCTGCACGATATGCAGGCACCACCTGAATGTGGAGGGCTGCAGCACTACAGCCCCTTTCTAGGACATCCCTGAAGGACAGTGGTGAAGGGAAATCTTCCCAGTGGGCAGAACTTGGAGCAGTGCACCTGGTTGTGCTCTTTGCACGGCGGGAGAAGTGGTCAGATGTGTGATTATATACTGATTCATGGGCTGTAGCCAATGGTATGGCTGGATGGTCAGGGACTTGGAAGAAGCATGAGTGGAAAATTGGTGACAAAGAAATTTGGGAAGAGGTATGTAGATGGACCTCTCTGAGTGGTCAAAAACTGAAGATATTTGTATGCATGGGAGTGTGCACCAATGGATAAGCTCAGCAGAGGAGGAGTTTCATAATCAAGTGGATAGGATGACCCATTCTCTAGACACCACTCAGCCTCTTTCCCCAGACACCCCTGTCATCACCCAATAGGCCCATGAACAAAGTGGCCCTGGTGGCAGTGATGGAGGTTACACATGGACTCAGTAACATGGACTTCCACTCACTGAGGCTAACCTGGCTACAGCCACTGCCAAGTGCCCAATTTGCCAGCAGCAGAGACCAGCACTGAGCCCTAAATATGGCACCATTCCTCGGGGTGATCAGCCAGCTCCCTGGTGGCAGGTTGATTATATTGGACCTCTTCCATCATAGAAAGGGCAGAGGTTTGTCCTCACTGGAATAGATACTTACTTTGCCTATCCTGCATGCAATGCTTCTGCCAAGACTACCATCCGTGGACTCACGGAATACCTTATCCACTGTTATGGTGTTCCACACAGCATTACCTCTGACCAAGGCACTCACTTTATGGCTGAAAAAGTGCAGCAGTGGGCTCATGCTCATGGAATTCACTGGTCTTACCATGTTCCCCATCATCCTGAAGAAGCTGGATTGACAGAACGGTGGAATGGCCTTTTGAAGTCACAATTACAGCACAACTAGGTGACAATACTTTGCAGGGCTGGGGCAAAGTTCTCCAGAAGGCTGTGTATGCTCTGAATCAGCATCCAATACATGGTACTGTTTCTCCCATAGCCAGGATTCACAGGTCCAAGAATCAAGGGATGGAAATGGAGGTGGCACCACTCACCATCACCCCTAGTGATCCACCAGCAAAATTTTTGCTTTCTGTTCCTGCGACATTACGTTCTCCTGTCCTAGAGGTCTTAGTTCCAGAAGGAGGAACGCTGCCATCAGGAAACACAAGGACAATTCCATTAAACTGGAAGTTAAGATTGCCACCTGGACACTTTGGGCTCCTCCTACCTTTAAGTCAACAGGCTAAGAAGGGAGTTACAGTGTTGGCTGGGATGATTGACCCAGACTATCAAGATGAAAACAGTCTACTACTCTACACAGAGGTAAGAAAGGGTATACATGGAATACAGGAGCTTCATTAGGGCATCTCTTAGTATTACCATGCCCTGTGATTAAGGTCAATGGGAAACTATGACAACCCAATCCAGGCAGAACTACAAATGGTCCAGACCCTTCAGCAATGAAGTCTTTGGTCACTCCACCAGGAAAAAAAAGCACAACCTGCTGAGGTGCTTGCTGAAGGCAAAGGGAATACAGAATGGGTAGTAGAAGAATGTAGACATCAATACAAGCTACGACCTTGGGACCAGCTACGACCACGGGACCAGCTGTAGAAATGAAGACTGTAATTGTCATGAGTATTTCCTCCTTCTTTTTCTAAAAACATCTTTGTGCATGTATACACTTGTACTAAGAAAATATCTTCATTTTGTTTCATTTTCCTTTATTATGTAACATAAGATTTATTGACTTCATACCAACATTTAAGTATTTCTAACTTCATGTAATCGTATTTGGATTGGGGATTGGTGTGTTTCCAGTTGTGTGAAGGATAGTTGTATTATGTTAGGTGTAATTATAACCTCATTATTGTCTTTATTTGAAGATAATGTATGATCTCAGGAGATGTGTATGGGTTCGAGTTGACAAGGGGTGGACTCGTGGTGGTTAATACTGAGTGTCAACTTGATTGGATTGAGGGATACAAAGTGTTAATACTGGGTGTGTCTGTGTGGGTGTTGCCAAAAGAGATTAACATTTGAGTCAATGGGCTGGGGACGGCAGATCCACCCTTAACCTGGTGGGCACAATCTAATCAGCTTCCAGCAAATATAAAGCAGGCAGAAAAACGTGAAAAGGGTAAGATGGGCCTAGCCTGCCAGCCTCCATCTTTCTCCTGTGCTGGATGCTTTCTGCCCTTGAACATTGGACTCTAAGTTCTTCAGTGCTGGGACTCCGACTGGCTCTCCTTGCTCTTCAGCTTGCAGACAGACTATTGTGGGACCTTGTGATTTGTGTGTTTATTATATACACACACACACACATATATGTATACACACACATATATATCTCCTATTAGTTCTGTCCCTCTAAAAGAACCCTGACTAATGCAATTGTTTACCAATTAAGTTGAGCCTATTTAACTAGAATTGTAAGATCGTCATCTCAGCCATTTCTGAAGAGAGGTTTAAAAGCCACTTTGGTAGATTCAGAATCCTGAAAGGAGTCCAGACTTTTTCTTGAAAGTGATTTCAAGTCTGTTGTAATAATCACTACCTCACCTTCCTTTTGGGAGCAGGTGTGAATCTTGTCCCAAGCTACTCATTTGGGGAACGGCTCGGTATAAAGTTTGAGCTCCTTCTTGGGTTTTTTTCTCCTGGGAAGCCTATAGCATCAGAGGTCTGATAGAAGATTGCCCCTGCCTGCTTTTGCCATCCAGCGTTTTACCAGGCTTTCTCCAATGAGCCTGCGTATTAATTGATAAAGATCAGAGGAAAAAGGTTCATCAATTTGGGCAACAATTTGAAATTCTTCAGGAAATTTATGAGGGTGTTCAAGAACCTTGGGGAAGTTGGGCTATAGCCGTAAGTTCGGCTTTGGTTCAGGATGTATAGTAAATGTTTGAGACAGGGCCCTTCTTATTTGGATGAAGCTGGAAAGGGAGAATTTGAACAGGTTTAGCAGAAACAGGGAAATCAAGAGAAGCTTTGGGGTCCACAGATTAGAAGGGAAGTTGAGCACGTGTGGGATATCGAGGTAGGGAGCAGCAGGAGTGGGGGAAGGAGGGTCAGGGAAGAAACCTGAAACTCAAAGACTTTTTCTTTCCCCTTCGATTAATTAATAGCCTCTGTGAATACAGAGGGTGTATTTTGAAGAGATAATTTTAGAGCCCTTATTTAATAGCCTCTGTGAATTCAGAGGGTATATTTTGAAGAGACAATTTTAGAGCCCTGAATATGTTTGGATGCCTCTAAATGCCAATTAAAACCCACACCGCATTCAGGTTGTTTTGTTTTTGAATCAAGGTCTTCTATTAATAATTCAGTTTGGAGAAAGTCTAGCTTTGATATGACAAAGGAACCTCAATTTGGCCATTGTAAAAGCATCCACAGTTCCAGATAAATACAGGTGAAGATCCCATAATTTTTTAACATATAACCAGCTTGAGTCCCAGAAGGAGGACAAACATTACATGGTTTAGTATTACAGAATCCCATACTCAGGGCCAGTCGTGGTGGCTCACACTTGTAATCCCAGCACTTTGGGATGCCAAGGCCGGTGGATCACCTGAGGTCAAGAGACAGGCCTGGCCAACATGGTGAAATCTCGTCTCTACTAAAAATACAAAATCAGCCAGGCGTGGTGGCGGATGCCTGTAACTCCAGCTACTTAGGAGGCTGAAGCAAGAGAATCACTTGAACCCAGGAGGCAGAAATTGCAGTGAGCCGAGATCACGCACTCCAGCCTGGGCAAAAATAGTGAAACTCCATATTACAAAATAAAAAGGAATCCTATACTCATAATTATTATAATCATAATAATACTCACCAAAAGGAAAACTTCTAGTAAATTAGGAAAACTTCCTCACAATTAGAAGCCTTTGTTGGCACAAATGGAACAACTTGCTTTAAATTCCCAAGTAAAGATATGAACCTCAACCAGAGGGACAGAGGTCGGGGCCCAGGAGGCCTTCGAGCCTGGGTGCCAGCAGTCTGGGAAGGTGAGTGGAGGCGACCTCACCCGACTTCAGAGAACACAGGTCCTGGAAAGGGAAGGTCACTTCAGGCCCTACTTCTGACATCAGCTATGTTAACTTGGAAAAAAAGAAAAAATAAAAAAGATTTACATCAAGGTGAAAGAAATACATTTGTTTGGAAAACAAAGAATTGCCATTTGAATACACTGAATGGGGCTGCCCTGCAGTGTCCTGGAAGGCAAGGGCAGCAGAGGGTTTTTGTAGGGGATTTTCACAAAAAGTTGTTTTTGGAGGCAGCTCACTGTCTGGACAGCAATCCTAAATTGCAAACCTGTTCTGATTGGTGAACTCATTAGGGTACTGCTAGCTGAGAGGCACTGAAGAGCAGGTAGCAGATACAGACTTGAGTTGTTTATCCACATCCCTTGGAGCATCCTGGAGTTTGACCTTCAGCATGTGTGAGTGGAATAGCCCTGCAACCTCATACTCCACTTGAGAAAGCCTCAGCCTTGGTTACTTATTTCCCAGCATACAAACAAATGCCCATGCACGCCCACATATGTGGCATGCACAATGGAAATGTCGGCACGTTCACTTGCTGATGGAAATGACTTAGAGTGGGCACAGTTAATAACTAGGAAGGAAGAGACACGTACTTCAGTGACAGTTTCCCCAGATTGCGAGAGGATGTGTCCAGTGAGAGTGGGAGTCACTGGTTCTGGATGGACCCACGGACGGTTCATCTCTAGTCGAAGTCAGCCGCAGGCAGGAAGGCAGAGGGCAGGGTGCAGAGGCTGGCGGGGGAAGGGCGGTGGAAAGGCCTGGCAGGTTCCCTATTTTAATCTTCTCAGTGACGCAGGAAGCAAGGTCATCAGCGGAGATGAGCATCGTGGAGGAGACAATGGTGTGCAGAGGTAGGAGACGCGAGAGGGGGGTGCACTAGATGGAGGAAGCTGCAGGTGTCATAAAGGTCCCCTCAGGCTCATGGCCATGAATTCAAAGGGAGTCAGTGAGTGTGTTTTTCTTCTGACACAATCAGCTGAACAGATGCAGGCAAAGCGTTGATAGAAAATTGGGTTTGCCCAGGGTTATGGCTCTGCCAAGACAGTTGTAGGAAGCGACAGAACCACGAGGAAACTGAGCAGGTGTGAGAGGGATGAGAACCCCTGACAAGGGAAGGGATCAGATCAGAGCAGAGAAGACAGAGGGAAGTGTAGGCTGTAGCTCAGTTTGGAGCTGTGGTAAAGACAAGTGATCCTGGAGTCAAATGCCGGAGGGAGGGAGGGAGGGATTGATTCAGCTAGAAGGACAGGAGGCGGCAATCTGAGAGCTGGGACTCACCACACTAAGTCTACAGAGGAATGAAAATAGTCAGTAGCCAACACAGGATGGAGGACACAGCCATTGGAGGAGGTATGTTCAAAGATTTCAGGAACCTCCAGAAACAAGGAGCAGCCACAGCTGGGGACCCAGTGTCACACCTGGGGACAGAAGAGGCCACACTAGGGAATTTAGGAAGAAGGCCTGAAACACGTGCTGGACGCGGCAATGAGAAACAGAGTCATCTGTTCCGCTCCCAAGCCCAGGCCTGGTGGTGAGGAGGCGCCGAGGACTTCAGGCAAAGAGACACACAGGAAAACCCACCGCCCACAGGGAAAGCTGCAGATACAGCAAGGTCTGGGGGGAGAACCAGATTTCTGCTAGCGGGGGGAAGGTGAAGGGAACATTCAGGGAGAAGCAGAGGAAGTAGGACTGCGAATTTCAAAGTTGGACTGGTAGATGTCAAAGCCATGTAGATAGAACGGGACGGACAAGGAGGGAGGTCCGGCAGGGTGTTCTGGGGATAACGGGCAGAGAGTGGCGGGAGGCTCCAAAGGTCAGGGCTGGGAGGAGGCACGGGCGGCCTCCAGGAGGTGCTGTTTGCTCCCAAGTCCCCTGACAACAAGCCCCCATGGTGCTTGGTGAGATTGAGAACATCTGGGGAAGTCAGGGGTTCCTTCCTGGGTGTGTGTGTGGTGGTGACGGGGTGGAGTAATGGAAGTTTGAGAATGTGAAACCAACCCCCTGCTTGAGGCCCTTTCTGAGCTTGCTAGAGTCAGCTTTCCTGGGTGCTTCAATCTTCTCTTCACCCGGCCACGTCCTCCTCTAAGGTTCCACAGTTCCCCTGAAGGAAGCCCTCTGTTCCCTCCCGAGTGTGCGGTCAGGTGCCCATCATGGTGACCCTTAGACCCAGGAATATTCCCCTCCTCAGTGCCCAAGGGTAGTTGCCTCTCCACGTTCCATTCATCTTAGTGTTCCAGGAACCCAGCATCATCCTGATGCCTAGTAGAGGGTCAGAAACATGACACAAGGATAACCACACAACCTGACAGCTTGCAAGGACCTCAGTTACAACCAGCCCAGCCCCTTTCTTGGATAACGGAGGAGAACTGAGCCAAAAAGGGGCAGAGGCACTTAGCTGCACTAACGGCCCAGAGCCGGGGCTCCCGACCACAGAGTCGTGGCTTTGGCCTCAGCCTCACAGCTAGACAGCTCTGATTTATGGTCCCTTGGTTTTCCATGCTGACTTCCCACTTACCACTGTGCAGGCTGCTTGAAAGAAAATCCCACCTGCTGGTTCCCTGGGAGACTGGGGACCACTTCAGACTCAAACATTTCTTTGGCTCAAGAGTTTGTTGCCTTCTAAGCCCCCCGACTTCATCATCTGTTTTCTTCTTTGTCACATAGGATCCATGCCACCAGCCCTGCAGACCCTCTAGCAAGAGGGGCGAGAATTGTCAGAGACCAGGCCTGGCTCATTTATTTGTATACGTACCGTGCAAACATTTTTGAACTGTCTTCTATTCTCCATCTGCTTTATCTATGTTTACTCCATATGCTTCTTGGCAGCAAGCTAGCTGCCTTCTTGTTCATTTTTAACTTACAAGAGGTCCTCTTCCTCCCTCTCCCTGGGTTGCCTCTGTGGATGCTATTATCTTTTCAACAATCAATGTTTGGCAATAGCCCAGGTACAGAACGGCTAGGTCTAGAGACCATTCCTCAATTGAGAGCCCAGAATACTATTTTAAATAAATGTGCAGATTTAGAAAAAGGACAAATATCAAGTAAATCTTGTCTATGATGCCCCATCAAGTAATATTCCTGAAGATTAGCTGCTAGAACCTATGAATCTCAGGACCTATAAATAACCTGCTTTTGACAAGCAACATATATACATTTTCTTTAAGAGCTAAATGTCAGGAAATTCATTCCTGGAGATCTACACGAAGACACGCATGTCGACATGCTGCTACCTCTGTAATAAATGTGGAGATGTAAAATACAGATCATATCGCCGAATTTTTCACGTCCTCATCAGCCACCTCAAAGAATCAAAGATGAGGAAGTCCTCACTGAAATCAAGGATTGCAACTTTCTCTAGAGGCAATTTCCATTCTCATGTTTTTTCTCCCAGACCCAGACTATTAAAATTGGAAGAGGAATATAGAATGAAAAATCAGGCTCAAACCTTTCACAGATGAATGTACGACAAGAATAGAGGTGGATTGCAGTTTTGCATTGATTATGAACAGCCGTATCTATAGACATATTGATGAATCCCATGGAGAGAAGCAATCGAGTTCTGTGAACATGGTTATATGAGTATTTTTAAGCCTACAATGTTATCAAGAGCACATAAGGTGAATGGCCTAAGAAAATGCAGAGTGTGAATCATTTCATTCAACACTAGTTTAATTTGCAAGTCCAGATTTGAATCTAAATCCATAGGGATAAAAATAAACCTCAACTTAAATTTTGGATAATTTCTAATTCTTTTTATTTTAAAGCTCGAAAATCTCTAACATCTGCCACCAAAAGACTTGACACCCTCCCCCCGTCTTTTTTAGGGCAGAGGAAATGATAGAGATCTTTAGGCTTTTGAAGTTGTCTTGGTCCGTTTTGTGCTGCTGTAACATAATATTACAGACTGGGTAATTTATAAAGAAAAATAATTGATTGCTTACAGTTCTGGAGGCTGGAAAGTTCAAGGACACGGTGCCAGCATCTAGTGAGGGTCTTGCTGTTGCGTCATCCCAGGGTGGAAGGCAGAAGGGCAAAAGAGCACTCAGAGAATAAGGGTGGGTAAGAGGGGGCTGACCTCACTTTTTTCAGGATCACACTCCTGCCATGTAGACATTGATCCCCTCATGAGGCCTAATCACCTCTTGATAGTCCCACCTCTAATACATCACAAGGGCAATTAAATTTTAACTTGAGTTTTGGAGGGACTGTTCAAACCACAGCAGCAGGGATCCCTAATGAGTTAATATAAGACACTGTTACTTCCAATACACAGACATGTTTAAGAGTTGCTATTGTGTGGCTTATGTCATAGAACAGAAGGAAGTTAAATGGATTGGCCGGGTGGCTGGCTGCTTTTTGATTTGTTTGTTCACCTACTTCGCTTTGTTTCCTTCCTATCTTAAGGAATTTCTTGATACAATTATTCATTTATTCATTTAACAAATATTCTTACCTCCTGTTCCTAATGATAATAATAGCAGTTGCTGTGTCTATTGAATTCTTAAATGTACCAGACATTATGTTAGTAATTCTATGTGTGTGCTATCTCCTCATTACATTAGACCTAAAAATGGGTGTTCTATTTCCATTTTGCACATAAGGAAATAGAGGGTAAGGTGTGGGCAGGTGCTGTCTCTAGGGGTAGAGTGTGGGGCAGACATTCTTTCCCTTTAAATGACTTGTTAGATTTTACATAGGGCCACAAAGATGAATACATCTCCCACTGCCTCTGAGAAGCTTATACAGATGAAAATATGTAAAACAAGGTTAAAAGTGACAAAAGACATAAGAAAGTCTGATAGAAAGGTGAAGAAAATTCAGAGAAGAAAGGATCATTCTCTACTGGGGGGATTAGGGAAGGTTGTCTAGAAAGGGGATTCGGAGAAGAGGGAAAGGGGCGAGGAGCAGAGGCTGGAAAGCACAGAGAACCCAGGCAGGCTCATTCTGATGAGATCATCGAGACACGAAGATTTGATGTTTTACATTAGCAAAATTATATATTATAACAGAATTGTCTAATCACACAAGAACACTTATAAAAACTGTGGCAGATGTATGCAGAGAGAGCACAGGAAGTGGTCACGTGAGGAGCCAAAGCCTGCAAAGGAAACAGCCGCAGCAGCCAGGAGGGACGGGATGCAGAGGAGCAGCTGGGAGGTCTAGGAAAAGGGCAGGTCAAGCTCTCCTATGTCCAGTGCAGAGACGGACCAAGCAAAACCAAGGCTGGGTTGTATCTGCTTCCTTTACCATCAAAGAGGACATCGCTGAGCTCAGGGAAACGTGGGATGAAGGAAGAACAGAAGAGGAAGGCAGAGAGGACGGCAGGGACTCCATCTGAGGGGAGATAGCAGATGAAGAGGAAGAAGATAGATGATTCTTTCAGGAAGGAAGGATGTGAAGAGAAGAAATAAGCAGCACTTGGAGCGGGCAAGGGAACCAAGAAATGTTCTTACTTTACTTTTTCTTTTTTTTTTTTTGTATTTTTTTTGGAAGAGACGGGTTTCGTCATGTTGCCCAGGCTGGTCTTGAACTCCTGAGCTCAGGGTATCCGCCCGCCTCAGCCTCCCAAAGTGCTGGGATTACAGGCTTGAGCCACCGCATGTGGCCCTGTTCTTACTTTTTAATGTGCTGTTTAAGTGGGAGAGACATAAGCACATGATGTGCCTGCAGGAAGGGGCCCAGGGTGACTGAGGTGGAGGATGCAGGAGCCAGCGTGGGCCCTGGAGAAGGCAGGAGCCAGGAGTGAGAAGAGCTGCAAGCAGGGGCCTGGCCGTGGGAAGAGGCCTCCACCTGTCACATGGAAGTCTTGCTAGGGAGAAGGAAATCATCCTTATAAACACACACCAGGGCCTGCTGGGGGATGGAGGGCGAGGTGAGGGAACTTCGAGGACAGGTCAGTGGGTGTAGCAAACCACAATGCACACGTTAACCTATGTAACAAACCTGCACGCTCTGCACATGTATCCTGGAACTTAAACTAAAAAATAAAAATAAACTATCTTCATGCATCCTTTTTCACCTGCATTTCTGATGACATAATTAGTACAGATAAATGACCCACAGTTTGATGTATCCGTCTCAGGCCCCCCACCCCCCGCACTCTGCCAACCACTCAAGCCCACAGGCCCGCCTCCCTCCTCAGCAGGCCTTCGAGAGGCCCCACCTACCTCCCAGCCTTGGAGACAGAGGCAGGATCCTGGGGGAACAAACAGCTCCTTGATGTCCTGTCACCCCCAGCTGATCAGGAGCTTATGGGAGAGAGAGTCCTCTTCAAAAAATTGTCTTTACATGGTGCATGAAAACATGCTACTGGACAAATTTTAGTAGAATAAAACTAACAATTAGCAGGAAAAATTGTTTAGATTAAAAGAGGTTATTCAGATTTTTTAGGAGTAAAACTCAAAAGAAGCTTGATATTTTAAAATATATTATTGCAACTGAAAACCTAACTATGAGAGTTAGAATTGCATGTCCTGAGGATGGACGTTTGTCAGGATTGGAGCCCAGGCTTTAAGGGGGTCCTGGCAGTCCCCTCCTGGCACTGTCACCCTGGCAGCCTCTCCTCCCCTGTGAGGGTGGATGGGACCTGCGGCTGGTTTCTACTCAGCAGAATGTGCCAGTTGCAGGGGTTAGGGACACCATGCCTGTGATCACACTGCACTACCCTGGATGCCGCCTCTCCAGGAGACTCACACTGGAGGTTCTCCTTGCTGGCTTGATGAAGCAAGAAAGACCTGCCAGCAAGGAACTGCGGATGACCTCTAGGAGCTGAGAATGACCTCGAGGAACTGAGGGTGTCCTCCAAATGATGGACAGCAAGGACCTGGGGCCAGTGATCCTGCAAACACTAGGAGATGGATTCTGCAACCACCTATGTGAGCATGGAGGTGGATTCTTTCACAGTCGAGCTTCTAGAGGGGAATGCACCCTGGTCAGCGTCTTAATTGCAGCCTTGTGAGACCAGAACCAAAGCCCCTGCTAACCTGAGCTCTGACTCCTGCCCCACAGGAACTACAAGATCATAAATACTGTTTATGCCACTGCATTGTGGTCATTTGTTACCAGCCGTGGATGACTGACAGGTGACAGGAAACCTCCTGGCAGCTCCTCTCACCTGCTTCCTCCCTATGTAGGGCCTCTCTTGACATCCCTGGCCACGAACGCAAGCCTCTTCCCAGCCCCACCACACTCACGGGGCTGATGAACTTTAGGCTGCCTGTGCTGGTTTTGGACAATTTCTCTCATTCTTCCCATTGGTGATTTGATATCCTACTTTCTCTCGGTTTCTCAGTGTGAGGGAGACCCAGACACATCACAGGTCTGTCCTTAGTGAACCGGGCACACAACTGGGGCCTGTTTCTTAGACCCCTTGCACACTCCACACTATATGTCTCAGCGTGGTGTCGAGTTTGTAGTTTGGTTCCTCCTGATAATATTCATGTTCAAATTGAGATGCTTCACCTCTTAGAGTAGCAAGGATACAATGCACTTTGTCAAAAAACAGTACGTTTGTTGTTGAATCAAATGGTCTTCCAGGGGGACGGCTTTTTGAAATCCTTGAAAATAGTGAATGGGAACTCAGTGGTTAACAGAACAAGGTGTCCTGGTCAACACGGCACAGGAAAAAATTGAGGGACAACCCTGAGTCTCCTCACAGTATAATTTCCCCATTCCCTTTCGAGGCCATATCTTCTGCCTCTCTGTTGCTGGGCACCTCGTCATTAAATCAGAGACGGGAGAGGCATTCGATCATCGAGATCATTTCTTTGCCAAGGCAGAATTGATCCCCGGAGGATGTTATGTCTTTGCCTGGTCTAATCTTCCGCATCTCGGGAAACTCCACCGCACCTCCAGGGACAACTTCCCGCGGAGTGAGAGAGCTCGTCGCCTGTTCTTCCTAATCATTCTACCAACTTTTTCCTCCTCCAATCTGCCCCATTACTTCAAGTCAAACCTCCTGTATCAGGTCTAATGAACCCTCACAGCCTCCCATTAACTAGTGCTGATGGCTCTTATGACCCCATTCTGTTGTCAGCCAAATTGTCATTTAATATTATTTATTCCCACAGTTCCTCTTGACAGCCTGGATGTTGTGGCGCTGAACCGTGTGGGTAGTCAGGTGCTCCTAATCCTCAGACAATGCTTGTTTTCTGAACCCTTTCTGAAGTAGGGATGTGCTTGCCAGCTGCGCTTACGCCCTGCGCGTGACGGTTTGCAGGGAGCAGGCGTCTAACGGCTCCGCCTGGGCAGGGACCTTCCCCAGAGCTCCTCAATGCTCTGCCCAGAGCAAAGGGCTTACCCGAAACCCTCCCGATCCATCTCAGCAGGTGCATTTGGAGAACAGAACTCCCCCAGAGCCTGCCTGATGTAAAACTAATGCCTTCGAAGTTTCAGAGCCAGGGATGGGGCTGTGGGGACAGTAATGACCAGGACACAGAGGGGCGTTTCCAGGGCTTTCTGTGTCCATCATTCCAGGGCACCAGCCTCAGACAGAGCCCTCTTGACTAGTTCTGTGGCCGGGGACACAGCGCTCATGAGGGGCCAGTTGTCTTCCTCCCAATCAGGTGCCCTGGGGAGACATCAACTAGGAAGACCCCCAAGGCCCTCGTCTGTGGAGAAAGCCTGAGTGCCTGATGTGGCTCACAAGCCACTTCAAAGCCACCGCTGTGGCTGCTCGGGTGTGGGATCCGGCTGTCCTGCCCATTCGATGTTCCAGCCCCACCTGGCCTAGGTACTGCTAGAAAGGTGGGAGGGTCTCATCAGGCCACTGTGCTGGGTGACACCTGGGGGCTGCAGCATGGGGAGGAGCCGTGGAGTGCAGCAGGCAGCCCTGACCACTGCTTGGTAGGCTTGTCCTCACTCCCCCACCCTCCATGCATGGGCTGCTGTCCTCACTCCTCCACCCTCTATGCATGGGCTGCTTTCCTCACTCCCCCACCCTCTATGCATGGGCTGTTGCTGTCTGGGTGGGATCCTCCAGGGTGCCTCACCCATGGGAGCTTAGTCCGGCACATTCTCTGGTTCTGTTCTTGCCTTCTGCCTCCCATCTGCTGCCTCCTCTCCTACATCCTCTTCCCTGAGTTCACACCACCCTCTCTCCTCCCTACTCACACTGTTCCTGTTTGGCCCCAATCTCCATGAGCTGGCTTCTGGCACGGGGATGACCCCAGACCAGGGAGACGGCCCAGGTCCCTGTCCACAGCCACCTTGCTAAGCTCAAGTCCCAGGAACCATCAGCTAGGCAAAGCCTGGCCACATAAAGCAAAGAGTGGCTCTTGAAGGCCAGCATCCAGGACTGCAGGCTCCAGGCGGTCTGCCTGAGTGAGACCACACCCCAAATAGCACCTGAGGGGCATGAGCAGAGAAAGATGGGAATGGCTCACTGGTCAAACCCACAACTCTCACACTATCACCTGTCACACACATTCGTCACTCACACCCGTGGTTCTCAAAAGCTCACACCATTAATCTCTCACACATCTTCATGTCTCACACCTTCACCTCCCACACCCTAACCTCCCACACACATTCACATCTCACACCCTCCTTTCTCACTTCCTCCCCTCACACTCCCTCCCCTCTCACTCCCTCCCCTCTCACACCCTCCCCTCTCACTCCCTCCCCTCTCACTCCCTCCCTTCTCACTCCCTCCCCTCTCACTCCCTCCCCTCTCACTCCCTCCCCTCTCACTCACTCCCTTCTCACTCCCTCCCCTCTCACTCCCTTCTGTCTCACTCCCTCCCCTCTCACACCCTCCCCTCTCACTCCCTCTCCTCACTCCCCCCTCACACCCTCCTCTCTCACTCCCTCACAAAGGTAACTAAGGCATTACTGCCTCCCATCTAGAGAGCTCCAACCCCGGCCCAGGTCTGCCACTGTCATGTCCTGATTGATATGGTTTGGCTGTGTCCCCACCCACATCTCATCTTGAATTGTAGTTCCATAATTCCCATGTGTTGTGGGAGGGGCCTGGTGGGAGATAACTGAATCATGGGAGCGGTTTTCCCCGTCCTGTTCTCATGGAAGTGGGTAAGTCTCACGGGGTCTGATGGTTTTCTGAGGGCTTTCTCCTCTCACTTGGCTCTCCTTCCCTCATCTGCCACCAAGTAAGACGTGGCTTTACCTTATGCCATGATGGTGAGGCCTCCCCAGCCATGTGGAACTTTCAGTCTATTAAACCTCTTTTTTTCTTTATAAATTACCCGGCCTCAGGTAGGTCTTTATCAACAGCATGAAAACAGACCAATACGCTGAGCTTGAGCGAGGCACGGCACCGATGAGCTCTCCACTCGTGAGAATCAGGGATCGGGCTCTGTAAGGGTGACCACGCTCTGTAGATAGTCGGGTTTCCCAGAGCTGCCTCAGGGCCTTGAGAGGTTGGGATTAGACCAGAGGGCAGGGCTCTGGAGCCCCAACCCTTTTCTGTAAGTGGCCCAATCTTCTCAGTTTTTTATATTGGGCTTCATGGTTTATAATTCATGTCTGAGCACCATGGGACCAGACTTTTCTGAGGTCCCTCCATGGGTAGCCCTCCAGGACAGCTCCGAGTCAACACGTGGGTTCCTTCTCCTCCTGCAGATCATTCCAGGACACAGATACCTCCCTGTTCCCTGTGGCCAAGTCTGACTCATTCTTCCCAACTCAGCTCAGGTGTAGACTTCTCCATGAAGCCACCTGACAGCTGCACACTCTTATCCTGGAAACCTCCCACCCTGTGTCCATGCCCGGGATCCTCCTGCAGAGATGTGTCTGTCACAGAGTGGGCACTCTGCAAACGTTTGTACATGAATTGCCATGACAGCAGCCCAGGATGCTGCTCTCAGAGATCTTTGAGTTCTTTTCAGTCTCTGACCCAGGAGTATGGAGGCATTACAGCAGTTGCCAAGGGACCCACTTCATACACCTCTGTAAAAGACCTTTTCTGTTATAGGTCTCAGCAAATATCTGCCAGACTGAATGGGGAATGGTCCTGTGTTTCACTGGCTCTGACCCCAGCTCCTTTGTTTGCTGGACACAGATCTGTGGTGCAGAATCCTCAGTGAGCCTCTGGATGAGCCACCCACAGTCTGTCTTTCTGGCTCTGAAGCACCTGCTACCTCATCTCAAAAATACCACTGGATGGATTAACTGGATTCTGCAGCCCTTCTGATATCTTGTTAGAGAAAACAAGCGAACTAGAAATCCACTGGCTTTAACTTTCCTTCCCAAACACAGGCCTGTCCACTGGGGAAATCTCTCAGCTGCTGGGTTGGTATTTCTTTTCTAACAAACCAAAACAGTTACCTTCCTCTTCCAGGCACGGTGAAGAGAAAGATGACAACTTGGAGTGATTGGCTTATATCTCTCTGATTGTACTCCTTGGACCAGGGCTGCTAAGGGAGATAGACCAACACATTCCCAATCTAGCCGGATGCACCAGAAAGGCCATGTGTTCAGACTCAATTCTGCACGCCTCCCCCAGGCGGCTGCTCTGCACAGCCACAGCCTCTCTGGACACCCCCACCTGCCAGGTCCGCTGTGCTCAACTCTTCCTTCAACCCGGCTCCTCATCTCCAGAGCAGGACCTCTTCACTGCTTCCCACACTTCCTCCCCAGAAGGAGAGAATACACAATAGAAAACAAAGGAGACATAGAGAGAAAAGCGGAACTCAGCAAAGAGCAGAAAATGTAAGCGAGGGATCCCAGGAAATTGCATCTGAAGCCTGAATCGGCGTCTCCCTCGTGGACTGTTCACCATTCCCCATCGCTGTCTGGGAAGGTTGTCTCCATGGCAATGGGGACCACCTAGTTAGTTCCCAACTCGGTCTATCCTGGGAGACCCCGAGCAACAGTCTCTCTTCACCGTGGCTCCTGCCGGCTCCCTGACTAGCAACAGTCTCTCTTCACCGTGGCTCCTGCTGGCCCCCTGACTACTGGTCCTCATAGGCGCTTTCCAGACACCCACACCTTCTCGACAAGCCAGTGCAATCAGCTGCCCGAAGGAAGACACAGAGCTTCCATTTCCAAGTTGCTCCTGCCTGTACCCCACCACCTTATGCCATTAATAATGGCGGTGCCCCACCCCAGCACACACATCTGACAAGCACAGTTGGCCCGGGGCAAACTCGGCTTCACTGAGCAAAATGGAAACACAAGACAATTGCAACAGGGTCTTCCACTCGCCTCCCTTGCAAAACGCAAAGTTTCTCTCGTCTACTTTGGGAAGTCTGAGTGTTTTCTCTTACTCCAGGTTTACTTTCCCACCATTGTCCTGCCTAGCACACCAGGAAAATTTAGCAACAGCAGAAATCCACCTTGGACAAATTTTGTGAAACCTTCCTGCAAAATCATCATCCCCCTCAAAACCAACCATCCTCCAGACAGTCTTCACCATCAGGCTAGACACATTTCCTGTCTGGAATATCCACTTTTAGGCAGACTGAGGCTGGAACGAGGCAAGAGAACCGTCCAGCTCACAAAGCACAGGCCGGCAGTGGCTGCAATGAGTGGCCGCCTTCTGGGGCTGCTGCCTCGTCACACTGATTTTATTTTTCTGATGCTCTATAATGAAGTGTACCAATTAAAATACGCTGGTGTCATCATGTGTTGCCTCAAAAATAAGTCTCTTTTATCATACAAAAGAAAAATAGCATTTATAAAATAAGAGCAACCCTCCCGCTTACTTGCTGCTAAAAAAAGTCAGTGCACTTTTCCGGTGGACAGTTTAACGCGACTCGCCGTGTGAAACACGCATGGCTTTTGACCCAGCAATTCTTCTTCTGGAAAGGTGTCATTAAGCAGATAACAGGGACTTCTGGTTAAACATGGCGGACCTCACACAGTGTTCATTCCTTCTCTCTCCTAATCCTCTCTAAAATGAAAACTAAAGGAATAAAATGTTGTAAATACACAAAACCAAAAATAATAGGCAAAATGAGAAAATACAGTATCAGGTAAAGTTGCCAACGTAGTGTGTGTGGCAAAGATGGTGTGTGGAGCTGAGAAGGCTGAAGCCCAGGCACCTGGAAAACGGGGGCTGTTAGGAATTAAGCCCTGCTCTCTGAAGAACCCGGAGAGGCTCCCGAACTGGAGCACCAGTAGCTGTGGGAGGTGGGGAGCCTGCGGGCTGAAAAGGAAGAGTGTGGACAAGGTCTGCATGAGAGGTATAGATGCCTGTCCCACACCCCTCTCCTCCCCACATGGCTCCTTGCCCTGGCTACTGCTGAGGACGTAAGGCATCCAGAATGACATGGAAGCTGTTAACAAAAGACCGGTGATATCTGTGGAGGCAACGGGAGAACCTTATTTTCTAAAAGCAAATAGATTTTGCTTTTAGAAAAATCTGTGATTGTGGACACGCAGCCTTTGGTGTAAGACACAGGTGGAGGGATCAGGGATTGGGAGATGATGAAGGCAAATCCTTCAGAATAGGAGTTTAGGGGGAGTTCGTTGCAGGATCTAGACGGGAAGGCCTTTAAGCGAGACCTTGCCGGTCTCTCTGCATCAGCCTCAGGTGGCCTGCGGGTGGTCAGTGGGGAATTTTAAGCCAAGGTCTGGCTCAGCACCAACGACAGGAACTGGTCTGGCCTGATTGTAGAAAGGGAGGTCCTATGACACTTTCACAACATCTTCCCGAAGACAGAGAGTGGGTGGCCGCTTCCTTATCCTGCCATGGCCGCCTGCTTGTTTTAACTCTGAGTGCATCAGGTGGCCACAGGGAGCCCCTTTTGTCTGTCGGCTGGGAGCACACTTAACAAAGCTTACATTCAGGAACACATGCCCAGTAGAGGTCGGAGGGGTGCGATGTTGGAAATGAGATTAAATAAATGCCTACGTAATATTCACAGAGACCCCAGCTCTCTCCTGAAGCTCAGCTCCAAGAACGGTGGTGGTCAGGGCATGGCCGCACAACCTTACCTTGACCACTCAGGAAAAGGCCTGGCTGTTCCCAAACAGAAGATTTATAGATAACCACAACAAAGCCGCCAGCTTCCAGCCCCATCATGCTGCAGAGACCTCACCACGGGCGGGCCCCCTGCACATGTGTGGAAGCTTCCCATCAGGGTCAGTGTCTCTCTCCTCAATGCAGGCAGAAAGGCGTCTGGAGCGGGGAGACCACGGCCAGCAATAGACACTGCAGATTTAGTGGCAAAGACGGGGGCAGAGCTGGAAAACTGAAAGAAAGAGAGAATAAAATGAGAACAAGAACCAGGGTATGAGCTGTCGGGAAGATGCTAAGGAAAAAAGCCTACCACAATCTTCTCATCCATTCTTCTGCTTTATTCAAACGTTCGGGTCCTTGTCTGGCCTCAAGAAGGAATAAGAGGCAGGGTATCTCAAAATTCTGCTAGGTTTAACATAGCTTCTTCTTGGTCTTGTCGCTTTCTGCATTTTTATGACTTCCCAGTAAAACTCAGCATTCGGGGAGGGAAGGCAGAGAGAGTGCAAAGTGGGAGAACCCGGGACTGGCATTGGTGAGGGGGCTGTGCTGAGGTCAGAGGTGATCCTCTCTGGCCCAGCAGAGACCTAGAGCCTCTTGACAGTCGGGTCCAGGTGAGTGAAATGAGAGTCAAAGCCAGGGTGGAGGGGTGTTGCAGCCTCCAGGGAGCTGGAGACTGGTACCGGTGAGAGGGAGGACTAGGAAGGGCACAGGGAGAAAGGAAAAGAACTGCAATTTGAAGGTCCTGATGTTGAAAACTCTGATGAGCTCCCAGTAAAGTAAGTAGAGCTAAGACGATTGTCCTCAAGGCTAAGATGGATTAAAAGGTGGCCATGGAGGTGACCACAGCCTCCTCTCATCGCAACAGACAGGGAAGAGCAACACGGTGAGCCACAGGCGGGTCTGCCTCCCGCTGCCTTTGGACTCAATATCGACCTTACCTGAATTTCCAGCCTGCTGGTCTGCAGACTTCAGATTTCCCAGCCCCACAAAGGAGTGAAAAAATTCTCTGAAATCAATCTCTCTCTCTCTCTCTCTCTCGGTCTATTTCTCTGGAGAACTCGGACTCATGCAGATTTTGGTCTGAGGAAGGTGAGAGTGAGCTGTGTTTTCATTCAGCAGGGGTGACTGGAGCCTGGACTTCCCTGAGCCTGCACACACAAGGATCCACAGTGGAGGGCTCCTCCATCTAGACTGGTCACCATGGAAGCAGAGAGTAAAAATACAGCTGAGAGGGGTGGCCGTGGAAATGTGTGTGACTCACTCGGGAGCACCAGGATGCACACAGGAGGAGCACCAAGGATGAGCACGGGAGCACCAAGAATGCACACAGCAGCACCGGGGATGCACACAGGAGTATTGGGGATGCACACAGGAGTATTGGGGATGCACACAGGAGTATTGGGGATGCACATAGGAGCACTGGGGATGCACATAGGAGTATTGGGGACGCACACAGCAGCACCAGGGATGCACACAGGAGCACCGGGGATGCCCACAGGAGCACCAGGGATGTGAACAGGAGCATTAGAGATGCATGCAGGAGCACCGGGGATGCACACAGGAGCACCAGGGATGTGAACAGGAGCACCGGGGATGCCCACAGGAGCACTGAAGATGTGTGCACAGGAGCACTGAGGATGCGCACAGGAGCACCGGGGATGTACGCCCCACCCAGAGCCAGGAGGAGTCTGGATGACTTCCTGAAAGTCATGAAGCTTGGGTGAGTGGGTGAAACGGAGGGAACATTGGCACCCGAGCCCAGATGGCCATACCCACCGATTCCAGAGGCAGGGCACTGCACACCGGGAGTGTGTGTGTGATGGTGGCTGGGTGCAGGGACAGAGGCTTAGTAGACACAGGCAGCAAATGTGCTCAGACACCTGGCATCAAGGGCTCGTGCATCAAGTTAGAGTTTGGGTCTTACCATGTGGGCTGTGGAGTGCCTCTGAATATTCTAAATGGGGAAGTGACTTGGTCAAGATTTTCACTAGGAATATATGTTGTTATTTATTATAGTCGCCGTGTTATGCAATAGGTCACCAGAGCTGATTCCTGCTACCCATCTGAAACTTTGTTCCCTTTGGCCAGCATACCCTAAGAGAGGATTTAAATATGTTCTTCCATAAAGAAATGGCAAACATTTGAGGTGACAGGTACTCTAATCAGCTTGATTTGTTCATCCCACAATGTGTATATATACATATACTGAAACACATTGTACCCCATAAATATATGTAGCTATCATTTATTAATAAAAATATAACAAATTTGAAAACAAAAAAATTAAAACATCTCCCCCAGGAAGATCTCTCTGTGATGGATTTGAGGGAGTGAAACCAGAATAGTCCTCCTAGGAGGCTGTAGTGGTGCTCCAGGCCAGAGAGAAGGGTGTCCTAAGCAGCTGAGGCTGCGGGAGGGTATGTGAAGGAGACAGAGTAACAGGACTTGCTACTAAATAGCCCACGATGCCCAGGAAAGGAACCCAGGATGTGTGGACATTCTGGTTTGAGAATTGCACAGAGTCTTCGACGACGCACGAGGAGGAGTGGGTTTGGGTAGAGAAAAGACATCAGTCCAGCGAGGGTGGTGATGGGTTTCGGAAGAGACCTGGGATAGCGAGGTGCCTGGACGGCCACACCACTGTGACCAATTTGCTTATGCAGGTCACACCCAACAGTGACAGGATCACAGGCTGAACTATCCACCAGAGCCTAGATGTGGCAAAGACGAGCCCATGAAATCATCCACACTGTGCACTGGAGGAAGATGACAGGGGATGGGGCATCCTCTGTAAAAAGCAGGAAGGAGGAGGATGTCCTCAATAGCATTCTACAGTCACAGAACTCTATCATTTTCAAGGGTAAGAATGAAGGCTTTAAGTGGTATTATTCCCATTTTACAAAGAGGGAAACTGTTACAGAGGGATAGCTTCCACCCTAGTTCCAGTTTTGTGGATATGATACTGGCTCTTGGAAGCGAGGTCCTGAACCTGACATGACGAACCTGAGGGCATACCCTGTAATACCCAGGACCTCGACATGATCGAGGACACTTTCAGAGGGCAGCCCGGACCAGGAACCCTGAGCTCCGGCCTGGGCTCCTCTCCTGCAGCCTCCCTGAGCCGGCACTGCCAGGCGTGCACCTAATGGCTGCTCGCGTTCTCTGTGACTTCCAAGGTGGGTGACAGGAAAAGGGAGCTACATTCCCTGGGCTGGTGGCTCAAGCCCCGTGGCAGCATCTGTTTTTAAGTGATATGCACATGACAGTTTTTATGGCGTCCTTTCTGATATCAAATCCTGTCTCTTCACTTCCAACCCAGAATTAATTGAGAATGTTTCTTCCTTAGGTTTGATGATTCTTATGGTTATTGAGGCCCATGTGCACAGGTAAGAAGCTTTATATAAGTAACCATAATACCTTGCATTTTTCCAGTGTGTATTTTTTCTTGAGAGATCAAAAGACTATGGTATCGCCCTCCTGTGGCTGAAAGGAAATGTTCGCTCATGTGCTGTGGATGCACTGTCACGTCCATGGGTGAGGTCACATTGCCTGCGTGTGGAAGCTGTCACCTGACACACGCTTACTTACCTTGCAGGGAGCCAGCAGGGCAAACACCTCTTCGTCCTGAAGCTGAGTGGCTTGGACAGGCACAACGTGGCACCAGGAGCCCGAGGGGAGCCATCAGGGCTGCAAGAACCAGCATGACCACAGCCTTCCAGTCCAGAGGCCTGGGGTGGAAGGAGGGATTTGACCAAGCCGTAGGAGTCAGGAAATGGTTGTGTTGCCAGTGATAGATTCACTGGAGATGTCCCAGCTTTGACTGTGTGGAGGCACGCAGGCTTCAGGACAGGAGCACGGAAGGAGGTGGGCGCTGCACCACCTGCAGGGGCCAGTGGTGAGGAATGAGGATGGGCAGAAGATTCAGGGACTTGACCTTGGGTTCAAGGACATCTGGGCTGTGAGGAAGGACAGATGCTCTGGCTGGAGGCCTCGTCACCTGGGACACCAGGCCTGGAATGCAGCTCTCCATCCAGCCCCCGCTCGCTGCTGACGCCTCCTGCTGGGAACAAATAACTCCCAGGGGAGGAAATAAAGAGGGCACACAGAGCTGTGAGCGCTGTCCCGGTGCACCACGGATCCAAGTGATGAGGGTGAAAGGAGAGGCTTCGTTTTCCTTTGGCAATCAAATTTTAAAAGATTAATAATCCAGGTTGTTACTAGTGAGTGGGAGAGCAGCGACACACACATTGCCTTACGCTGATGGTAAAAGTAAACGTGGAATAAAATGATACTTACAGGAAGCAATAGCTGTCAAGGAACTTTGGGGAACTTTTCCTAATTAAATAATCTAAAACAAGAAGAAAACTGTATTCACCAGGATGTTCGCGACACTGCTGTTTATGGTATTAAAAATAAAAACAGTACCATGTCCACAGTTAGCGAAATGGTTCATGATAACACTACTCTGCAATGTAAAGGGGAGTTCACACACCGAGAACGAGGAAATGACAATGAATTGACATGAGAATGACTGAACCAGCAGTGACCTGCGCAGTGTGGCTCCTGGGAGAGGCCTGGGCCAGTGTGTAATCTCACAGCCAGAGTCCAAGCCACAGGGGAGACTCCCAGAGCCTCCCTAAGCTCTACCTTCCCGCTCTGTAAAGCAAAGATAGAAATGCGGGTCTCAGGCCAGGCGCAGTGGCTCACACCTGTAATCCCAGCACTTTGGGAGGCCGAGGAGGGCGGATCACTTGAGGTCAGGAGTTCATGACCAGCCTGGCCAACATGGTGAGACTTTGTCTCTACTAAAAATGCAAAAATTATCTGGGCGTGGTGGCGCGTGCCTGTAATCCCAGCTACTCAGGAAGCTGAGGCAGGAGAATTGTTTGAACCCAGGAGGCAGAGGTTGCAGTGAGCTGAGATCACGCCACTGCACTCCAGTCTGGGTGACAGAGTGAGACTACATCTCAAAAAAAGAAAAAAGCAAAAAGAAAAGGAAAAGAAATGCTCATCTCATGCGGCTGGAGTGGGGATGAAAATCAGATAATGAATCAGACGCACCGTGATCACATAATCACCGTTAAGCACTTTAGATGGAAACCCAGATTTCCTACCTGGTGTTCTGCATAGATAACACCAACCAGGTGTAGACGCGGCAAAGACACCTGGAGCCCTCTCAAAGCCAGCTGGGGTTCTGTACATAGGTCTGTGACAGAGGCAGTGGTGTGAGACCTCAATGCTGAACGAAACAGGGGCTGGGTCAGAGAGGGCCACTGCAGACCTGAGCCCCTCCTGGCTGGGCCCCCAGCACCTGGGGAGCGCAGGATGATAAAACACCAGCGAAGGCTCTTTAATTGGTTATCTGCATGCATGCCTTTAAGCCTACGGTTTTGTGAATAATAAATAATCCACTTCAGAGTTTAGGGTCCATTCTCTTGGCTGATTTTGTTGCAGCCTTTATAAAAATCCTGCCCTGTTATTAACAGGCTTTGAGATTGGGAGCAAGACACTTTCCTTTTTGGACTCAGTTTTACTATCTGGCAAAATATGTGGGAAGACTCTGAGACGTACGGTCCTTGCCAGGCAACTTTTTTTCCTCCTTCAGGCCTAGACTTGTGGGCTGGTCCTTGTCTTCACAGCCAGGCTGTGCCAAGGTCACAGTCAGGAGAACGCTCCAGCCCTGGCTGGCTCCCCTCCATCCTCCCCTTCCCCTCTAGAGCAGACTCTAATAATAATGATGATCATGGTGAACCCTCCTCTGCATCTTGGAAGGAGACAATTTAAACGAAGTCCAACTAAGGCAAAACATTTCTCTTTTCTTTTTCCCCTTCTTATTTTTTAATTCTACCTCTCCAGAATAAGGAACACATTAGGAAGATAATAGGGGAATATGTGTGGGAAGCAAAGGATTCTGGTTCTCTCAGAGAAGGGTGACCCCCACCAGCCTTCACTGTCCTCGGAGGGCCCGCATGTCCCACGGTGCTTCCAGGGCCCTCGTTGGGTGTGGGCATTGGGGGCTTGGAATCGCTGGCTGGCAGGAGAGAGGGCCGCTGAGAAAGAGCAGCTGACATGGGCAAAATCCCCAGAACATGTGCAGGGAGCAGGGAGAGTGACTTTCCCACCCCACAGCTGACAGGGACGTCGCCTGCAGGTCCCACGCGGGGCTGGCTCTTTACCTTCTCCAGAGTTCACAGCACAGGTGGCTCGGGCAAGGCTGGGCTCAGAGACAAAGAAGGCTCTTTCCAGAGCCAGCCTCCTGCTTTTTCCCAATAGGGACAGCCCCCTCCCACCGTGCACTTGGAAATTTTGCCTCCCCACACCCGTACGCGCAAACCCACATGCAAGGTGGAGAGACTCCGTCGCATGTCCCGAGTCTGAGGACATGACCGGAGCGGAGTCCGGGAAGTCCCTCAGGGGCAAGCACAGGGGCAGCTCTGTCTGCTGATCCTTTCCAGTCTCCCTTTCTTCCGCCTTAGAGCTCAGCTCTTTGCTGTCCTAAGAAATGCAAAAAGTACAATTAATAATTAATGGAGCGAGAGCCTCTTGTCTGTGTTATTCAATGCCCAAATGCTAGGACAGACCAGCCCCAGGAGCAGCTTGAACCGCACAGATCCTGAGCTGCACTTAGAGGTGTGTTGATTTCCTCCCATCTCCCTTCCGTGGAAACCAGGGCAGGCCCAGATGCAGCGCACAGGGCCAGGCCAGATGAGAGCCAGTGCTTGCCACACGAAGGTGCACCTCAAAGGACCACCCTGATTCCAAGGGCCAGTCCATCTGCTGGATGGTGGCAGGAGGGCCGAAGTGGCAGGAGGGCCGAAAGGCACATTTGCAGTGTTCACAAACCAAAGTCACCATCACTAGACACCATGTCTCTCAACCTGTAGGGCGACACTGTCTCTCCCATGTCGCAGATGACTAAATTAAGGCACAGCAGAGTTTGCTTGAAAAGCACACTGCCAATAAGCTGTTCCATCAATTCTAAGGTACACGCTGAAAAATATATTTTAATATCAATGGCGTGTCAAATGCAGTTGGTGCCATCTTTTTAGAGTTACATAAATATCTTATAGTGATGGGATTTACTAAAGCAAATATAGGATTAGAACACTCCCCTTCCATTCAGTTACTACTCTGGTGCTCCGTTTATTGGGAACATAAGGAAACAAGATGTGCACCTGGCAGGCAGTCCCTGCCCATCCCTGTGTGCACCATCCCTTCTCCTGCCTGGAGGAAGCACCCTCCTTAAATGAAGAGGAAAGGTCCAGGGTGGTGGGCGGTGGGGGAAGACAGGATGCAAATCCTGCAGCCTGCTGAATCCGGCTGCACTCAGCCTCTGCTGCTCGCTCTGTGACTGGGGGCAGTTTTCTGGGCAGTGGGATTAGTGACGGTGCTCCCAGGCGTGCACGCAGGTGCCCATCCCATCTCTCCATGCAGTCATCTGGCTGCCCCTGGGAGTGGCGTGGCCTGTCCTCCTCCCTCTCTGCTCTCTGAGCCCTGTCCTGTGCGCTAGCAGCAGAGTCAGGGGCTCTGGGTGGGCTTCCCCGCTGTGAGCGCCTTGAAGGCAGGGGCTTTGTCGTATTCATCCTTCACCAAACCTGCAGGATGCTAACAGCACATCTGTCCTTGCAATTTGGAAAACAGAGGCGGCATACCTTCTTCATTTCCTTGCCAATTTCTCATGATTAACTGGGCTGATATGAGTATTGTGTTTCTCTATGAAGGAAGAGGACCCGTATTATAGTTTGGCTATTTCAGAGTACACCAGGCACATTCGGCAAGGCTTCTACTGAAAGGCCTGGTCAGCCACTCTGTAGGAGCTGGTGCCTGCTCATGCAGCCAAGCTTGGTTCCCTGCAGCCTCCCAAGCACAGTCTGGCCAGGTTGGTTATGGCTGTTCCTCAGGCTGCTGTGGAAGGCTCTTGTTGGCTCCGGCCCCAATCCCTCTTTCAAGTCACAGTGGTCAGGGTCACAAAACTGGTTTTGGAGAAAATGATATAAAACTGACTGACATAACCTCCACCCCTTTTGCCCCAAAAGGAGCAGAGTAACCAGCAGGCACTAGGGGGCTGCAGCCTCAACCCACAAGGGTGAGATCTTGTCATTTAGTGAACACAGCATTCAGTCTACCTCGTCTTTGGAAGGGTAGCAGGTGTGATGTTAGACTTCACAAGCCACAAACGGCACTCAGCACGTGGGAGCCCAGGGCCCCTGTGGCCTTCCCCTGTGGATGCCTGCGGGCAGAGCTCCCACCTCTCCCACTGCAGTCGGGAGATGGCAAACCCCAGGTCTGTCCTCAGGACAGCGCCTCACCCATGCTCTTCACGAGGAGGAGGATAAAATCCACCCTTCAGGGTTGTTGAGAAACTAAATGAGACACCGACTAGGGCACGGGAGGGTCCACAGAGGCCCTGTAAGAGCTGCTGGTTCATTCCTTTGTGTTTTCAAGGTCCGGGCAAGCACGGGATGGGATGGGATGGGATGGGACCAGCCATGGGGTGCGGCAGGCTGCCCACTTCCCCAGCCTGGGTCTCTGCCCAATACCTCAGACTCCATCCTGCCTGGCAGCTGAAGTGGCTCTGCCGGCTCCTTCCAAGAGCTCTCAGCCTGAGCCGCTATCGATTGTAGACACTTTGCACGAGTCCGTTAAGATAGGAGGGGAGAAAATGCAGCAGCCATCCAGAAATAATTAGAAGAGAAAAGGGCTCCCCAGATCCACCTCCTCTCTGAAAAGCCGAGACCAACGCCCACTCGTCCTCCACCCTGTCTCCATCTCATACACACACATACTGATTGCCAAAAAATGTGCTCTGAAAAATCGTGTTGGCAATTGTGTTTGATCCCGGCTTCTATGCCTTTCGGAAGGGCCTGCGCTCAAGGACATTTCTGAGCGATGTCTTGGCCACACAGCTTGCCGTTCACTCCTCCCCTCATTCCTCCTTCCCTCCCTGGGATCTCACTTCTTCTTTGTGGATAACTCTGTCCTAGGAACAAGACGGAAGCAAGACACTAGTGAAAATAAAGCAAACCACATTGTTGAGTAAGGGCTACATGCCGGGCACTGTCCTGAGCATCCTTCCTAAGAAAACCTTGCGAGTTGGGTATTAATAACCATGTTACAGATTAGGGAACTGGAGGACAGAGAAGGCAAGTGAGCTGCTGGGGTGATTGTTCATCCAGGACCAGCAGATTCCAGCAAGGCTGGGCTCTTCCCGTGACCCTGCCAGACCCCTCTTGAGCCGAGTGGAAACGGGGCTCTCAGACATGCTGGGGTCTTTGCATCCTTGTGAGAAGCGGTGGGGTGGGAGGGATCTGGACTGTCGGAACCCACACTATGCACTCCGTCCTCACGTTCCACCTGAGCCCACTGAGGCCTGGAGGGAGGGAGGCGGATGCAGGGCATTCTGACTGTGGAGTCAGACAGAGCCTGAGGGTGGGGACTGGCCTGTCACTTCCACATTTTATTTGCTTTGGGCCTGAAATTCCTCCATTTACAGTCTAGGTCTTTATGATGAAAATTTCCCTCTTTCTTTTTTTTTCTTTTCTAGTACAAAGCTTGTCCTTACTAGCTGTAAGCTGCTGGTTTCTTAGCTGGGTGCCCTATTTCTGTGTTATCAGAGGGCGGCAGCAGCAGAACAGGCAGGCCCTGAGGGCAGAGGAGGAAGGAAGAGGCCCATGAGGGTAAACGCCCTGGAGGAAGGGTGCTTTCACAACATGGCGGTGGGGGGGGGTGGGGGTCAACACAGCCACCTTTGTGCTGTCCCCTGGTCTCCTCCGCAGCCACTGGGGCACCTCCCAGGCCTGCTGCACACGGCTCCTGGTCTAAGGAGAGAGAACTTGGTACACAGATACCATAGAAGAAAATGCAGCAATGGCTAAATAAATAATTTCATCAAAATGCAATGCGAGCCACAAAAAAGGAGGCTCAGGGAAGGCCTGGTGTGAGCCTCACCAGTAGGCGTCGACCTCAGCACCGGCTCAGTGCAGGGCACAGGGGATACAAGGTGGGCCAGCTGGGGGCCTGCTGTCCACAGTCTCCGGAACTGCTGAAGGAAACTGTCCTGAGTGGGTGACGGTTTGCAGCACAGAAAGCACGTGTGCAGGTCAGAGTTGCACGGCCTGAGGGCCTCAGAGAGCCAAGGGGACATTCTCCTTCCCTGCCGGGTCCATCCTCCAGCAGGGATCTCCCTACCACCCTCCCACTCTTCAACAGCAGCCTTGTTGGATGGGAAAAAGGAGAAGGGGTGCAGGCAGCTCAGGGCTGTCGACCTGAGCTCAGAGGAGAGGCCAGTGTGGGGAGCCCAGATGGGTCATGCAGAGGAGCCAGCAGAAACACATCGCTGGAGATGCCTTTAACGATGGGCATCTCTCTGTCTCTCTGAAGGCTCAGCAGAGAGCAGGAAGCCACAGGGCAGTGAGGCACCCACCAGTGGCAGCCGTGGAGGGAGGGAGCCTGGGCAGACAGAACCATGGACGCCAGTGGTGCCCATGCCCTGCCCAGGGACCTGTCATACATCACCTCACTGGCAAAGAGACTCACAGACGATGCCAGTGGTGCCCTGCCCAGGGACCTGTCATACATCACCTCACTGGCAAAGAGACTCGCACATGTGATTAAATTAAGAATTTGGGGATTGAGGAGATTATTCTGGATTATCCAGGGGGTCCAAGGCAATCACTCAGGTCCCTGCAGGAGTCAGAGAAGGAGTGAGAGGGCAAAGGCCGAGGCCAGACAGAGGCTGAAGGTGCTCCTGGTGAGCCGTCAAGGGAGAGGAAGGGGCCTGGGCCGAGGACTCTGGCTGGTGCCTCAGATCAGAAAAAGGTAAAGAATCCCCCGTGGGCTCCAAAGGAGCACGGCCCTGCTGCCACGGACACCTGGCTGCCAGGACCTTCCATCCCAGCAGTGACTTGCGCCATAGGTGGCTCTGCGCCCACTTAGATCGTGGGAATCTGTTACAGCAGCTGTGGCAAACCGACAAGGAACTTTATCAGGAACTTGGCTGAGGGGCTGGGGCCACAGGTGAAGGACCCCATCCGCTTGTGGAAAACCTGCAGGGGGGCAGGAGGCACAAACTCCACCCACACAGCCTCTGAGCTTTGATCTCATAGTGCCGCCCACTGGTTCAACTGGGTCAGAAACCAGAAGACAAGGAGTTCGTGGTCACTGAGGAGGGTGGAGAGGGAGAGCTGATCTGGGTGCAGGCATGTGAGGGCACCAGGGAGCCACCCAGCCGTGCAGAGAAGAGAACGCATGTGCAGAGAAGAGAGCAGATTCCCACACAAATCCCAGTTCAGGAGATGGTGCTTGATTGGGGCGCTCATGGTGTGGGGGCAGCATGGGTTTGGAGACTGTGCCTGAGTGTCAGGGTGAAGCGCTCAGCCTCTCCTCCCTCCCAGTGCGGGCAGTGCTGTCCTCGCCCCCAGTGACCAGGCCTCCTGGGAGCCCCTGCTCCACGTCGAGGGACCACACACAGACACCGAGAACTCAGAGGAGCCCATGACTGTGCTGCCCCTGCCTGTGGCTCCTGCTTCCAGAATAATAGGAAGCAGACTCTTCCTGTGTCTCTCACCACTGCTGAGATGGCTCAGGCAGTCCAGGGATCAATACATGCTTCCTGTGAAACCATTAGCGACTAGATTTGAGAGCTCAGGGTAGATGAGAAAAGACTGCAGACGGGCAAGGTGTCCATCGCGCCCCACACCGGCGACCCTGGGATGGGATCTCGGTCAGCCCTAGAAAAAGCAGCTCCCAGGGACTTTACCCAACCACAGTCCCTGTGAGATCAGAAGACCTGGATTCCAAGCTCATCTCTGCCTCGAGGGGACCCTGGCCCTTCTCGAGTCTTGAATCTCTGGTCACCTCTTGTAGACCCCATGCTTGGGCCACATTCTTCAGGAGAGAACAAATGGGTAGACCTTCAGTGAAGACAAGAGGCTCTTCCAGGCTGCAGTGCCAGAAAGAAAGGCATTAGGTGGAAATCGCACAGCACACACGTGCCCACAGCCCTGGGTGGTGGGCTTCCTCCACTGCGTCATCCACCCACCCTCGCTGCTGCCAGCATCCCCCTCAATTACTTATGTTCACAGACATGAACTCAGTAAACTCACCCTTTATTTGTCCTGTGGAGAGAAGGGCTAAGGGAGCCCAGGCGGCTCAGCAGGACACAGGGACGCTTTTAGAACAGCTCATTTGCATGAGGCAGAGCACGTCCCTGTGTCTTTGCGGAAGATGAAAGTCTGCCTCTCTCTTCTTATGCTTCCCCTGTTCAGGCATCAGACCAGGCACTCACTCTTATCAAAAAGGAAAAAGACTACATCAGCAAACTCTCTCTCTCCCCCTCTCTCTTTCTCTTGCCCAAAGATTCTTTGCATAATTGAAACCAAGGGAACAAAAATGCACAAAAGCAAGTGGCACAGATGTTTTCATCACAGGTACCTCAAATAACTCCAAAGGGCCCTCACCAAGCAGCGCCTGTGAATATATTTCATGCCCTGCTCGCTGAGAATTAGCATTGGAAGTCATCGCTGTGAACACAGGGAGCTGGATGAATTTCAATCCAGCACAGAAACCAGCCGCTGCTGTTGCGGGATGTCAGCTGCAGTCACATCACTGCAGAGCTCTTTTGCAAGACCAGCAGAAGCCGGCGTGTCATTTTTGACATAGCAGCTCGTCCCTTTTCACTGCTCAGCTGACAGCACGCTCAGTGCCTGCCTGTTGCTCCGTGTTGAACGGGCCCAGGTGCCCAGGTGTGAGTCTCTGGGGTTCTCTGGAGGATGTCAGCTCAGCTCTGTGTCTTGGATGGCAGAGCTGTGGGACCAATTGATTTGCTTGCCAGCAGTGCCCACACCCAGGAGAGGAGATTGCTGGAAAACTGAAGCATCCTTTATGGGACTGTTACACCGATTCTGGAAAGAAAGTCATGTAGGAGCCTTGGCCTTGCCAACACTGAGATGGCGCCCTTCTGGGAAGGCCTTCTTTCCACTCGGCCCGGTGTGGCAGGTACACCTGGAAGCCTGGAACACTGTCACTATGGCTGTGACCTCCCGCAGGGCCATTTTCACCCTTGCTACATATTTTCATATGCTAACTTATTTGCCGTTTTTTAATCATGTGGAGGTAGAAAAACCTCAGCATGGAGGGAGAACAAGTAGGCAGATAGGAGCACACTTGTCCCTCCTCTTCCTGTTAAGTTCCCAGTAGTCAGAGAGAAGATTTCCTCCTCTTCCTGGAGCAGGCTCTGGAGAAAACGCTGCACTGGCCCACACGTGGGCTGAGCCCTGACTGTGTGCTGCTGGAGACAAAGGTGCATCAGGCACAATGCCTGCCCTCAGGGGGGCTGCCGTACCTGTGGGGAGACTGAGCACAGAGACACATGCACCCAGGCTCTGTGTGTGTAAAGTGCATGCATTAGCATAGGCAGATATGCCTGCTTCAGGCCGCGTACACACACATGTGCACGGCAGATACTCAGAATCTGGAATCAGATCCAGGACTGATGGCTGCACCGCGGGTAACAAGCCATACGGCCTTGGGCACATCGCCCAGCCTTTGTGAGCCTCGGGAGCTCTCTCCGCACCATTCAGACAACGCACCGTCTCCAGCGGCCTCACGGCATCCATGTGCATTCAGCTGAAAGTGCTCTTGGGACCTCGAAGAGCTGCTTGAATTTAAGGGGTAGGAAATATGCCCTTGTTCCCTCCCATGCCCTTTGTTCACCCTCGTCCCTCACTCCTAGGAAGTTCGCGCTGCCGCTTTACCACCTGGGCCAGTCTCTGGGAAGGTGAGGCCCCAGGTGCTGGGTCTGCAGCCCCGGGGAGGCTGAGAAGCTCACGGTGGCTGAGCCCTTGCTGCATGTCAGCTGCCGTGCGTGTGTTACTTCATTAACCCTCACGGAAGCCCCGTGGAGGAGCTGCAGTTTTATCTCTGCCGTACAGATGCAGCGTTTAAAGCGTAGAGAGAAGAGGTGACTTGTTCAGACTCACGAGGTGAGAGCAGGGCCCAGAGTCCCCCCAGAGTGCGCCGGTGCCGGCTGCGTGATCTCAGGGGTGGGCTGAGCAGGGTCTGCTTCTCTCGCAGGCTGGGCCACCCACCGCTCCCCCTGGCCATGCCTGTGAGGTTGTGGCATGGACGCTGACAGTGTCCGTGGCTTCTTGCTCTCCTCCTTCTGGTTGGCTCTGGCCAACAGGGAGCCCTGGAAGGAGAGTGGGGAGAAAGAAGAGTGAGGAGAGGTAGTCGTGCCCCTGGGTCCATCACACCAAGGTCTGTTTCTCACGTCAAGGTCACTGCTCCACTCAAGGCAGCCCCCGCTCACGAAGCTCTGGTCCTGATACCCCGTCCCTCTGGCTGTGCCCCAGGCCAGGCAGCGGCGACCAATGCCTGCCCACTAGCCCTGTGGTTGGTGAACCACCATCGCCATCGCCTGAGGTCCCTCCACCCGCCTCAGTATTGTAGACCCTGGATGAAACGCCCCTTAAGAGTCGTAACCTCTGTGTTGTCTGTGGCCCTTAGGCCCTGATGGACACAAGGAGGTGCTTAGCACAGAGCAGGCAGCTGGATGTGGGAAACACGAGGTGGGCTGTGACTCATGGGCAGGTCCCGTCCCCTTCGAGAGCCTCGGTGTCACCCTCAGGGTGATGAGGGTTGACAAGACACCAGAGCAGGACACCCTGAGTCCCTCGGATGAACCGACAAGCATCTGGGCTTCCTCTCAGCACAGCAGCATCTTCCTTGTCTCTTCGTTGCCTCCCGAGGTCCCCCCACTCCAGGACGTGCTCAGTCAGGAACAGGCATCCTCAGCACTGGGGCTCCATTTCTCTGTCCGCTTCCTGCAGCATTTGGCCAGAGCAGCCTCGAGCCCACTGTGAAGTGAAGGACCCGGCTCTGCTGCTGGCTCTGGAGGCAAAAGCGTCTCCCCTCCCTGTGGCGGAGCTGATGCACCCAGCCTGCACACCTGCACACCCGCGTGCTTGTCCAGCAATCTGGGCGGCTCCTTTGCCCCCAGAAGCGGGTCAGAGACCTTCTCTTTCCTGCCTGTCTCTCCTGTGTCTCTGGTGGGAGCAGGGAGGGGCTCAGCCACCATCTATGTCAGGGAGGCCTTGGGTGTTCTCTGCCACCACGGTGGACTTTGCTTGACACGCAGGCATCTCAAATCCAGAGGCCAGTGTAGAATAGGATTTGCTGTGGATTCCCCCTCCTGGCTGGAAGCAACTGTACGTTTCCCCAGAGTCATGCTTGAGATATTCAAATAGAATTTGGGAACAAGCAGAGGGCTGCTATTGGAAGATGATCCGTTCTGTCTTGTTAGTCAGTGAAGACAGTACTGGCAGGGACCAAAGAGGAGAGGAGTTGGGAAATAGTTTTTTCCTTCTGATGTGAATGCCGCTATCCTTGAGGCACCCCACCCATTTACCCACATAAGGAAGTTCAATCAGAGTAAAATTCCCCATCAGCAAATGGCCACTACCTCCTTGGGAGAGGGAAAGAGATGACAGTTCTTATCAAATAATTTTTTTTTTTTTGAGACAGAGTCTCGCTCTGTTGGCCAGGCTAGAGTGCAGTTGCACAGTCTCTCTCACTGCAACCTCTGCCTCCTGGGCTCAAGCAATTCTCCTGCCTCAGCCTCCCAAGTAGCTGGGATTACAGGGGTGTGCCACCACCCCTGGCTAATTTTTGTATTTTTAGTAGAGACGGGGTTTCACCATGTTGGCCAGTCTGGTCTTGAACTCCTGACCTCAGGTAATCCACCCTCCTGGGCCTCCCAAAATGCTGGGATTACAGGCGTGAGCCACCGTGCCCGGCCAGATAAGTTTTTAAAAGACCTTCCACGTGGTCTATTGGAATTTTTTGTTGGAACCTGCGTCACGGACATTGAGGAGTGGGCAGCCAACAACGTGTCCCACTCGAATGGAGCAGGGAAGACCCTGTCCTGTGGACGGAGCGTTCTGTACAGCTCAGGGACTTGTGATCTCCCTTGAGACAGAAAACAGAAGATTATGTTTTTAGCAAAAAAGGGGCTTGAATGTGATTGAGATCCCTGTCTCTAAACCATCCCTCTCTATGAGCTCTGGTCTGCCATCCTAGAATCAGGTATTTGTCTTTCTCATTGTACAAACATACAAACAGAACCACCAACACCCCCTGCAGCTAGAATCCTGTCATTTCTAGCAGCCATTCCATGTCTCTGTTTTCAGTTGGGCTTCTGAGCCCACCCCTACACACGTCACCCAAACGCCGTGAAAAAGCCACCTCTGATCCCACAAGTGTGAAACCCAGTAGACTCTGGGGACTTCCTGACACTCTGGACATTGTTGAATTCTCCCTCTATCTTTAGAAGTATGTATTTCCTTGTCTCCTATGCATAACAAACCAAATTAACCAAATACTATTCCCTGGACTTTTCAAGAGAATTCTATGATCCTTCATCCAATATCCTTCATCCAATTATCTTCCTCCTACATAAAAAGGAACTTATGTACTGGTGTGTATGTGTGTGGTGGGGGACAGGGTGGCAGGTTCCTCACACTAGAGGGTAACTGAGGAAGGGAAGTGTGGCCCAGGAGATGCAGGAAGGGAATTTTAGGGGTTTGAGGACTGAGATGCCTAAGATGGCCTCTGGAATCAGAAGGAATCAGGAATTTGGGAACGGAAATCCTAGGGAGTGTTTGATGGGTTATAAATGCATCCTGTTGCTCTGGAAGGCTCGGATACGGCCTCTGAGTAGTTTCAAATGACTTTATATGATTAGATAATTCTCTAGAGCTTGTCATCTCTTTGAGACTGGGATTTGTGGGTCTCCCAGCCGGCAGGGACTGTGCAGGGCATTGCTTTCTCCCGGGCCTCCTGCTCTGCTCCTTCTTCCTCTGTGCACACTCTGGGGGTCTCTGAGTGGCTCCTGCCCACAATGTGCCCCCTCTGCTCACTCTCTCCTCTCCTTGGCTTAGCCCCACCTCCACGCTGGCTGCCCCTGAGTCTCCATCACTCACCCAGACAATGCCTCCGGGCTCCGGCTCTGGAGGCTCCTGGGCTCCATGCTGTCAGCCCCCACAGCAGCTGAGCCTCATGCCCCCTGCTTCAGCCAGGTCGGAAGTTGCGTCCTCCTGTGGTCCCTGCCTCTCACACTGCCCGCACCTGGTCGGTCATCACTGCTAATGACTCCACTCTCCTTCCCCACACGTCCTCCAGCTGCTGTTCTGCCAACATCTCCCGCTACTGCAGCCGCTTGGGTTTCCACACATCTTTGTTTTCCTTTGGTAAAACCCAAGTGTATGACTGTTGTCCTGGCAGAACCATCAGCAGTGCCCTTTCTCAGGAACAAGGGCGTCCTAATTTGGAAGATGAAGTAAACAGAGATCCTAAAAATAATCTCTAATAAGCCTCTCTTCTTCCAGACCCCTTTCCTTTAAATTACCCTTCCCCATGCCTCTCCTGTGCTCTGTTCAAGTGGCAGCTAAACCCCTGCTGAAATTGTTCTTGGCCTCCCATGATGGAAGATCTTAGCTTCTAACCCCCTTCACCTTAGGAACAGCCACGGCCTTCTCTCCTCCTCCAGACCCATCTTCCTTCTTCCCACTTCACGTTTGACCTGGAAATACCAGATCGCTGGTGAAATCCTGTGTATGACACACTTCATCAACATTTCCCCTCTGTCCAGAGCACTGGTTCCTGGCTTCCGCCTGGGCTAAGCCCTGTTCTTTACGGGCTTAGTTCAAGCATTATCCCTTCTAGAAGGCCTTCCTAGAACACCGGACGGGCCCCTCTTCTCTACCTCCAAAGCACCTGTGCCTGGTGCCCAGTCCGTAGACAATACCTCCTGGCCATTCCCATGTCCAGCTGTCTCTCGCCACCTCACACACACGCCCGGTGCTCTGAGCTCTATTCCACCACCAAGACCCTTCCTTGCCCCATCTTCCAGGAGGATGCTAGCCTGTACCTCGATTAGTACTTATTTCATTTAAAATAAATATTTTCCAATAATAACATGAGTGTGAACTACATATTTTTTCATTTAAGAAATCACAAAAGTAGAAAGAAGAAAACAAATCACCCATCAACCTACCTTGCAAAAACTGCCATTGGCTTCTCATGAGAGAAGAGTGATAAACCCCATTGAAACTCAGAGATCATAAGACGTCCAGGCCATTTACAGAAGGGAAAATGGCCTAACCCAGTTGCATAGCTATTAAGGGTATCGCTGGTTTATAAGATGGAATGATTGATATTTATGGGATCACCAATGAATGGCTAAACAACAATTATCAATCTGCTTTTGGGTGGCAGAGCCCGGGCGCTGCCCTTGTGTTGGGTGGATACTTAGAGAACTGAGCTGGGATAGAGGAACAGGGAATGGGAGGGCCCTCGCCCAGAGAACCTTGCAGACACACAGCACAGACTGGTGTGGAGCAGAGACTTGGAGGATGATGAGAAAGGGGGGACCCGCATCTCTCCGTAGGGGAGGTGTCTCTGACACTCACCAACTGGGTGGAGACCAGAGGAAAGCTGGATCTGGAAGGACCCAGAAGCAAAAAGCAAGGTGACTTCCTGGGTGCTCTTACCCCAGGGACTCACCACCTATGCAGTGGGCTCCACAAACTAGTTATCAAGTCTGATTTCTAAAAGACCCACTCTGCACACGCACGTGCTACACACCCACGGCATCTGTGGCCAAATCAGGATCTAGAGCCAGGGAGACAGAGGCATCATTCAAAACAGATGCATAGTTAACTGGCCACCAGGTCTGTGGAGAATCTGGGAATCCTCAACACTCCATGCACAAATGGTTTCCAGTTTCCAGAAATAAACACAACTAACCCAGGATGCTCCAAAGGCTTTAATAACCAGAACATGGCAGAGTCAAGGAAGCCAACGGGAGATGTTGAAGCACGGAGACTCGCAGGAGCAGGGCTCCACTCTTCAGATCCGAAGGCAAAAGCAAGGCCTGTGCAGCTGGAGCCTTGGGGAGGCCCACCTGGTGGGAGCTGGAGTCATGGGGGCATCCGCCCAACCAGCAGGAGATGATGAAAAAATAGCAAGACCTCGCTTCTCCCATCCCCAGTCCTCCTGTGGTGTTGATCGTTGGCTGAACCCAACTGGGTGGCCGTGGAAGCCTGGGGAAAGGGTCTTGGGGAAGGGGTCCTGGGGAAGGTGTTCTGTCGAGTAGAGTAGCCCTTAGGCTGTCAAATCAGGGAAAACATGGGAAACCTGGGGATAGCAGTGTTGCGGCAGAACAGGAATGGCCAGCAGAGAATACGTCTTCAGATGGGATTTGCTGAAATTTCCTCGCACTGCCATCGGCATAAGAAGCTGTCCTGCAGCATTACTCCAAGCCCATTGCCCAACTTTGAAAACCACAGCGACCACAGATTTCCACTCTGGTGTGTTTGTTTATTGCACAATCCATCTGCTCATTGACCAAATATCAATGATGTGCCAGGGACTGTGCTTGGAATGATGCGAGGCATGGAGGTTGAATTCACACGATCCCTGTTCCCAAGGTGTTCATAATCTAATGAGAAAGTAATAGCTCTGATATGGTTTCATGAAATAACCACTACAATCTGAACATTAGCCTGAAGGAACTGAAGGAAACAAGGAATCATTAATTCAGGAGAAAGTATTTTATATCAGCCTTCGAAGATGAATAGCAGAATCAGATTTTCATTTGTGTTTGGAGTGGGACAGTCTTCCCCGGAAAGTGAGAACTAAATACCATCCTTACCCACACACACACACACACACACACACACACACACACACACAGAGAGAGAGAGAGAGAGAGAGAGAGTTCAGGTGTTAACCCCAGTCCAGGTAAGAATTTAAGATTTCTGTAAACCTCCGTATTATCATCACCACCGTCCCCACCCCTCTGTTAAGGCAGCCCCAGCAGTGGGAGCAGCCTCAGAGTGCAGTGGGTCTGGCTGCTGTGTCTGTACCTGTGACCCTCCCTCACCACAGATGCCCACCGAGGAGGGAGGGGTACAGATGCGCTGCGGGGACCTCTGTATGCAGCATGTCCCTGTCAGTCCCCGGCTTGTTGACCCAGAAAGCTGGGGCCTCTGGCAGAGGAACAGCCCCTCTCTCAGGGCATGGTCAGGCATTGGGGCCTAGGGGAGACTTTCCTTGTTGTGGCTGAGCTTTGGGAATCCTCTTTGTTCCACACTTCAGATGTTTCTAATGAAAGCTTTCCACAAGGGACTCCTGACATCCCTCCACGACCATCCTCCTCCTTCAGCATCTGCCCCTCGGGAGTGATGTCCCACAATTGTTCAGAAGACGTGGGGCCTTCTTGGTTCTCACACTCCACGTCACGGTTGGTCAGGAACCCCTGTGGCTCCCCCACGGACTGTGCCAATGTGGGGTCACTTCTTTCCACCTCCACACCACGCCCCTTTCCCAGTCTCCCCGCCTGGAGGACCCAGGAGCTCCTAGCAGGGCGTGGACATCAGCTGCCCTCTCCTGCGGCCAGTTCCCCACGTGGGCTGAGGGTGCCACATCCCAGAATATCACCCTCAATTCCCCAACAGCCCCAGTTCACTGTGGATAAAAGGCTGAGTGTCCATCACACACTGCGGGGTTCTACTTGACCCATCCCTGATGCTGCCCTGACTGCATCCCTACGTCCTCCCTGGTCACCTTCCCCCACTCAGGCCACAGGGGAGTGCCTTCTGCACCTTCTCCCTGCGATGCTCTCTCCATATTCCTAAAAGCACCTTTGCTCAAGTAACTCCTACACCATGGTGCTTACTCCTTCTGGCCTGTGCAATACAGATGACCCCTGTGTACCCCATGGCACTTCCAAACCCTGCACCCGGTTCTACCCTCTATTTTGATTTCCCCCAAACTTAAATTCTAATGCTTTTTAGCTAGCTTAAATATTATCATTTTCTGTCTTTCCTCAATGGATTGTAAACCAGTGTAACTTTGTCTTTTTTTTTCCCCAAACTTACGTACCCCAGTCACCAAGACTGTTGCCTGACGTGCTCAGCAAATGCTCTTTTGAATGTTAAGTGAACTTGTGGCTCCGTGGCTAGCATCTATTTGGGGAGAGCCCCAGAGCTAGCACAGGCTCATCTGTGGGAGGGGTGCACCGTTAGCCTGAAGCCCCACGTGGGAAGACTTTCACGATTCCACTTTCCCCACAGAGAAATATTTTCACCCGATGAATCCCTCCTTATTGCTGCAGTGACGGACCTGAAATTGGGAAAGTTGGAAGCGCACGATGCTGGCACTGGTGGGAATCATTCGTGAACCGGGTGCTTCTCTTGGGTCAGAAGCTGGAAGCAAGAGTAAGAATCCGGGAAGATCTCACTGGAGGGGGAAGAAGAAAAACATGAGTTCGAATTGACAATGAGGCCACCCCAGGAGCAGGGAGGACAAGAGGACAGTTTGAGGGAGGACAAGAGGACAGTTTGAGGGAGGACAAGAGGACAGTTTGAGGGAGGACGAGAGGACAGTTTGAGGGAGGACGAGAGGACAGTTTGAGGGAGGACGAGAGGACAGTTTGAGGGAGGACGAGAGGACAGTTTGAGGGAGGACGAGAGGACAGTTTGAGGGAGGACAAGAGGACAGTTTGAGGGAGGGCAAGAGGACAGTTTGGAAGCCATGGGTGATGCCGCATGTGTACGAGGGTTCAGTGAGAAGCAGACGCCACACAGAGCTTGGAAGGCTGAGGGGACTCCATGCAGGGTGCTGGTTCCAGGAGGGATGGAGAGGCCGAGAAGCCAGAGCCAAAGGGCGGCCAAGAGGAGCCACTGCCCCGAGGGATGAGCGGCAAGGACCACGTCAAGGCAAGGGAGAAAGAAGAGGGGGTGACAAGCACCCCATGAGACCTGAGTGACAGGCAGGCACAGGGGGGAGCAGCAGCAGCTGTCAGTCACCGTCCAGGGCAGGAGAAGAGGGAGGATGCCGGCTTCCCTCACCTCCCCACCTCCATCTCAAGCCAGTGCCTCTCTGCGGGGCCAAGCAGAAGTGGGCAGCCTGGGCACCTGCGGAATTTATCCCCAAGAAGGGGGAGTCCACAGCCCTGAAATGCCAGGAAGACCTGGGCAGGTGGGGAGTGGAAGGAAAGGAGGCCAGTTTCCACAGACAGCAGGGGACACAAGATGACAGAGATCCCCTAGGTCCGGCCAGGAGCTGCAGCGACCTTTGGAAGTGCAGTCAGCATAGGGCACAAGCCCCAGCACTATGGAAACTGGCTATTTTTAACCTATAATCTTTCCCTCCTAGTTTCTCGTTAGGATTTGTGAAGGATTTTTAAAATGTCACCCTGTCACCTCTATGATACAGGAGAACCAAGAACATGGGATTTCAAGCGAGCAGCCGGGCCCTCCTGGGGTGTGCGTGGTGGTAACTGTGGGAACTGGCAGAACTCCCCTGGGAGGGAGGCTCCACAGCTTCCACACTCCTCTGCAAGATGTCTCTTTTTACCTGGAGTTTCCTGACCTGCCAGTTCTTTTTCTTCTGTGCTTCCACGTGGCAGCATCTGGCATCCGGCTGCTCTTCATGCCTGTCGCTGTGGCCCTTTTTCAAAGGTTGGGCAGTCCTGCCTCAGCCCCTGCCATGCCCTCCTCTGACGGAAGAGCTGCTGCTATGTGGAGTCTCTGAGCCCGGAATGCCAGCCCTGACCTGCAACCTTGTCAAATATGAGACTAATGTTTGCAGCGAGAATGTAATGAGTAGGTTAGATACAAATGCCTTCGTGAGGAGAACCTCTCCCTCTGGTCACTGGACATATGAAAAGTTATACCTTTGAAATCTTAAGGACCCAAGGAAACAAAATAAAGGATCCTCCAGCCTCAACATCACATGCACCTGCAGTATTCCTGAGCCTTAAAACAATCTGTGTTTGCGGGTAACTCCTAGGAAACACGCTGTAATGAAAATATGCCAGGTCTTCAGGTCTCTCATGAAAGAGTCCTGAATAATTGGGGCTCTTTCTCCGATCTGGGCAGCCTCATAGTGACATGAGGAGCCTGTCAGTGTTGGCTGCAATTTACAAATGAGGCAGGTGGGTCCTGCCCAAGGGCACACAGCTGCTAGGCAGAGCCAGGGTTGGGACATTTGTCTTCTGGGACACACTGAATGTGGCCCTGCAGCTTGAATCACATTATTTCTCTTAGAAGAATTCGCCCCTAGATTTTTCGTCTATCAACATTGTTGCCATCTTTTAAGGGACGAGTTCACTAAGGAAGTTAGTCCTGACCCATGCCTTTCCCCAGAGGCCCTCAATCCCAGCACCAAAATAATAATTCCTCTCACTGTTTTCCAGATGTATGTGATCTGTACCTCTATCAGAACTTACTTCACTTAAAATAAATACTTTCCACTAAATAAATGAGCATTAACTATATATTTTTATTTAAAATTCAGAAAAAGAATTAGAAGAAAATAAACCACCCATCAACCTATCTTGCAAAAACTGCCAACGGCTTGCCATAAGAGAAGAAAAATAAACTCCAATGAAACTCAAAAATCATTAGATGTTTAGGTCATTTGGTGCATGGAGAAACCGTGTAATACAGCTCCACAGCTACCAAGAGTAACTCTGTTTTATAGGATGGAATAATTGATATATATGTGATATCATCAATAAGTAATTACACTACGTTTCTCATATAATGTAGGTGAGACAGTGTGCTATCCATTTTAGAAATATTTTAATTCAACATTCAAAATGATTTTTGTGTGTTTAAGTTTTGCCGATCAAATTGATCAGCTGTAGTTATCTGCAAAATTTGTGTGGGTTTGAGTACAGCGCCTTCCCATGCCTGGGGCTGGATGAATGAAGTATCCCCCAAACAGCCTTAAGCAAAGGGATAACAACAAATGAACGCAGACTCTCATGAAGGGTGAGTTACAGGATGTTTCAGAGTTTCCGTGAAGCTGAGTATAATTGTGTTTAAAATCATCTCGGCGTCATGCATGTTGAACTGGAACTGGCCATGGTGCTGGAAGTAGACATCATGATCATAGGGAAACGGCAATGGTACTGGGGGAGGTGGGCTACACTGACCATTTTATTTATGATTTGGAAGAAAAAGCAATGACGCAATTGATTTAAAACCTATATTTCTAGATTACTCAAGAGGCCAAAACACTCAGGTGATGAACTCTTACACTGTAGAGAATGCCCAGTGTGACCATGTGCATTTCATCCTCTTCCTGCCTCCCTCTGTGAGGAAGGAAGGACAATGCCAGGCATGGAGATGACAGGGATTTTCCTGAGGCCAGCAGCGTGGCTAGAGCTCACTCCTTGAACCCTTCACTATGGGCTTGTTCCACTCCAGAGAGAGAAATAACACACATAACCTTTTGCCTCCCACTGTGGAAGGAGGTAGGCAACTGGCATTGGATGAACAATTGCTATGTGGCTGTCTGACTTGCCTATCTGAGGCTACTTTACAAAAGTAATTTATTTCAAATATCATAACAACTCTTTGAGACAAGTATTACTGTCTTGTTTTTAAAATGAGAACAGAGTAGCCTAGAGACATTAACTTTCTCAAGTAAACAGCAAAATGTATACACTGTAATTAAGTAAGGCATTTATTAATTCAATTAAAACTTCTAATTCTACCAGGGAGGAAGCACTACCCTAGGCGCTGGAGACATGAGGAGGAAGGATGTTTCTGATTGCCTTCTCCATGGTGCAGGAGTGATACACAGGCAATTAACTGCAGAGCCAGGGAGAACATCGTGCAGGCAGTCAACAGCGTGAGCCGCCACTTGGAGGTGAGAGGGAAGGTGGCTCATTCGAGAATTGAGAGGAACTGGCTGTGCTTCAGCAGAGTCTACGTGGGTCTGACAGCACCAAGTTGAAAGGCGTTTCTCTGAGAAGCATGAAGGTTCAAGTCAAGGAGGGCATCATCTCAGCCCTGTGAGACACTGGGGGGCTGCTCCCGAGGGCAGTGTGGGGGGGTTAAGCTGCTGAGTGACACTTTGGAGGGACTGTTGTGCTGTCAGGTGCAGAAAGTCTTGAATGACATTAAGAGTGGAGACAGAAAAACTGATTCGGAAGCAATTGCAACAATCCAGGCACAAGAGTGTGTTGTTGAGGTAAGATATTGTAGAGAAGATGGTAACATTTTAGGTGAACTTCTCCATTCTTGTATACTCAGCACCTAGAACAGAGCCTGGTACACAGCAGGTGCTGGATAAATGTCTGTCAAAGAAACCAAGGAGACAGTAGTCAAGCAGTGGCATGCATAATCCCAGAACTTGGCCTTTTCTTCAGTACCGAAGGTGAAGCCATGAAATCCAGCCAGGAACGCCCTCGCCTCCCCTCTGCAGTCTGACGATGGAGTCAGGTGAGAGACGGATGCAGTGCGGGAGCCTGAGACAGCACAACGTAAATGGGAACAATAAGAGTCTCACGCAGGAGCAGCATCAGTGAACATGGGGAGGTAAGTAGAGTGGGAGGTTTTGCAGAGAAGCCAGAGCAGAAATCACAGAAAGGCAAGGTCGTTTGGGAAGGGGCTCAGGTTTTTCCTGCAAGCATGGGAAAACAGAGGTGTTTCTTCTGCAAGCAGGCAGTGGGGCAGTCTCAGATCCCAAGGTGACTGGTCCATGCCTCTCTTCCCACCCCAGCTCAGCACCACACTCCACACCCCAGCCATGCCACTGGCACCTGCACCTCCACACCCCAGCCACACCGCCGGCACCTGCGTCTCCACACCCCAGCCACACCTCCAGCACCTGCACCTCCACACCCCAGCCACACCACCGGCACCTGTGTCTCCACACCCTGGTCGTGCTGCCGGCACCTGCACCTCCACACCCCGGCCACGCCACCAGCACCTGCACCTCCACACCCCAGCCACACCGCTGGCACCTATGTCTCCACACCCCGGCCATGCCGCCAACACCTGCATCTCCACACCCTGGCCATGCTGCCGACACCTGCACCTCCACACCCTGGCCATGCTGCCGACACCTGCACCTCCACACCCTGGCCATGCTGCCGACACCTGCACCTCCACACCCTGGCCATGCTGCCGACACCTGCACCTCCACACCCTGGCCACACCACCAGCACCTGCATCTCCACACCCCGGCCATGCCATCGGCACCTGCACCTCCACACCCCGGCCACGCCACCAGCACCTGCACCTCCACACCCCAGCCACACCGCCCGTACCTATGTCTCCACACCCCAGCCATGCCATCAGCACCTGCACCTCCACACCCCGGCCACACCACCAGCATCTGCACCTCCACACCCCAGCCACAGCACTGGCACCTATGTCTCCACACCCCGGCCATGCCACCCGCACCTGGGTCTCCACACCCTGGCCATGCTGCCGGCACCTGCACCTCCACACCCCGGCCACGCCACCAGCACCTGCACCTCCACTCCCCAGCCACACCTCCAGCACCTATGTCTCCACACCCCAGCCATGCCATCGGCACCTGCACCTCCACACCCCGGCCACACCACCAGCACCTGCACCTCCACACCCCAGCCACACCGCCGGCACCTATGTCTCCACACCCCGGCTATGCCGCCCGCACCTGCGTCTCCACACCCTGGCCATGCTACCGACACCTGCACCTCCACACCCCGGCCACACCGCCGGCACCTGCTCCAGCTTCCCCTTCAGTAGGCAAGGGATTCTCAATCTTGGCTGCATAATGGAATCACCCAGTGAACTCTAAAAGATACTGAAACCTGGACCTCACCCCTAGTGATTTGGTCTTAGGAGAGCTTGGGCACCAGGACTGTTGAAAGATCTCCAGTGTTTTTCATGTGCAGCAAAGGTGAAGAACGGCTGCTCCAGGCCCCGATAAAGCCTCGGCCCACGGGCCAGGGTCTCCACTGAGCTTCTTACCAAGTTCTAGGCTAATGTCCTATTATATTAACCAACCTCTGGGTTCCAGATCACGTCAGACCTTGAGCCTCTTACTTGTTTTCCTGCCTACAACCTCAGCTTCTCCAAAACTGAGGTCAAGTCCTTGATTCACAGCCAAGGACCTTCTGGAGGCGGGTACCCTGCCCCCAGGCTCAATATTCATAGCTGTCCCTGCTTTCAGCCTTCCTCAACTCAAATCAAGTCTGGATGTGGTTTTGGGGTGCTCAGACCCCATGCTTATCACCTACCCTGGCATCCAGGGAAAGTCCATGAGAAGCGCGTGGCAAGTGTGGGGCACAGAGCAGGTGCCCACAACATCCCAACGGGGGATCACACGGAGGATCACACGGAGGATCACACCACCGGTGGTCACGAGACAGACTGAGGTAAAGAGCAGGCGCCCACAACATCCCAAGGGAGGATCACACGGAGGATCACACCGCCGGTGGTCACGAGACAGACTGGGGCACAGAGCAGGCGCCCACAACATCCCAATGGAGGATCACACGGAGGATCACACCACCAGTGGTCATGAGACAGACTGGGGCACAGAGCAGGCTCCCACAACATCCCAACGGAGGATCACACGGAGGATCACGCCACCAGTGGTCACAAGACAGACTGGGGCACAGAGAAGGCGCCCACAACATCCCAACGGAGGATCACACGGAAGATCACACCACCGGTGGTCACGAGACAGACTGAGGTAAAGAGCAGGCGCCCACAACATCCCAATGGAGAATCGCACTGCCGGTGGTCATGAGATAGACTGGGGCACAAAGCAGGCGCCCACAACATCCCAATGGAGGATCACACCGCCAGTGGTCATGAGACAGATGGGATTCTGCAGAGGTGCTTAGGCCACTTCCCACGGGGCCCCTGCCAATGACTTTGCAATTACCTTTCATGAACATGTGGAGAAGAGCCTATCGTTGTAAGTCCCGTTTCCAAAGAGACTTGAACTAGTAGCACCCAAAGGCAGCTGATGGGATAGGAAAGGCATCAGAATTTTTAAAGTTGGGTGAGCCTGGGTTCAGATCTCAGAGTCACATTGTCACTTGCCCTCCCTAAGTTTCACAGTTTCTCATCTGCAAAGCAGAGCGGGTGAAAGCACACCTCTGCATTTGACCTTCACAGTAGACCAGCATGTGCATCCTGCATTCCTGTCCACACTGTCGGGAAACACATTTATGGAGATGATTAAATGTGAAAATACAGCTGTAACCAGAGGTCAGAGGCCAGAATCCAGTTCATTCTGCCTCCACAGCCCATGCTCTTCCAGCCACACCCTCAAGCATAGCCAACGTGTCCCTGGATGACAGGCCTTCTTTCCAGCCTCCCCAAAAATCTCAAAAGGCTGAGCCTGTCATCTCTGAACTACAGCAGCCTGGCCAGGTTAAAGGGCATCCCCTGGTCCAATGCCTGACTTTCAGCAAGAGCTTTAACCAGTAACTGGGACCCAGAGTCAAACACAATGGCCTGGAAGTTTCCCAAACCTCAGATAGGACAACAGTTGGTGCACGTGGGTCCTCCAGATCCCGTGTGACCCTGGGAAGACTGCCCCTCATCAAGCCGCAACTTCTCCCATCTCAGTCCCTCCATATCTCGGGAACTCCCCTTGGTCCTCATATCCTCTCCCTTCCATGGCAGGAAGCCCATCTCCACTTGCACCAAAGTGACGCCAGAGCCTCACGTGCTCCTGGCCAGTCCTCTCTCCGTCCATCTTACCACCACCAAGTCAGCACTGTTTGCACCTCTGCAAGTGGGTAAATACCCATTCTAAGAAGGACACTGTCTTAAGCCACGTAGACTGCTATAACAAGATACCTTGGACTCAATAACTTATAAACAACAAAAGTGTATGGCTCACAGTTCTGGGAGCTGGAAGTCCAATATCAAAGTGCCAGCAGATGTGACATCTGGCCAGGGCTCTTTCTGCTTCATAGATGGTGCCTTGTTTCTGGGTTTTCACATGGCAGAACAAGCCCCTGAGATGTCTTCTCTAAGGACATTGATCCCGTTCATGAGGGCTTTGCCTCAGGAACTAACCATCTCCCCAAGGCCCCACTTCCCAGCACCGCTGCACTGGGGATTAGGGATCCACACATCAACTTGGGGTGGGGACCTCAACATTCAGACCATAGCAGGCGCTGCCGTTAGACATGATTGCCCCATGCCTTAAAGACCAAAAATAAAACTATCATACCTGTTACAATTCAAAAACCAAGCCTTCCCACTATTAACTTATTGTCATCACCCAAAGCCGTGACCACACTCACATGCATCGTCTCTTCCCATTCAACACATTTTCCCAGTCCCAATCACCCCTTCTCTCTGCTCTCTGATGGGCACGGACTGTCAATCACACATCCCCACACCCTCCCTAAGTCTTCCATCTACTTCCCCCTCCGACTGAAGTGTGGATCTCACTTACGATCACCAAGTCCTCTCTCCAGCCATGCCCTTTTATCTCCCACACCCAAGGCACCACTAGGATAGAGGTGGTGTGGGCACCTCCCCTGCCTGATCTTCCCCAGCCATTGCTCTTTCCTTCTCCTTCACAACCCCACCCCCACCTTGGAAGCAGGTTCCATCATACTTTGCTGCATGCTACCCTGCTTTCTGCTGTCATTCACCAGCTCAGAGGCACCCCACTGGCTTCTTTTTAGCACCTGGCTCACTTACGACAGCTCCCGTCACCAGTCCTGTCTCTGGGCTAACTCCATCCTCCATGCTGACACCCCTCAACCACCCCCAATGGTGTCCCCACTTGAATGAGCCTCTCACTGCAGAGCCACACCCTCCTAGATTTTTGCATTACCAATAGTGTGTAGCCTCCAAAGTCTGGTTTTAGAAGCCTACCCATTGAGCTGTCCATGTTTCCAGATCATTTCCAGATCACTTGTTCTAGAAATTCCAAGATAGCTCATGTTTGGCCCCATTGTAACCTCCAATCCACTCACCCCACCAGGCTTCTACTGCCCACAACCCCATAGCCTCACTTCCATCGTGAATGGATCAGAAGACGTGGCTTATCAATGTCAGCACTGCTTGTGTACCTTGGCAAATCTTTTTCCATACTTCTTCCAAGATACTCATTTACCCGGAAAAATTCAAGCTCTCCTTATCCATGGATAAACAAAAGCATTACACACTCACATCCACACATCCACAGACACACAACCATGCTGACCATTCTCATTTTAAATTTAAATGTAGAACACAGACTTTAGTGACGCTTCAGTGTTGCCTAGAAATCCAGCCACTCAAGGAAGCTGCTGCTACTCTCACCCTCTCCCCCTTCCACATCAGCGTCTCCCTGTATTGTGCCATTTTCCACCAGATTATAACCATGCCATGACAGTTACCATCTTAATAAAACAGGGAAAGAAACCCATAGGTCCCATGTCTCTAACTTTACCCCGTTTTCTTACAAAACTGTCACCTGTTGTCCTTTCTGCACTTCCTCACCTTCCATTCTCACCTCAACACACCCTGATCACCGTCCCCTATGGTTGCTTTTATCAAGGGCAACAAAAAGTTCCCTCTAGCCGAATCCAAAAAGAATTCTCCGTCTCCAGCTTCCTTGAATGGCAGCAATGTTCAATACATTTGAACACTGACATGTGTTTCATAGATTTGAATGCTGCTTCCTTGACATGTCTCTTCCCTTGGGCGCCATGCCCCTGGCCTCCCCTCGCCTCACTGCTGACTGCTTCTCAGGTTCCTTCCCCAATGGCTCCTCATGTTCTGACCTCCAAGCTTGCTCTCCATCCTCATCTCTGCCTTTCCCCACTTCCCAGGTGGACTTTCCAGGACTGTCACACTGAGCATCACTTGGATGCTATGGACGTCCAAGCTTGCACCTCTCACCTCGACAAGCTCCTGACCCAGGGCTGTGCATCCAGCTCCCAAGTGGGCATCGCTGCATTTGGGCTGACAGATGCCCCAGACTTAATGTTTCTAAGGCAGAGCCCTACTCTCCATTCTCCTAAGGTCACCTTCATCCAGTCTTTCCCACCTCGGCAAATGGCACCACAACTCCTGACACTTTTGGCAAAAACCCAGTCATTCTTTAGTTTTCCCTTTCCCTCCCAAGTGGCATCCTGTCTACCAGTGAGGTCTCTGAAATCTACATGTCATTCCCTGCTTCACCTCTACCACTTAAATCATCAGCCATCTCCTGCCACCTGGATTACAACCATAGCTCCCCTCCCAACATCCCCTCTGCCCCTTGACATCTGACCTGTGTGCTGCGTGGTTCTCAAATGTACTTAGATTACGTCACTAATGTACTGCTTTAGAAGGTGCCATTTTAGGCACGAAACCTGCACTGCTGCCTGCACCTGCAGGGCCGCACTCCGGGGTCTGTACCCCTCAGACCCCCGCGTTCACCGCACCCCTTCTTACTCACCTCGTGGCTGTCTGCTCTTCAGGCCAGTCCCACCCCACCTCGCCCTGACCGCACCCACTGCTCCGAATTCCAGGGCACTCTTCTCCCTAATCTCCTCACAACCCACACCTTTATTTCCCTCTCTGATCAAATATCACCTCCTCCAAGATGGTTTTCTGGCAGCCTGACCCCCACCCATCACCTCTATCCCTCCTCTTGCTTTTTTCCCCACCTCCGCATCACATCACACCACGGGTTCGTGTTGCTTGCTTCGTGTCCGCTCCCTGGAACATCAGCTCCCTTGCATGTCTGCCTTTGCTGCCTTCCGCTCTGCCCTGGCTACCGCACTTGACTGCACGCCCCACCCACAAGCCTGGTAGAGGGGCTCATCCTGTACACTTGGTATTTCCCATTCTGCATATCATGGCGTTTCCATCTAAGATAAGTCCTTAATGACGCACCTAAAGGAAAAGCAAACAGTTGTTTTGAAATGAGGGAAGGGGCTAGGAAAGGGATCGCGTCCACACTGTCTGCACTGGCACTGATTCATAAACCCCGCTGCAGGGCAGCAGAACCAGCCTGTGCTGGGCCCGTGGCTCCTCTCCCAACCTGCTTCCCATCTCCACAGACCGTCTGACCTGACCATAGTGAGGCTTTGCTCTGCTAGCTATGCAATGTTAGTGGCCCTTAGCCCCCCACATTCCCCCCCAGCTTGCTCCCCCTGCCATCTTGAGGTGAGGAGCTGTGGCAAAGGCCACTACCTGGAGGGCCTGGAGACCCTCGGATGGGAGGTCCGATCGGCCCTGCTCACACACATCTGCTCAGGGCGCCTGCCTGCCTCCTGGCCCTGTCTCCTTCCTCCCAGTCCTGTGGCCCCCACTTAGCCCAGTCTGCTCGCTGGGTCTCTCCGCACACTGTAGAAGGTCTTCCCATCTAAGGCATGAATTGTGCCTTAAGGTGCTGTCCAGAGTTTTGCCTGACTCCCTTCCCTGCCTCCCCGGAGCCCAGCCCGTGTCTGAGCCATGCCTACACTGTTGCTGCAGTGGGTTCTGTCATAACTCAGGTGTCCTGGGAGCGTGGGCACCTCCCACCTGCATCCCCAGGCTACCAGGTCTATCCTGAGCCAGGCCCCTACTTGTCACTCAGTTTCCCTACAGAGTGACCCCCTAGATCCACTCCCCAAGGCGGGGACCCAGCAGGGGTGCAGACTCAGGAGCGCAGCCTGATGCTCCCTCAGGGCACAGCCTGGAGGAGGGAGCCAGGTGGGCTGTTGTTTCACAGAAAGTCCCCCATGGCTCTCAGGGACGTGGAGCTGTTAAAGCTTCAGCTTTTAAATCTCTGCACCCTGGGTAGTTGTGAATTGGTGACAAAGCAGCTGTCCCCACAACCAACTCTCCTGGCCACACTGACACCCACACACTGCTGACACACACAGCACAAAGCATACACAGCACACACTTGCACACGCGTCCAGAAGCACCCACATACACCAGACACACAGACCATATATAACTACACACAACACATCACACACCAGATGCACACCACACATAAGCACGCACATAACACCCATGCACTGCATGACAACAACACACATGTGCACACAAGCACACACAAACACACTGGAGCTACACACCAGACACACAGACCACACCACAGACACACGCTGACCACCCATAAATACACATCACACACACGCATACACCATCCATAAACACACACAGGCTGCACACAGGACTCATACACCACACACGGATCGACTGGGGCTTCTGTGCTGGCAGCCGGCCTCTCCCTCCTCCGCCCATTCCGCCTTTTTCTTGTGCTGCGTTTAATCCTGTTCATCTCTGTCCCTGCCAGGCGTGGTCTCAGCAGGGCCTATTTGGGATCTCAGCAGCCTCTCTCAATGGTGAACAAACAGCCCAGGCCGGGCACGGTGGCTCGTGCCTGTAATCCCAGCACTTTGGGAGGCCAAGGTGGGCGGATCACGAGGTAAGGAGTTCGAGAGCAGCCTAGCCAATATAGTAAAACTTTGTCTGTACTAAAAATACAAAAATTAGCTGGGTGTGGTGGCTCGCGCCTGTAGTCTCAGCTGCTCGGGAGGCTGAGGTAGGAGAATCGCTTGAACCCAGGAGGCGGAGGTTGCAGTGAGCCAAGATTGTGCCACTGCACTCCAGCCTCAGCGATCAAACCAGACTCTGTCTCAAAAAAAAAAAAAAAAAAACCACAGCCCATAGACCCGTTGCCTGCTGGCAGGGATTCCGCAGCAGAGACGAGTGGGCGCTCGTGGTCACTGGGGCACGAGGGAGACATGGCCTGCCGGAGGGCCACGGCCCCGGGTGATGCCGACCTTCTTCCTCCCGTCCCTCCCGCGTGCAGGTGTGCTCACTGTGACCCTTTTGCCTACGCGTGTCAAATTCCCAAGCCAGTGAAACACTGCACTTGGCCAGGGAGTACGCTTCCTAAAGAGCTTGTAGACTCTAGGGCCTGGAGTCAAAAGCTCAGGGTTAAAGTCCTGACCGTGCCCCCTACTATGTGCTTTTGGCAGGTAAATTAGCTGCTATCAGCATCCATTTCCTCTTCTGGGAAACAGGCCTGATGGTACTTGAAAGCTTTTCCCGAACTCTTCCCCCAGTTGCCGTAAGGATAGAATGAGGCCTTGTGTGAGGCCTGTGTGGCTGCAGATGGCTACGAGTCTTGCCCCCAAGTAGACACTCCAAACGTGAATCGAGCTGGGCCACTTGCTTGTGACCTGCTTGTCACTTTGCTTATGAGGGATGCACAGGAAATAAGGAAGGTCTCTCCCCTCCAAGAGCTTGTTTTCTTAATCCAGGATGCGGCCTCATGCCCTGCACGGAGTGGTGAGTCTGCCGAATGTTTAACAATAACAGAAGGGCAGCCTCCTGGGGGCAGGGAGGGCCCGGCTCTGTCCAAGCTCTGGAGGAAATGACACCTGGACCATCTGTCCCCTCCCAGCTAGGGAGGGAGGAGCCCGCAGGGCAGAGAGGAGACAGGAGGGTAGCAGGCACCAGCGGGAAAGTGAGCAGCTGAGTGATGGTGGACACTGGACTCCTTTCCCCTCCCTGAGCTACCACGTGCAGATGGCCACGGTGCCCACTTCATTCTTCATCGCACTGGGCAGGAGCTCTGTGCAGGGCACTGAGTCTAGTGCCATCGGGTATCCAGGTCTCAGAGCCTTCATTGCTGCAACATTTCCAAAGTCACCAAAGGCCTGCAGTCACCTCTGCCCAAAGCAGATGAACAAGAGACCCAAGAAATACCAGCCTCTGTGTTGAGGTGGGGCCCACAAAACAGCTCAGAAGAAAGCCTGAGAGGGAGGAGAAAAAACAGGGGTAGTCAAGAGGGAGGGAGGGAGTGACAGTGACCCACCGTCAGCGTCGGGGAGAAGAGGTTGGTGGAGTGAGGAGGTAGCTGGGCTACTGGAGATTGAGTAGCAGAAGGCAGGGAGGCCAGGAGAGAACACGGGGAGGGATGCCTTGGTCAAGAATTCTAGGCGAAACCACAGGATGCAGTCCTGTGCCTGGTGACGCAGCCATGGCTGGAGGGTTATTTTTCACATAAGAAGCTCCAGCTTCTCATCTCTTCATTCCAGACTGGAGAGAAAGAGTGAGGGGAGACATCAGGGTGCGGGGGAGAGGAGGCACAGCTGCCCGGGGCTGCAGCAGGGAGGGCTTCCTGCCAGGAGGGATGTGGGGCCTGGAGGATGCCCGCCTGACCCGTCCAGCTGCTGGCACACTCGGGCTTTTGTGAAGGTACCCACATGGCACTGAATGGGCCAGTGCATTCCAGGGCCGCATATGGCCCCCATCTGGCCCTTGGCAGGTGTTGCCAATACGTCTTCCCTGGACACTGTGTGTTCCCCTGGGCGGGGTGGACCCACGGGCTCTGCCCACCAGCCTCTTCGAATTCTCAGACGTCTCAAGAAAACGGCCATCAGGCCCCGCTGTCCTCCTCCACATCCTCCCTTCGCTGCACGCCTCCCTCCATGGTGGGAGTTGCCCCCTCCACAGGGACGTGTCAAGCCTTGATATACCCACTGCGTACCCCAGGGCCACGCTCAGGAGCTGCCGCTGGATGAATAAGAGGATTTGAACGGGAAAAGACTCCCACAGTGCCCCAGAGGCCAGGCCTCTCCTCTCCTACACCAGCCCGCTGTGACCTGGGCCTCAGGATGGTGACCCCAGAGCTGGGCAAATGGTGCCACAGCCCCAGCCTTGCCCGGCTTTAACTTCCTGAGGGTAAAATTCCGCAAACATCTCTGAAGAAAGAGCTCACCTCATAGCTCTTCCTCCTCTGGCTGCTGATCCCCGACCCTCTTCCCTAGGGAGGCCCCAGGTCCGCACCACCAGGCACACTCCTGCCCTGCGAAGACCTGGGGCAAGAGGCGACATCTGCTCTTTTCCCTTCCAAAGCTCCTTCAAGGGCTCATACCCTGGACAGGAGGCACCCAGACCTCCTGGAAGGGAGGAAATTCAGAGCTGGGCAGACCCCAGGACAAGGCAATCCCCATTTCACTGAAGAAAGACCCCGAAATGAGGCCCTCTTCTCCCAGGACTAGGGGACTACCAGGTGTGAGCGCTTTCTCTGCATCAGGGGAGCTGTCCTTTGAGGCACCTTTCCAACGAATAAGTCCACCCCAGCTGTTGCCAGAGAGAAAAGGTGAGCGACTCTTGGAAGAGGCAGATGACACATTTACTTCACTGTCCTGGGGAGCAGCTGCCAGAATCATGGGCGGCCAGTGATGCCCAAGTCTGGGCTCCCCTCCGACAGGAGCCACCTCACGGCACAGCCTCTGCACACCCCGCACCGTCCGGCGGCCTTCCCTTCACCCCACACTGGCCGTGGCACACCTGAGACCAGGCCTTGGGAGCCAGCTGGAGTCTTGGTCCTTGGAGTTCTCCAGGCTGGGGAAGGAGGCAGCAGGGGTGGAGAGGGCTTGGTCCCTGTCCCCGGCCACATCTCAGCAGGGCATAGAGAGCAGCTTTGCCTACAAGCCCCAGCCCCTCCATCTGTGAAGTGAGAGCACGGCGCCTGCTTCCTAGAGGCATCGTGAACATGAACGAGTCTTGTCTGCACAGACCACCTGCCACATGAATGCTCAGGGGGCCCTTTCCAGCCCTCCCCACCCACCACGCCCCCCACGCACACTTGATCTTTTTAATGGACTAGTGGAGGAGGTGCTGGCTGTGGCTGCTCACAGGGCATCCGCTCATCTGCGCTGCTGCCTCAGTCAATGAGAAGCCGCTCCCTCAGCTCACAGGTCATGGCACTGTGGGGACAGACACACATCGCTTGTCCAGAGATCTCATAGTCAGTGCCCTAAGCTACGAGGGACACAGCTGAGACCCAGAATATGAGCAGAGGCGGCTCCAGGCTGTCAGAGAGAATTACGCCATGGAGAGATTCCGACGCCTGTCTGAGACTCTCTCTCATGGACTCTCACTTCCACATGGTCCTCACACGCATGTGGCCTGGTCCCCTGGGAGGCCATGCAAGATGATACTCAGTAAGACACACAGCAATGTGAAGGTGACCGGCCGACCCCAGCAAGACGCAGATACTCAGTAAGACACACAGCAACGTGAAGGTGACCGGCCGACCCCAGCAAGACGCAGATACTCAGTAAGACACACAGCAATGTGAAGGTGACCGGCCGACCCCAGCAAGATGCAGATACTCAGTGAGACACACAGCAACGTGAAAGTGACCGGCCGACCCCAGCAAGACGCAGCCACTCACAGTGGGAGGAAAGCAAGAAATGGCAGGAATGAAAGCCAGGGCTCAGAGAGAAAACGATCTGCTCCAACATCGAAGGAACACATTCTCCTCAACAGCAGGGGCCTATGGGCTTCGCAGACACCCACAGCAACTCGGGTCTCTAGGATGGCCTCAGACAGCAAGGACAGAAAGCAATGCCCCCATGCACCCGCCGTGAGATGACAGGGAAGCGAATGAGCAGACACGGACATCATTGAGGGTGATGAAGATAATAAAAGGATGTCCTACGTGTGACCACATGTGGCAGAGACAGCCATGGGTGGCCGGAGATGGAGGAAGCTCAGCTGGCCATTGCTCCCCATGTCTAAAACTCTCTTGCAGGAGACGTGGTCCTGGAAGAGCCCGGAGTTCCGGGTCCAGGGACAGGGGTTTGAGTCCCGGTTCTGCCAGAGCTTAGCTTCATAGCTTCTGAGCCACAGTTTCATTTATCAAAAAAAAAATAATCATCATCAAAATAAACATAGTAACATTCCTCCTTTGTCTACCAATTCCTAAGTTTATTTGTGAATCAAATGAAATACTACCTATGAATATATTTTGTTCAGTATAAATTGCTTTGCAAGGGTAAGGGCTTTTTATAATTATATAAATAAATGCAACCAACATATACCTCCCTGGCAGCAGAGGACAACCGTGCAGCCGTCAGGACCGGGAAGGGCAGAGGAGCTGACTCCGCATCTCTCTCTCCTGAGGCCCCCACTCCTGCCCCACACCATGATTCTATTAAAGGTGTGCATAATTAACCCGCAATTCTGCCAGGCATTCTTGCAGTGAAATACAAGGGCATTATCATGATATATTGTGAGATTCTGCTGATTGGAGGTTACAAAGTATGTAATTAGCTCATGTCACTCCACATAGTTACCTGAGAGTAAGTGGCGACATTCATTACAGCGTACAAGGAAACATAAAAATGATGAAAGGAAAACAAAATTCTCAATTCCTTCATTACTGAGTTCAGTGACAATAAGAAGCTAATTGCAACATTTTGTATAGTTTGATGAATATTGCTTTTTTCAAAAAAAATAAAATAAACCCAAGTACTAAAGTCAGAACTGTCCTTGGATACTATTCTTCAGCCCAAGATCTCCCATAGGATGAAAGCGAGGCCCCAAGAGACTGCATCGCACTTTCAGTGCTGTAAGCAAGTGCGTAGTTTGGATGGAAAGAGAGGAAGACTCAGGAACCGGCAGCTGAGAACCACCGCACACGCGTGTGCGGGCACCGCGCCGCCCCCTGCTGAGAACCACCGCACACGCGTGTGCAGGCACCACGCCGGCTGCTGCGAGTCCAGTCTCGCTCAGTCTCTTGAGCCAGCTGGAAGCGTGTGTGGCATTGAGGGGTCCACCTCCCGGGTGTGGAAACTGGGATTTATGGCAGTTGATTCACTGGTCCAAGGTTCTACAAATGGGTAATGTCAGAGCTGGGACAAGCGTCTGCAGACCCTTCACCCCATTTCCAATATAGACAGTGACTGTGAGCAGGGTTGCCTTCTCTGGCCTGGGGCACCACCACGTCCCCATTTTAGACAGGAGGGAGCTGTGTCTCACTGAGAGCCCATTTCTCCCTCAGTCCTCCAGCTGCTTCACGGCAAACCACAGTCCTGCCCCACCTGCGCCTGATGTGAAACCCATGAGAAACCCACTCTCTCCAAGCCACCAGGGGCAACATTCGACAGCCCCCACCCAGGATGACGTCACAGCCTGGCCTGGCCGGCATGTCCACTCGGCCAGAGAGCTCAGTGCATCCACCCTCCTTTCTCTACCCCAGAGGCCCTAAGGTCACTGAGGCTGAGCGGGCAGAGGCATCCGGGCCCCAGGGTGATGGAGGCCAGGGTGAGGCTGGCCTGTCGACTGCCTTCCTGCACTTCACAGACATACACGGGGTGCCATTATTCAGATTGGTCTGGCGTCTCTGCCCAGGGAAGAAGGGGCCCTGGCTGTTGAAAGGCCCCACTCAAGGAGACTCAGGCTGAGTGTGAGAAACGGCCTTGCTTTGAAGAGACAGGCAGTGGGGGACTGTGGGGAGTAAGTCTCAGCTACTAACGAGTTTGTGAACAGCGTGGAGCAGAGACAAGCATCGCTGGCCATGGCCTGTCCCTCACATCAGCCTGCAGGGCATGACATGAGCCACAGGACTGAGCCCCACACTCACGGGACCAGGTGCAGTGACTGGTCAGATTCTGTCCACAAACCTGCTCCCGTATTGGTCCTTCCTGTCCGAGTGGCTGGTCCCAATGCCCCGACCTGTTAAGAGGCCCTTGAAGGCACATCACACCCGTTAGGATGGCTGCCACCAAAGAGACAGAAAATAACAAGGGCTGGAAAGGATAGAGAGAACAGCGTCAGAAAATTCTGCCACATGCCACAACATTCATTAAACTTGATGACATTATGCCAAGTTAAAGGAGTCAGTCACACACACACACACAAAATCACACACTGTGTGAGTCCATTTATGTGAAATATCTAGAGTAGCCAGGTTCATAAGGACAGAAAGTAGAAGGGCAGCTGCCAGGAGCTGAGGGAAAGAGGAAAGTTATTCTTTAACGGGGACAATTTCAGTTTTTCAAGATAAAAATGTTCTGGATATTGATTGTACAACAATGTGAATATACCTAACACTACTGAACAGTACACTTAGACATAGTTAAAGTGGTAAAATTTATGCCATGTGTATTTTACCACAATTTAAGAAAAAAGGGGGCATCTCGTGTAAGGTTTGGAAATAAATGCCTGCTAGGCAATCGTTTTGGAAAATGCCTGGAACATAATAGGTGTTCAACAAATTGTTGCCTTTGTAATTTGTAATGACTGTGAAGCGCAGCCACCCCGCAGAGCCCGGGGGTGTTAAGGCAACAATCGTAAATTGAAAGTGCCTGCGATGCCTCATCATCGGGGAAAGGGTGCTGGGAAGGAACCTGTTCTGAGGTATAATAGGAGGTGGGTTCCTGGGAAATTACTGGCTGGGATGATGAAACCACAGCTGAAGTTTGAGCAGCAGACACACAGCCTGTCATGGGGCAGCATTTCTCCATTCGTATCCTGAGCCAACAATTGAGAAGCAGAGCATGCAGACTGTGAAGAGGCTCCTGAAACCAGCCTGTGAGCTGGCCAGGGAGGAATCAGCCCTGAGGGATGGTGACAGGGAGGCTCAGAGAGAGTAGAGCCCAGGAAATATGGACACAGGCTCAGAGAGAGCAGAGCCCAGGGAAGATGGACACAGGCTCAGAGAGAGCAGAGCCCAGGGAAGATGGACACAGACTCAGAGAGCAGAGCCCAGGGAAGATGGACACAGGCTCAGAGAGAGCAGAGCTCAGGGAAGATGGACACAGGCTCAGAGAGCAGAGCCCAGGGAAGATGGATACAGACTCAGAGAGAGCAGAGCCCAGGGAAGATGGACACAGACTCAGAGAGAGCAGAACCCAGGGACGATGGACACAGACTCAGAGAGCAGAACCCAGGGAAGATGGACACAGACTCAGAGAGAGCAGAGCCCAGGGAATATAGACACAGTCTCAGAGAACAGAGCCCAGGGAAGATGGACACAGGCTCAGAGAGAGCAGAACTCAGGGAAGATGGACACAGGCTCAGAGAGCAGAGCCCAGGGAAGATGGATACAGACTCAGAGAGAGCAGAGCCCAGGGAAGATGGACACAGACTCAGAGAGCAGAGCCCAGGGAAGATGGACACAGACTCAGAGAGGAGAGCCCAGGGAAGATGGACACAGACTCAGAGAGCAGAGCCCAGGGAAGATGGACACAGGCTCAGAGAGAGCAGAGCCCAGGGAAGATGGACACAGACTCAGAGAGCAGAGCCCAGGGAAGATGGACACAGACTCAGAGAGCAGAGCCCAGGGAAGATGGACACAGACTCAGAGAGGAGAGCCCAGGGAAGATGGACACAGACTCAGAGACCAGAGCCCAGGGAAGATGGACACAGGCTCAGAGAGAGCAGAGCCCAGGGAAGATGGACACAGACTCAGAGAGAGCAGAGCCCAGGGAAGATGGACACAGACTCAGAGAGCAGAGCCCGGGGAAGATGGACACAGACTCAGAGAGCAGAGCTCGGGGAAGATGGACACAGACTCGGAGAGGAGAGCCCAGGGAAGATGGACACAGACTCAGAGAGCAGAGCCCAGGGAAGATGGACACAGACTCAGAGAGAGCAGAGCCCAGGGAAGATGGACACAGACTCAGAGAGCAGAGCCCAGGGAAGATGGACACAGACTCAGAGAGCAGAGCCCAGGGAAGATGGACACAGACTCAGAGAGAGCAGAGCCCAGGGAAGATGGACACAGACTCAGAGAGCAGAGCCCAGGGAAGATGGACACAGACTCAGAGAGCAGAGCCCAGGGAAGATGGACACAGACTCAGAGAGAGCAGAGCCCAGGGAAGATGGACACAGACTCAGAGAGCAGAGCCCAGGGAAGATGGACACAGACTCAGAGAGCAGAGCCCAGGGAAGATGGACACAGACTCAGAGAGAGCAGAGCTCGGGGAAGATGGACACAGACTCAGAGAGCAGAGCCCAGGGAAGATGGACACAGACTCAGAGAGCAGAGCCCGGGGAAGATGGACACAGACTCAGAGAGCAGAGCCCGGGGAAGATGGACACATTGGCAAGGGCGTTTGTAGGGCACAGCCCTGAAACCATGGAAAGCCATGCTAATCTCATCTTAGAAAGAAAGACCATGTGCAGAGATAAAATAGCACATATCAGGCTCCCAGCTCACAGACATCAGATCAAGACAGCATTTCGCCACAGTGGACAACCGACCCCAGAGGCTTCATGACAAAAAATTCCAGGAAAGTCACTAATAATCCTAGCGAAAACAGGATTTGAGCCAGGAAAAAGTCATTAAGACAAGAACTACCTCAGACAGCACACTCTTTTTTTTTCCTTTTTGCTTTTCTTTTCCTTTTTTTTTTTTCCTTTTGGAGGATTGTTAACTCCTCGCAGTGGCATCAGGGGCAGGAGCAGCTGGGATATTCG